>NC_000023.11:16379912-16682942 GCF_000001405.40 Homo sapiens | reverse complement strand
TCATAGCTAAGATTTATTATAGCCAGACAATGCAAAGCAAAATCAGCCAAGGAAAAGTCGTGCAGGGTGAAGTCTAGGAGTAACCAGGCGCAAGCTTCTAAGTGCTCTCCCCTGGTAGAGTCCAGTGAGTTGTGATAATACATGCAAACTGCCATTTACTAAGGAAGCTCATTGAAGACTTGAAGCCCAAGGTTTTTACTGGGGGCTGGTCACGTAGGCACCCTCTTCTTAGCACTTCCCAAAATGCCAGCCTCCCAGAAGGAAAGCATGCAGCAGAAACCATGTTGTCTGTACAGACACTTTCAGCACAGTGAGCTTCTCCTATCAGTTCTTGGAATGATGGGAACCCTCCCAAAATCAGAGTTTCCAGAAGCCAGTCAAGTCTCAATCTTGTAGCAGGCCTTTCCAAGGGCAGCAGCCAGGCTTGCTGTGTAAACGGTTTTCTTTTTTCCTTTTTTGAGACACAGTCTCCCTCTGCCGCCCAGGTTGGTGTGCAGTGGCATGATCTCGGCCCACCGCAACCTCTGTCTTCACCGTTCCAGCAATTCTTGTGCCTCAGCCTCCTGAGTATCTGGGATTACAGACTCCCGCCACCATGCCCAGCTAATTTTTGTATTTTTAATAGAGACGGGGTTTCACCACGTTGGCCAGGCTGGTCTCGAACTCCTGATCTCAGGTGATCTGCCCGTCTTGGCCTCTCAAAGTGCTGGGATTACTGGCATGAGCCACTGTGCCTGGCCTGTGTAAGCTGTTTTCTACATGTAGGTTTAAGGCACATTTCTGAAAGTAGGCTTTGCACATTCAGATGAATGAGCATGCTTGTCATGCTCGTTTAAGTACGTCGTAATTGCCTAACAGGAAAATAATAGGACATTTTTTCCCTTTAGCATTGGAATGGAATCTAGATTTTTTAAAATACTATATTCCCCTCTCTAACATGGAGGAATGATAGCTAGCAAACAGTGATTATTTGTTTTGGAAACTCAGTATTGTGGAATAACAGAGGCGTAGTTATCTTATATAGCTTGAGTATATTCTTCCATATAAGAACGGAAGTAGTACATGTTTAGAGTAAAACATTTAAACAAAGCATAAGCCAGGCGAAGTAGTTCACGCCTGTAATCCCAGCCCTTTGGGAGGCTGAGCCAGGTGGGTTGCTTGAGCTCAGGAGTTGAAGACCAGCCTGGGCAACAATGGGAGACCTCATCTCTATAAAAAAAACTTAAAAAGTTAGCCGGGTGTGGTGGCATGCGCCTGTAGTCTCAGCTAATTGGGAGGCTGAGGCAGGAAGATCACTTGAGCCCAGGAGTTTGATACTGCGGTGAGCTATAATTGCGCCACTGCACTCCAGCCTGGGTGACAGATTGAGACCCTGTCTCCAAAAAACAAAACAAAACAAAATAAAGCATAAATCTAAAATGCAGAAAGCAGATTCCTCCTCCCTGAAATCCCACTTGTTACCAGTTGGATACGTATATTTATATATCTATCTCACATTTATATTTAATGATATTCAGTATGAGTATATCATTGTTTAAGCAAGTCTTATCATCTTGACTTAAATGGCAAAAACTTTGTATAATGAGTAAAAAGATCCATTTATATGTTAAAGAAATTTAATGGCTTCCACTTTGACACTAGCTTAGGAGAACTAGCTGCTGTTTCTCTCTCCTCTTTTTAGCCTCCTTCTTTCCTAATCACTTTTTAAAAATTTTATTTTATTATTTTTTAATTAATTAATTAGTTAATTACTTTTTAGATGGAGTTTTGCTCTTGTTGCCCAGGCTGGAGTACAGTGGTGCCATCTCAGCTCACTGCAACCTCTGCCTTCTGGGTTCAAGTGATTCTCCTGCCTTAGCCACCCGAATAGCTGGGATTACAGGCATGTGCCACCACGCCCAGCTAATTTTTGTATTTTTAGTAGAGATGGAGTTTCTTCATGTTGGCCAGGCTGGTCTCGAACTCCTGACCTCAGGTGATCCACCTGCCTTGGCCTCCCAAAGTGTTGGGATTACAAGCGTGAGCCATCGTGCCTGGCCTATTTTTTAATTTTTATAGAGACGGGGTCTCGCTATGTTGCCCAGGCTGGTCTCGAACTGCTCAAACAATTCCTCCTGCCTTGGCCTCCTAAAGTGCTAGGATTACAGGCGTGAGCCACCATGACCAGCCCCTAATCACTTTTTACTTTTGGCTTTCTAAGGAATAGTTTACTTCCCATTCCTCCCACTCCTTCAAGTCGCCCGCCCCATTATGTAAAAAAAAGAAAATGGCAATGGAAAAATTGCCATGACATATACATTTTATAAAGCCTTTAGAAATTTGTATCTTAAAGTTTATTTGAATAGTCTTTTTTTTTTCTTTTCTTTTCTTTTTCTTTTTTTTTTTTTTGAGACAGGGTCTCGCCCTTTCTCCTAGGGTGGAGTGCAGTGGTGCGATCTTGGCTCACTGCAACCTCCACCTCCGGGGTTCAAGCAATTCTTGTGCCTTAGCCTCCTGAGTAGCTGGGATTACAGGTGCCCGCCACCACACCTAATTTTGTTATTTTTAGTAGAGACAGGGTTTTGTCATGTTGGCCAGGCTGGTCTTAAACTCCTGGCCTTAAGTGATCCACCTGCCTCGGCCTCCCAAAGTGCTGGGATTATAGACGTGAGCCACTGTGCTTGGCCAGGAGAGTCATTTTTACAGAAGAAATACTAAACTAATATAGATAGAGAGGGACTGTTATATACATAAGAATTGGTGCACATGATGCTTCATCTGATAGGATTCATTGACATTAGCTTCTCCTAAGTACTGTTTGAATCCTGGCCTTGTCATCTTCCTTCTAAGATTGGGCTGCATCTGTCTATCTCTCCTGGTTTGCTGCAGCTGCAGCGGCTTCCGGGCTGGTTTCCAGCTGCCAGTCTTCCCTGCCTTTGCCACACTCTACCAGAGTGATCATTGTAAAATCTTTCTCGGTTCTCTCTGTTCCTGTCGTCCCTTTACTTAAGATCTTTCAGTGGTGTCTCAGTCTGTTCAGGCTGCTGTAACAAAGTACCATAGACCAGGTGGCTTACAAACAACTGCCATTTCTCTCTCACAGTTCTGGAGGCTGGAAGTCCAAGATTAGGGTGCCAGCATGTGGCCGGGTTCTGGTGAGGGCCCTCTTTTGGGTGCAGAGGACCAACCTCTGGTTATATCCCCATGTGCGGAAGGGGTGAGGGAGGTCTATGGGGCCTTTTTTATAGGGGCACTAATCCTATTCCTATGTGCTCTGCCTTCTTGACCTAATCATCCCTCAAAGACCCCACCTACCTCCTAATACCATTCCTTTGGGAGTTGGGATTTCAACATAGGAATTTTGGGGGAACACAGACATTCAAACCATTGCAATTGGCTTCAAGTGTCAAGTCTGTGTCATGGCTTCTCAGCCTCGTCCCTTGCCTTCCTCCAACCAATCAGGTCTGTCCTCTCGCTGGGTGGGGCCTTTTTTGAGGGTCCCAGAGTGGCTACCACTTTCTCTCTTTTTCCTCTGAGGTTTCATATAAGTGGTTCCTTTGCTGGAGATTTCTTTTTTTTTTATTTATTTTTATTTTTTTATTTTTTGAGACGGACTCTCACTCTGTTGACCAGACTTGAGTGCAGTGGCACAATCTAAGCTCACTGCAACCTCTGCCTCCTGGGTTCATGTGATTCTTCTGCCTCAGCCTCCCGAGTAGCTGAGATTACAGGCACCTGCCACCATGCCTGGCTAATTTTTATATTTTTAGTAGAGACGGGGTTTTGCCACGTTGGCCAGGCTGGTCTTGAATTCCTAACCTTAGATGATCTGCCCACCTCGGCCTCCCAAAGTGCTGGGATTACAGGCATGAGCCAATGCGCCCGGCCTGCTGGAGATTTCATACCCTTCTCCCCTCCTCTCTTTGTCTCCTGCTGCCTCCCATCACACACGTGCTTATCTTGCTTCTGCTCTCCTCTCGGCTGGCTTCTTGAACATTACCTCCCCAGAGCTCTTCCTTGACGTCAATCCTTCCTGTCTTTCCTCCAGTGTTCAGTTCTAGTGACGTCCTAGTTGCTTTTTTTTTAAATTTTTTTTTGAGACAGTGTCTCACTCTGTCACTCAGGCTGGAATGCAGTGTTACAATCAGGGATCATTGCAGCCCGGACCTCCCAGGCTCAAAGGATCCTCCCACCTCAGCTTCCCAAGTAGCTGGGGCTACAGGCACGTGCCACCCCACGCGGTTGACCCCAAGTTACTTCTGCATCGTTCTCTTCTTTGTCTGTCATAGCCATTATCACAGTATAGTGTGGATGCCCGTTTATCTGGTTTTGTAATCTTTCTGAAAGATTATAAGAGCCGCAAAACAGAGACTGTTTTTCTATCCCTAGTGCCCAGTACAGTGTTTGCATAATAAGTAATTATTGAATAATGTGTCATAGTATTAGATGGCTGCAGTATTTTTGAGTGTTTATTTTTCTTAAATACTCCTTTTATCTGTTGGATGTTTTTTAGTACATAGACTCCATTGATCTGGAGAAGATCACTGAAACCGAGGACCCTGTGAAATTTCATGAAGCTTGGCAGAAGCTATGCAAAGCTGAGTGAGTACCAGGGCCCACGCACACCAGTTAGGATAGGACCATTGTACTTTTTCTGTAATGATTCAGTTTACCCTAATTGCTAATTTTCATGCATTTTGAAAGGTAGTTTGGAGTACTTGTGGTCTTTGCAGGTGATTGTTCCACGATCATACTGCGTTGATTTGAAATGTGCCATGTTAATGCTGGTGGCATGTGCATAGAAATGGTTTTATTTGGGGAGGATGGGGATACTGTGGGAAAGTGTGTTGATTCTCCTGAAGGATGCAGAGGGAAAGTGTGTTGATTCTCCTGGAAGATGCAGAGATGAATCTTACATATGCAAAGTTAAAGTACAAGAATGACAGCTTTTTTTTTCTCTCTCTTTTTACAAAGTGAAAGCAAGTTTATTAGGAAAGTAAAGGAATTAAAGAATGGCTACTCCACAAGCAGAGCAGCCCTGAGGGCTGCTGGTTGCCCCTTTTATGGTTATTTCTTGGTTACATGCTAAAGAAGGGATGAATTATACGTGCCTCCCCCTTTTAGACCTTATAGGGTAACTTCCTGATGTTGCCATGGCATTTGTAAACTGTCATGGCACTGGTGGGAGTGTAGCAGTGAGGATGACCAGAGGTCACTCTCATTGCCATCTTGGTTTTGGTGGCTTTTAGCTGGCTTCTTTACTGCAACCTGTTTTATCAGCAAAGTCTTTATGACCTGTATCTTTTGCTGACCTCCTATCTCATCCTGTGACTTAGAATGCCTAACTATCTGGGAATGCAGTCCAGTAGGTCTCAGCCTTATTCTACCCAGCCCCTATTCAAGATGGAGTTGCTGTGGTTCAATATTTCCCCTCTCCCTTTTATAGGAGAACTCTTAATACTAAGGGTTGCAGAGGGACAAAGCTCCATCTTCTGTAACTTCTTCGTGTTGAATAGGGGCAATGACATTCCTCCCTATTAGAGTCTCTTGTATTTGGGGTAGAGAAGAGGTCAGTCAGAAAGCGTCAGATGGCGAGGGCCATTCATAACTCTGAGTTCCAACAAAAGGTGATATCTGGAAGATTAATAAATGTTTAGTTTAAGAAAACATTGAGTAAGCTTATTCTGCATTCCTACACAAAGAGTACAATAGCAATATATTCCACAACAGTAAAGCAAAAAATTATCCCAAGTAAACTAAATTAGAAGGCTTTCCATGAACTGGGCAACTGTTGGAACCAAGCTGATATGCAGTTGCTAGCTGATTTCAATACATGCCCAGAATTAGAATACTGATCCCAATTTTTACGTTACCCATCCCTCTTGTTTTTTTTTTTTTTTTTTCCGAGACAGAGTCTTGCTCTGTCTCCCAGGCTGGAGTGCAGTGGTGCGATCTCGGCTCACTGCAACCTCCGCCTCCCAGGTTCAAGCAATTCTTCTGCCTCAGCCTCCCAAGTAGCTAGGATTACAGGCACGCGCTACCATGCCTGGCTGATTTTTGTATTCTTAGTAAAGACGGGTTTCACCATGTTGGCCAGGCTGGTCTTGAACTCTTGACCTCGTTATCCACCCGCCTTGGCCTCCCAAAGTGCTGGGATTACAGGTGTGAGCCACCACGCCCAGCCCTGCTCTTGTTTTTTTCTGAGCTGCAGTCACAGATCACTGATTGTTTCACAGGAATAAGCAGGGTCAGTCTAAATTGCAGAAAAAAACTTCAAAAACAACCAATAAGACTAGAATTCATAATAATAACAGTTAGACCATAGTTCTTGAAACATAATTTTTTCTCTCTCCAGTTTCCCATTTTCACTAAAGACAAATCATGGTAAGAACAATTTGCTTTATTATACTTGGCCTGATTATTTGTATAAAGTGCAGCAAGAATAATTATTTTTCAATAGGCTTTTAAAATTGGCTTTGACAGAACCTTATTCCATAAGGAATCTCAGATAAGACCTTTTTTAAAGCTGAGCCCACCCATGGGTTTGTACCCTCAAATACCTATGAATTGGGTAAATTCCTCTCTTTTTGAGGTCCCAAGATAACTTGAGGCTCCTGGACCTGTCAGAAAGTGACATTCTTTAGTTACCACAGGTCAGAAACCCTGTACAGGGACTGTGTAGACAAGGTATGAGGCTAGTTTTCCCACGGGGCTTGTATTGGCTTTACAATTCAAGTTCGATTCTTTACAGGAAAGCACACCATTCCAGTCAAAGCCTTGGTAATATAACCAGTTTCTCCCTCCAATTGTGTCCTGTTGCAAAATAAAAAAGATTCTTATTGCACTTATGCAAACAACTATATTGCCATAAGTTAAGAATACTCACAAATTCCAAATTTCCCAATTCTGGACAAATCAGGTAGAGAGAAACAAATATGCTCCAAATTTTGTTCACAGGAGTATACTTTACTCAATTGTTACAAGCTGTATATAGCTCAAAAGAACAGTTTTCTTGACTCCGAAAAATAAAACAAAAAGGATCAGCAACATTTTAAGCAAAGTAAAAAATATTAATTTTTTATTAGTTCATTCCATGGAGCTAACTCCTGTTCTACTTGATAGTCATGAACATTTCAGCTCTCCATGAGAGTCCTGAAAGATTTTCCTCTATTCTGCTGTCACAATCTCCAAAGTTATCAGAAACTTGCATTTAAGAACAGCTGTTAGAGTTCTATAGTTGATTTTTAACTACCTTCTAAAGAGGACCAAAACAATACAATTGTCTGTGGGTGACAAAATGTTTTAGGGCAGCCACTATTAAAGCCACAATTGACTAGGAATTTGTTACATCTGTGGCTTACAACAATTTTGCATAACAATGATAATTATTAATAACATACACGAATTCATATTAGAATTATAGAAGTTTCTTATAATTTTGGAACACATACAATAACATATTTATACAAATACAGCCCAAAGAAAGCCAAACACCATTTCATATTTGACAGTGCTTTTCGTATAATTTTTATACCAAATATACCAAACTTCACCATTGCATTAGTGCATTAAATTCATGTCAAACCCAATTTTTAATAAAACCTTATAGATAAATCTATCCAATTTTAGTTTGACCATAAGGTAAGATTTTTACAAACCTTCTATAATCCTTTACAAGTTTTTTTTTTTTTTTTGAGACACAGTCTCTTGCTCTGTCACCGAGGCTGGAGTGCAGTGGTGTAATCTTGGCTCACTGCAACCTCCGCCTCATGGGTCCAAGCAATTCTCCTGCTCCATCCTCCCGAGTAGCTGGGATTACAGGCACCCGCCATCATGCCTGACTAATTTTTTTTGCATTTTTGTAGAGATGGGGTTTCACCATGTTGGCCAGGCTGGTCTCGAACTCCTGACCTCAAGTGATTCGCCCACCTCAGCCTCCCAAAGTGCTGGGATTACAGGCATGAGCCACCATGCCTGGCTCCTTTAGAAGTTTTTGTTAAAGAGCAGATCAGCACTCTAAGAGAAACCTGTTGTGCTTTTATTTCAATGTTCAATTTATGGAAAACCTGAATACACCTTTAACTTTAGCCAATGTCCACACGCATAATTTCTTTTTTTTTTTTTTTGAGACGGAGTCTCGCCTTGTTGCCCAGGCTGGAGTGCAGTGGCGCAATCTCTGCTCACTGCAAGCTCTGCCTCCTGGGTTCATGTCATTCTCCTGCCTCAGCCTCCCGAGTAGCTGGGACTACAGGCGCCTGCCACCACGCCCGGCTAATTTTTTGTATTTTTAGTAGAGACGGGGTTTCACCGTGTTAGCCAGGATGGTCTCGATCTCCTGACCTCGTGATCTGCCCACCTTGGCCTCCCAAAGTGCTGGGATTACAGGTGTGAGCCACCATGCCCGGCCTGCGTAATTTCTTTTATAAGATTAATCCTTCACAAACCTTCTACAACTTGCTCAAACTTTCAGCTTTATCTTATCTAACTTAAAATAATCCGTTAGCTGGATGCGGTGGCTTACGCCTGTAATCCCAGCACTTTGGGAGGCTGAGGTGGGTGGATCACCTGAAGTCAGGAGTTCTAGACCAGCCTGACTAACATGGTGAAACCCCGTCTCTACTAAAAATACAAAATTAGCTAGGTGTGGTGGTGCATACCTGTAATCCCAGCTACCTGGGAGGCTGAGGCAGGAGAATCGTTTGAACCCACGAGGTGAAGGTTGCAGTGAGCCAAGATTGCACCATTGCACTCCAGCCTGGGCAACAAGAGTGAAACTTCGTCTGAAGACAAAAACAAAACAGCAAAAAACAATCCTTTAACCTTTTAATCTAGGCAAAAAAAAAAAAAATCCACATTTTCATGCCTTCTTATAATCTTTTACTAAAAACACATTTCACTTTCCTTATGCAACTTGCATGTAAAACTGTTTCTTCAGTAGTCTCAATTACAGATTACACTGTTAACTCTTAGGAACTTTTACTTTTGGTGAAAAACCTGGTTAGTAAGCAATTTTAATTACGTACTAGGTATGGAGCCTAGGACACTAGATAAGGTCTGACCTTTTCCAGCATAGCTAGGGGGCATGGCTTTCAACTTGTCCCCAAGCCTTACCTAGAATCTAATGCTCCAAAGTAGGTAAATTGAACAATTTTCAAGAGTCAAAGCAGTTTATGACCTTAAAGCATTGAGAAAACCTAATATCTGACCTGCCTAATTTAGACCAAATGTCTTTATTTTCCCAATAATCTTTAAAGCTGTTTTTATTACCCAAAGATTACTAAAGTTATGTGAACTAAAAGTCATTACAATTTTTACTTTTCTTACACAATACTTGATTTAAGCTTTACTATTTTTAAACCAATTAAAGCTTTTTTTTTTTAACATCACACACACAACACATATAAATGCACAGACAGAAAGAAGATCCAGTAGTTGTAAGCACCCAAATATCAATCAGAAAGGCTTATCCCCTAAACTAGGAATTGAACCCTGAACCCAGGTCACCATTGTGATGATGGAGACCAAGAGAAAGTACTGCCACATGGTTGCAAGGTCAAGCTCCCAAGGACATGAAACAAGATGAGAGGGAACCCTTATCTAGTTTTTCTTCAGGGACCTACAGCAAAGTTTGTTATTGACCAGTTTGCTGGGGTGGCTTGAACAGCAGGCTTACAGGGGTCCTAGGCCCACATTCTATCCTAAGACCCCTCATTATGACAGAACAATACAGAAAGACACACAAAGCACACCAGATTCACTGTAGCTTAAGAGTAGCCTCGGCCGGGCGCGGTGGCTCACGCCTGTAATCCCAGCACTTTGGGAGGCCGAGGCGGGCGGATCACGAGGTCAGGAGATCGAGACCATCCCGGCTAAAACGGTGAAACCCCGTCTCTACTAAAAATACAAAAAATTAGCCGGGCGTAGTGGCGGGCGCCTGTAGTCCCAGCTACTTGGGAGGCTGAGGCAGGAGAATGGCATGAACCCGGGAGGCGGAGCTTGCAGTGAGCCGAGATCCCGCCACTGCACTCCAGCCTGGGCGACAGAGCGAGACTCCGTCTCAAAAAAAAAAAAAAAAAAAAAAAGAGTAGCCTCACAAATCCTTTTTACCATTAATCAAAACTTTACACAGGAGACAGTGATTTTTACCATTCATTCAACCAATTTGCACAGAGAGAGAGAGAGGCCAGAAGTCTGACTGGTAAGAAATTCTTACCCTTTTGTCGGTATGCTAGGCTTCTGGGTTCCCTTTCCTTGAGCAGCCCTAGTGACCCGGCTGGCTGCACCACAGCCCTGGGGGCCAAGCTGTAACACAAAGGAAAATTATCTTTTCCTGTTCTGGCCAGAGCAAAATATGTGTGACAAAACATAGACATTAGCCACTCTGCCTAGCACCCAATATCTTACTGGCAAGGCTCAAACTTGCCCCTGGTTGGGCCCCATCATCATTAATCCAACCTCTGACCAGGAGTTTCAACTTGTCTCTGGGCAAGATGGTCGCCTTGAGTAACAGAAAAGATACGAAAAGGAAAGGAGATAAAGGGAGAAAAGCATTGCCCGCAGCATTTTGGGGAAGGCAAAGAGCTCAGGGAGGCCAGAGAAAGACGCACCCATTGCAGTGACACTGAAAAGTTCAGGTGGCCGCTTGTCGGTCGTGAAGGGATCTTTTCCAGGAGTCTCATCAACTCTCAAGTTTCCCCTTTTGAGGAGGAAAAAGCTCCCCATGTCCCATGGTCCTGTGCATGCCTAGTTCTGTCACCCATAGCTATCAGCAAAGAGTGCAAGGCAGAATAATCCAAAGAGAATAGCAATTAACATCCCATAGTGCCAAACCTATTCTTAGCAGAGAGGGACTTTACTGAGAGAGGCCTCTAACCCCCTAAACCTTAGGAAGGACTCTAACCTTCCTAAGTTGTGCCTCCAACCCAAGGTCATTCAAGCATCCTTGCCTTTTATTGAGAGGAGCCTTTAACTCTCTCTGTTTTAGGAGAGACTCTAAGTTGGGCCTCTAACCCAATCCCATCCTTTACCTGGGTATATGCACCCCATTTACCCAAAGTCAGCCAATTGGTGCACACAGACGATTTTCCTTTGGGTCTGGGGTCTCTTCAGTATTGTTCTTTCCGTGTTTCACTAGAAAGATGTTACTGGAGGCTGGGCATGGTGGCTCACGCCTGTAATCCCAGCACTTTGGGAGGCTGAGGCGGTCTTATTGCCTGAGCTCAGGAGTTCGAGGCCAGCCTGGGTAACATGGTGAAACCCCATCTCTACTAAAATACAAAACATTAGCTGGGCGTGGTGGCGTGTGCTTGTAATCCCAGCTACTCGGGAGGCTGAGGCAGGAGAATTGCTGGAACCCGGGAGGTGGAGGTTGGAGAGGGCCGAGATCGCGCCACTG
This sequence comes from Homo sapiens, assembly GCF_000001405.40. Classification (NCBI taxonomy): domain Eukaryota; kingdom Metazoa; phylum Chordata; class Mammalia; order Primates; family Hominidae; genus Homo; species Homo sapiens. Next base: position 16,671,568 of record NC_000023.11, on the reverse strand, counting down.
CACTCCAGGCAGGGTGACAAGAGCAAGACTCTGTCTCAAAAAAAAAAAAAAAAAAAAAAAAAAGAAAAATGTTACTGGACCCCACCACGTACTCAGTATTGTCCCTTCTGTGGTCGCTAGAAAGATGTTACCAGAAACGGGTCCCAATCCAGACCCCAAGAGAGGGTTCTTGGATCTTGCTCAAGAAAGAATTCAGGGTGAGTCCATAGAGTAAAGTGAAAGCAAGTTTATTAGGAAAGTAAGGACATAAAGAATAGCTGCTCCATTGACAGAGCAGCCCTTTCTCTCTTGATGATATTTTCCACATGTCTTAGATTTTAGGTTTTATTTTGTAAGTAATTGACAGAACTCTTGGGGGCAGCATTGCATCATGAGGTTAGCATGATCCTCCTGGGTTTTCTGTTGAACTGTGTTGCTGTTGTGTTTGCCTAGGTCTGTGAAGTCTTCTAGCCAAGAAATTTTCATTTGCCACTACTTAATTAGCATTTGAAATCTTAGGCTGATTTTTCCAATTTAACTCTTTCTGATGATGTCAGAGATCTTAACATTTTTATAATAGTGTTTTGAAAGAACCTTAACCTATTTTCATTCAGTTTCTTTTCCCAGTGGCATTCTTAATTGAATTGGGTTTCTCAGTTAGTATGCTCTGATGCCACAAAGACTTATCGTAAAATATATATTGAGGTCAGTTGTGAGAAATTGTCACAATTTCTTCATAACATTGGGAAGATTTCAGAAAAAAAGTTCAGGGTGTGAAGTCATATAATTGGTTCTGAAAATAGAGCTTGAGCATAGTCACTAGTGATTGGACCAAGCATTGCACGAATGGCTGAATACACTAGTTTAAAAAAAAAATGGATAGTCAAGTTTACCCTCATTTTGTATTGATTTCAGTGGTATTCTTGTGCCTGGAGGCTTTGGAATCAGAGGAACATTGGGAAAACTCCAGGCGATTTCTTGGGCAAGGACAAAGAAGATTCCTTTTCTGGGTAAAACTCATGTTTATTGACCCTAACTATGAGTTTATTAGATTTTTGACACCTAGGAGGGGTAACACTAAAGGTTTGTTATCGTAAAGGTGTGAACTCGGATTTGAAAGTTCAGGTGCCAAATAGTCTGCTATAGGGTCAACAAACTATATTCTAAATTTGGCCCACAGCCTGTTTTTATGAATAAAGCTTTATTGGAACACAGCCACACCAATTTGTTTACATATTGTCTATGGCTGCTTTTGTGGTCCAACGTCAGAGTTTCAGACCCTACGGCCTAGAAGCTTTACTATCTGAAAGAGGCTAGAATCTTTACTATGTGACCCTTTACAGAAAACGTTTCTCATCCTAGGAGAACTTGCTGCTATTCCAGCTGGGTAGCAGAGGCTGGGAGAAGGCTCCATCTGCAACTGTGCTTACCTTCTCCAATTCCCACCTCAGTCTCCAGAGTAGCTGGGACTACAGGTACACACCACTGTGCCTGGCTAATTTTTGTGTGTGTGTGTGTTTTTTTTTTTTTAAGAGATGGAGTCTTGCTATGTTGCCCAGCCTGGCCTCAAACTCCTGGGCTCAAGCAATCTGCCCACTTCAGACTCCCAAAGTGTGGGGATTACAGGCTTGAGCCCCCGTGCCCGGCCGAGTTGAGCCTTTTTAATGCTTTTTTTTCAAATTGCGAAGTACGGCTTCTGTACCAGGGAAACCAGAGGAAATGGGACCTTGATGCGGGAGAGGCAGCCCTGTAGCTGGGGACTCAGGCAGGAGGGGGAGTGCAGAGAGGCTGTGTTTCCCACTGTGCAGTGGATGGCTGGGTGGGTTTATGAGCCCATTGGACAGGCTTTTAGTGCCAGCAGACCATTTATTTCCCCCCATTACCTGCTCTTTGATTAGCTTCTTAGACTCTCTCCTCTTAGGATCCATTTTCAAAATAGAAGACTGGAGTAGTTACCTGGATACCTTGTTTTCTTTTACTGGTCTAAGCTCGTTGGGGGCCATTGTTTTTTTTTTTGAAGTTTCTGTCTAAATGTGGGTAATGTTCCTCAGATTATTTTAATAGTATGGAATGGTTTGCAGGTCTTTAGCTTTCCCTCTAGCATAGCATCTCTTTATGTCCCAGCCATATGGAACTTTCTGAAATCCCCCTCACCGCCACCCCCACCCCCCAGCACTCAGCTGTTTCCTGCTTATTGACTTCTGTTCTGGCATCCCTGATATATTGATTGCTCCCTTCTTTGTTTCCCCTGTGTACATCTTAAGTATCTATCGGAGGAGCATCTGGGATGCTCTTTGGCATTTGTTTAGTGGAGAGAATTGGTGAACTGCAGTGAAGGCGGAGCTGGGTCTGGGAGCATCCCTGTGGCAACAGGCTTGGGCGACACAGGTCTGCCTTCCTTCATCACCGAGCACTCTGTTCAGGCCCATCGTGTCTCCTTCCCTGCTGCCCACCATGCTCAAGCCCACTGTGGAGTCTCCAACCCCCACCCCCCACTGCTGCTTTTCCTTACAGTGAAGGCTATGGGGCTGCCTGTGGGTTAGCAGCCTGACGTCCTGTAGGCACTCAACCTCTGGCCAAGCCTGTGTTTATGGCTGTGAAGTCACCATGAGAAGGAGTGGGAAATCTTAGCCCAGGAAACTCCCTCTGAGTTGGGGTGTTAGATGTTCTCTGAAGGAATCAGGCACTGCAGCCCACTAAGATGCCTCAACTCAGGGACAAATCTAGAAGGTGGCAGATTTGTCTCATGGACTCTGCCTCTTTCTTTCCTTCTTTCCTTCCTTCCTTCCTTCCTTCCTTCCTTCCTTCCTTCCTTCCTTTCCTTCCTTCCTTCCTTCTTTCTTTCTTTCTCTCTTTCTCCCTTCCCTCCCTTCCCTCCCCTTCCTTTTCCTTCTCCTTCCTTCCTTCTTTCTTCCTTCTTCCTTCCTTCCTTCCTTCCATCCTTCCTTCTTCCCTTCTTCCTTCCTTCCCTCCTTCCTCTCTCTCTTTTTATTTTCTTTTTTTTTGAGACAGAGTCTCGCTCTGTCGCCCAGGCTGGAGTGCAGTGGCGCGATCTCTGCTCACTGTAAGCTCTGCCTCCCAGGTTCACGCCACTCCCCTGCCTCAGCCTCCCGAGTAGCTGGGACTACAGGCACCCACCACCATGCCTGGCTAATTTTTTTTTGTATTTTTTTTTTTTTAGTAGAGATGGGGTTTCACCATGTTAGCCAGGATGGTCTCGATCTCCTGACCTCGTGATCCGCCCAACTCAGCCTCCCAAAGCGCTGGGATTACAAGTGTGAGCCACCGCACCCAGCTCCTCCTTCCTCTCTTTCTCTCTTTCTTCTCTTTCTTTCCTTCCTTCTTTCTCACCCAGCCTGGAGCACAGTGGTGTGATCTCAGCTCACTGCAACCTCTGCCTCCCGGGCTCAAGTAATTCTCCTGCCTCAGCCTCCCAAGTAGCTGGGACTATAGGTGCATGCCACCACACCTGGCTAATTTTTGTATTTTTAGTAGAGGCTGGTTTCACCATGTTGGCCAGGCTGGTCTCGAACTCCTGACCTCAAGTAATCTGCTCACTTTGGCTTTCCAAAGTGCTGAGATTGCAGGCTTGAGCCATTGCGCCCAGTTGACCCTGCACTTTTCTGACCTCATGTTCCTTCTTTGTCAACTTTGGGACTTAGGCGGCTTCATGATAGTCTAAGCCCCTGCCCTGCTCTCTGTCAGGGATTCTTCTGAGAGGACAGCAGGGAGCAAAACAGGCAGAGTCTTGCTCTCTGGGAGTCTGCATTCTAGATAGGGGAGACAGGCAGCCAACAAATGAACAGAAAATGTGAACAAATACAAAGTGAGTTCATTTGCTTTGCATATGTGCTTTTTAAAATAGGAGTTTGTCTTGGGATGCAACTAGCAGTGATAGAGTTTGCAAGAAACTGCCTTAACTTGAAAGGTAAGTTCGAGGTTTGCTAATGACCATTTATTTAAAAAATTTTCTCTCTTCAAATATTTTTCAGCACTATTGGTGAATTACTGAACTCTTTTCTTAATCTTCAGATGCTGATTCCACAGAGTTTAGGCCAAATGCCCCAGTTCCTCTGGTAAGTGGCTTGTTTATCTTTCTGGGTCCAGTCATTGTCACTTGGGTCCTGGCTCTTGCCTAAATTCATAAGGGGCTATTGGCTGGGCGCCATGGCTCACCCCTGTAATCCCAGCACTTTGGGAGGTCAAGGCGGGCGGATCACTTGAGGTTAGGAGTTCAAGAGTAGCCTGGTCAACATGGTGAAACCCCTGTCTCTACTAAAAATACAAAAATTAGCTGGCTGTGGTGGCAGATGCGTGTAATATCAGCTACTCGGGAGGCTGAGGCAGGAGAATTGCTGGAACCCGGGAGGTGGAGGTTGCAGTGAGCCAAGATCATGCCACCGCACTCCAGCCTCAGTGACAGAGTGAGACTCCTTCTCAAAAAAAAAAAAAGGCGGGGGGGGGTCTATTATTATTTTTTCTTTACAGCACCAGAACATTTTAAATTACATTATTCTTATATTAAATTCCTTTGTTCTTGATAGTCCATCTTCTCAGCTATGCCTTAAAGACAGTCACAATCCTGGACTGATTTCTCTTTGTCGCAGCTTTCAAGCTTAATGTTTAGGAAAGGATTAAATCGGCTGTGACAACAATTTATAACATCTACTATAAATAAATGAGCTGTCCTGTCTCCAGACTCATCACCAGTCTGCCTATTTTCCACACTGGTGGTCATCTGTCTTTCTAAAACAAAAGCGACAGTGATTCTGCTGCCAGTCCTCATCTTCCATCAGTTTCTTTTCCCTTAAAATATTCAGTCCAGGATTCTGGGCTGGGTCCCAAAGCCACTGTGCTCTGTCACCTGCTGCTTTGCTGATTCATCCCATGGCATCCTGATTCCTCCCAGGCTTTGAGTTTTTTTCTTTTTTGTGTTTTTTTGAGGCAAGTTCTCACTCTGTCACACAGGCTGGAATGCAGTGGCATGATCACGGCTCACGGAAGCCTAGACCTCCCGGGGTCAAACAATCTTCCCACCTCATTTTTTGATTTTTTTTGTAGAGACAAGGTCTCACTATGTTGCCCAGGCTACATGCTTTGAGTTTTACGTTTGGACAATCTAAACTAGTTTTTCAGATACAGCCTGAGGTTCCCTATACCTGAGATGTCCACCTGCCTAAAATCCCTCTCCCCCTGGAATCTCAATAAAAGCATTGAAAAATTTAATTAACAACAACTCAGTTACCAACAACTTCCTATTCATCTGAGGAAACCTTTCCTGACCTCTTTTCTTTACCTGCCTCTGCCTTCTGCCTCATGCTACTGTGCTCACCACTAACAGAGCGAGTTCTGCAAGATGATGGTTGGCCTTCAGTCAGCCTGTTTGCCAGCCACCCATGCACACCCAGTCGTGTCCCTGCTGCTGGGCACCTACTTCTAATGGAGCTCGCGCCTCACAATCGCGATTGGTTTTTTAAACAGCTTTATTGAGATACAATTCATATACCACAAAATTTAGCCATTTAAACTGTATAATCCGGCCAGATGCGGTGGCTCACGCCTGTAATCCCAACACTTTGGGAGGCCTAGGCAGGTCAATCACTTGAGGTCAGGAGTTCGAGACTAGACTGGCCAACAAGTTGAAACCCCATCTCTACTAAAAATACAAAAAATTAGCTGGGCGTGCTGGTGCATGCTTGTAATCCCAGCTGCTAGGGAGGCTGACACAGGAAAATTGCTTGAACCCAGGAGGCGTTGGTTGCAGTGAGCTGAGATCGTGCCATTGCACTCCAGCCTGGGCAACAGAGTGAGACTTTGTCTCAAAAAACAAACAAACAAAAAACTGTATAATCCAATGGTTTTTAGCATATTCACGGATCTGTGCCACTCTCATTACAAGCAATTTTGGGCCATTTTCATTACTCCAAAAAGAAACCCCACACGCCTTAGCTGACACCCCCAAGCCTCCTATCTCCACCAGCCCCAGGCAACCATTAGTCTACCTTCTGTCTTCATAGATTTGCCTGTTTGAATCATTTAATATAAATGGAATCATCCAATATGTAGCCTTTTGTGACTGGTTGCTTTTACTTAGGATAATGTTTTCAAAGTCTGTCTATGTTGTAACACGTATCAGTACTTTGTTTCTTTTTATTGCTGATTAATATTTCATTATATGGACATGAAACATTTTATTTATCCATTGATGAACATCTGCATTGTTTCTACTTTTTGGCATTGTGACTAACGCTGCTGTGAACATTCATGTGCAAGTTTTTGTGTGGACATATGTTTTCATTTCACCAGGAGTGGAATTTCTGAGTCATATGGTAATTCTGTGTTTAACCCTTTGAGGAGCTGTAGGACTGTTTTCCAAAGTGGCTGCAACATTTTAATTTCCTGCCAGCAATGTATGAGGGTCCTAATTTGTCCATATCCTTGTGAACATTTGTTATTTCTGTCTTTTTGATGATAGCCATCCTAGTGGATGTGAAGTGGTGTCTCATCGTGGCTTTGATTTGCAGTTGCCTGATGGCTAAGGATGTTGAGCATCTTTTCATGTGTTTATTGGCCACTTGTATGTCTTCTCTGGAGAAAGGTCCATTCACATCCTTTGTCTATTTTAAAATTAGGGTATTTGTATTTTTATTATTGAGTTGTAACAGTTCTTTATATATTCTAGATATAAGTTCCTTATATATAATCTGTGCTATCGGCATTTGGGAACACATCATTCTTTGTTGTATGTGGGAGCTCCTGCCCACTAGGTGCCAGTATCACTCCCTAACCCCTGCCCAACTGTGACACTAAAAGTACCTCCAGATATTGTCAAATATCTCTTGGGGGCAGGGGCAGAATCGCCCTGGTTGAGAACCACTGATTTAGAGAAATCTAGTTCTATTTCTGTCCCCTGTAGCCTGTTTAATCCCTTCCCTTATGGCAAGCATTCATTCTTTTTTTTCTTGGTTCATCTTCCCATTTTTTACATATAAGTAAAGCTGTATGTCTTTGTCATCCACTTCCCTTCTTAGGGAAATGGTAGCATACTCTACACAGTTTTTTCCTGCCTTGCATTTTTCGCTTAACACTGTATGCTGGAGATCACCCCACGGAAGCACATAGAAGCATTCTTCACTCTTTTTTTTTATAGCTTGTAACTCAAACCATAATGAACCATAACTTACCAGCCAGATGGTACTTTTAAGTCTTATGCTCAGAAGGCCTAATACCAATGAAGGGTTCCTTATGAGCCTTTAATATAAACATATTTCCTGACTAATAGCTGAAATGGCTGTGCCAGGAAAACTATGGGTTTTCTTTTCTAAGATATACTTTGGGATAGGAAGTGATTTTACCAGTAGGTGCCACTGTTAGATAGTGTTGGCAAGGTTAATTCTTTGATGATTATTCTTTACTGGGGGTGTGTGTACGTGCGTTAAAAAATTTTTACACATGGCCGGGCGCAGTGGCTCATGCCTATAATCCCAGCACTTTGGGAGGCCAAGGCGGGCAGATCACAAGGTCAGGAGATCAAGACCATCCTGGCTAACATGGTGAAACTTTGTCTCTACTAAAAACATAAAGAAATTAGCTGGGCGTGGTGGCACGCGCCTGTAGTCCCAGCTACTCGGGAGGCTGAGGCAGGAGAATGGCGTGAACCCAGGAGGCAGAGCTTCCAGTGAGCCGAGATTGCACCACTGTACTCCAGCCTGGGTGACAAAGCAAGACTCTGCCTCAAAAAAAATGAAAAAAAATTTTTTTTTACACAGAGTAAAAAAGTTAAGCCCTGCAGAAAAAGGTACAGAACTGTCTCTCCTTTGCCCCCACCTCACTTCGGTTCCCTTCCCCAGTGGCAACTACTTTGATCCATTTCTTTCTTTCTTTTTTTCCTTTTTAAAGAGATGGGCTGTCTCACTATGTTGCCCAGGCTGGATATTCACAGGTGTGATCATAGCGCACTACAGCCTCGAACTCCTGAGCTCAAGTGATTTTCCCACCTCAACTTCCCAAGTAGCTGAAACTACAGGAGCTCAGCTGATGCATTTCTTTAGTTATTTCAGAGATTTGTGTGTGTGTTTTTGTGTGTGTATACCCACTTAGCCACACACATATGAATATGTATTGCGTTTAAAAAAAAGATCTTGGCTAGGTGCAGTGTCTCATGCCTGTAATCCCTGCACTTTTGGAGGCTGAGGCGGGAGGACTGCTTGAGTCTTGGAGTTTGAGAGCAGCCTGGGCAACATAGTTACACCTTGCCTCTACAATAAATAAATAAAATTACCTGGGCATGGTGGCATGCACCTATAGTCCTAGCTACTCGGGAGGCTGAGGGGGAGGATCACTTGAGCCCCAGGGGTTGAGCTGCAGTGAGCTGTGATCACGCCGCTGCATTCCAGCCTGGGTGACAGAGCGAGACCCTGTCTCAAAACAAAACCAAACAAAACAACTTTGTAGCATGCTCCAGACACTGTTCCCACCTTGCTTTATATACTGATCATTCCACATCAATGTGCAGGGATGTCTTCGGTGTGCTTGCTCTGCTGTATGCTATATGGCTGCATCCTTATTTATTTAACCAGTCTCATATTTAGTTTGTGTCCATTATTTTGCTGCTTTAATTTATGCTGCAAATTAGTATCCATGTACATATATCCTTGCACCCACGCGCGAACACATCTGCAGGGATAGATTCCTAGAAGGGGAGTTGCTAAGTCAGAGGATGTGTGCATTTTACATTTTGATGGCTCCTATACACATAAGTGAGATGAGAACAATAAAAGCTAATTGCTATTGAACGTCTTTATGGCCTGCAATGTTTGTTGGAGAAAAATAGCCTTAAGAGCTAGCACTTGTATCGATGTGAGAAGTCTTATTAAAAAAAAAAAAAAAAAGACTAAGGAGATAGAATCATAAGGCAGCAAGCACCATGAAGCCTGCAGAGTTACTTAAGCTTGAGCAAATAACAGTTACTTTGTGGGGACTGGTCATTCTGGCTGTTCTAGCTAGGAAAGTAAACAGTTTGGAAACCAGGAGCCTTCTATAGGGAATATTTACTCCTAAGATCTCTTCATAGGTCATCATGACCCTCCTTTGGCATGCATGATTAGTGCTATGGCTGTTGATGAAATCAATAGAGACACTGGCATCCAGAACAGTTCCAAGAGAAAGTGTCTGTTATACACATAAAAAGAGAAACAGATTTTTCCCTAAGGGTTAAGGTAGACTCTTTCTGCGTCTCAGAGTGCCCAGGAGAGAATGAGTAAAATTTATTTTATTGTGTCATTTCTCTGCTTAATCCACAAGGTGAAATTGAAGGCTCTGGGACTTTGCAGAATACTTAGGGTTCTATAGCAACTCTGGTTTTTTGCCCTGCTTCAAAGTAGTCTCAGCTGCCTTCTAGATGGTACATAACCAAGAGCGTAGCTGTTGCTGACTTACATTCTAACCCTATATCAATCACATGGCTGCTGCTGACATCCTTGACCTTGAATTTGGCTTCAGATCTCTCCAGTACATCTGTAGTGTAGTTCACAGCACTTTGGACTTTATATTTTGAATATTTTCAGCTTTTGAGGCATATATATATATATATATATGAATGAACAATCTCAATCTAATGTGTAGGCATGTGAATGTGCTTAACTCTAAGCATTTCTTTTCTGTTTGTTGAAAAAGGTAACTAAAAATTCTAAATTTACATAAGATATTACACCCTGAAGACAGAATTCATGTTCCACCTTCAAAAGACATCAGCACACACATGCACACTTGGATGGTGGTATGGGAAAGGAACAGGGAGAAATTCAAAGCATTTTAACGAGATGCAAATGGATATTTGAGATTTTGGTATTTGATATTATTTCAGTTTTCATTATTTATCATAGGTATGACGTCATTTATCCCTTTTTGATCCAGGAATTTTCAGGGTTAAGTGAATTTTACATCTACCATAGTAGATTTGTGAAACAGTCACATAATTAAAAGCTGATTTGGGTGAAAGTTGATTTTTGTTATACATGAAGTATAATTGATTAATGCATAACATTTTCCTGCCTTTAGTTGAAGCCCTGTTTAAAATATTTTCCTCATCTGTATTATTTTTCAACAACTTCATATGGAGTGCAAATTAAGAGGTGTTGAAAACAAACCAGATGGCCCACTTAGAATTATCTTTTAGGCAATTTTGATTACTTTGAGGATTTTCTTGCATTTAGAGTGTTGAAGTAAGCATCTCCTGACTATTACAAAGATCATATAGAAATCACTTGGAGGTTAGTTAGGGCTAAAAATCCTTTTTCCCATAAAAGTAGTCATTAGGAATACAGCTATAGGCCGGGTGTGGTGGCTCACACCTGTAATCCCAGCACTTTGGGAGGCTGAGGCCGGTGGATCGCCTGAGGTCAGGAGTTTGAGACCAGCCTGGCCAACGTAGTGAAACCCCGTCTCTACTAAAAATACAAAAAATTAGCTGAGCGTGGTAGTGGGTGCCTGTAATCCCAGCTACTGGGAGGCTGAGGCAGGAGAATCACTTGAACCTGGGAGGTGGAGGTTGCAGTGAGCCAAGATCGCGCCATTGCACTCCAGCCTGGGCAACAAGAGCGAAACTCTGTCTCAAAAAAAAAAAAAAATGCAGCTATAATATGGGTTAAATAGCTTTTTACAGACCACTCTGGGAGCCTAATACTCCTTTGATACTGTCTCTGTGGGGATAGTAGGTTTAGAGTTGACATCAGACTGTTGGCTGAGGTAACTTTTTTCTACTCAGAGAAAGAAAAGTTCTTGCCTGGGCACGGTGGCTCACACCTGTAATCTAAGCACTTTGGGCAGCCAAGGTGAGAGGATTGCTTAAGCCCAGGAGTTCAAGACCAGCCTAGTCAACATGGTGATACCTCGTGTCTACAAAAAAATAAAAAAGTAATCCTGGCACTTTGGGAGGCTGAGGCAGGTGGATCACGAGGTCAGGAGATTGAGACCATCCTGGCCAACTTGGTGAAATCCTGTCTCTACTAAAAACAAAAAAATTAGCTGCGCATGGTGGCACGTGCCTGTAGTCCCAGCTACTCAGGAGGCTGAGGCAGGGGAATCGCTTGAACCTGGGAGGTGGAGGTTGCAGTGAGCTGAGATTGCGTCACTGCACTCCAGCCTGGTGACAGAGCAAGACTGTCTCAAAAAATAATAAATAAATAATAAAAAATAAATTAAAAAGTTAGCTGGGTGTGGTGGTGTGTACCTGTAGTCCCAGCTCCTCAGGATGCTGAGATGGGAGGATCACCTGAGCCTGAGGAGGTCGAGGCTACAGTGAGCCATGATCATGCCACTCCACTCCAGCCTGGGTGACAGAGTGAGACCCTGTCTAAAAAAAGAAAGAAAGAAAGAAAGAAAAATTCTCCTGAAAGGGAACCCTTGCACACTCTTGGTGGGAATCTAAATTGGCATTACTATTACGGAAAATAGTGTGGAGGTGCCTCAAAAAATTAAAAATAGAACTACCATATGATCCACTTATCCCACTACTGGGTATATATCCAAAAGATATGAAATTATTGTGTTCAAGAGGTATCTGCACTCATGTTTGTTGCAGCATTATTCATAGTAGCCAAGATACAGAATCAACCTAAGTGTTCACTGATAGATGAATAGATAAAGAAAATGGAAAATGTGGGGTGTGTGGGAGAAATGGGGAGATGTTGGTCAAAGGGCACAAACTTGCAGTTATAAGATGAGTAAGTTCTGGAGATCTAATGTACAGCATGGGGACCATAGTTAATAATACTGTAATCCCAGCACTTCGGGAGGCTGAAATTTGCTTAGAGAGTGGATCTTCATTGCTCTCATCACACACACACAACAGTAACTACGTGAAGTGATGAATATGTTAGCTTGCTCGTGGTAATCATTCCACAGTGTATACAGAGATGAAAACATCTTGTTGTACACCTTGAATATATACAATTTTTTTTTTTTGTCATTCTGTGACTCCTACACCTTCTTACTCCCTTTGTGACCTTGGGTGGACTCAGCATGGTGACCAAAGACTTTCATGATCTGAAGTGGGTGTGCCCTCTTCATTCCTCATACTTGACATTCCACCCCAAACATGGTGTACACATTCTTTAAACAGCCTTGCATTTGGGCATGATGTGTTTGCTTGGGCTGTTTTCTCTCTTTCTGAATGCCCACTGCTGCCCCTTTCCTGCATGCTCCCCTCAAGGTTCTTTCTACAGAGCCCAGTTGAAATGCTACTTTTTTGATGAATCCTTCCCCTGACCTGGTCCCAAACTTACTGACTTAGAATCTCAGAGGTCTGGAAATTTGTGTCTCTCATGGCATCTTGTATAGTGCCTTGCCCATAATAAGTACTTTATATATGTTGGAGTTGAAATAGATAATGTATATTAACTCTGCGAGGGGCTAATTGATACCTAGAATGAACATAGGCTAAAATGAGAAGCTAGCATGAGCTAGATATCAGAACTGAACAAAACACACACCACAAATAATAAAAACTCAAACCATAGACTAACGTTGGTTGGGAATGAAGATATGAAAAATCTCAAATAAAATATTCGAACATCCAATTTAACAGCATTAAAGAATGATCATGACTGAGTAGTGTGTTTATCCTGGGAATTAAATTAACACATTATATTGATTGAACAAAAGAGAGAGACTGTGTAGCGCCATACATGCTCAACATCGAAACCTGGTGCTCACAGTCTCATAATGAACTAGGAAGACACCAGTACTTCTTAAACAAGAAGAATATCTTCCACAAAGCAGTAGCCAACAGTAAAGTTCATGGTGAAATAGTAAGGGATTCTTATTACAACTAGCAACAAATAAAAAATGTGCACCATCGTGAACAAAACAGTTGTTAAAATGAGACCAGCAAATGCTCTCTGGGAAGTGAAGCTGGCGTTCTCCTTCCTGCCTGTAGAGTTATGAATCCATACAACCTTTTGGGAAATCAGTTAGGTGGTCTGTTTGACAAACCATACAAATATCCATACCCTCTGACTCAGACATTTACTTCTCAGAAATTCTCCTAAGGAAATCAGAAATGTTGACAGAAATATGAATAGGTACTCATTACATTTAGAAGAATTAGAAATGACAACAATCTACTCATCATAACATTTGGAAGAATCGGAAATGACAGCAATCTAAATGCCCCACAATGGGGAAATAGTTAAGATTATTATGGGGTATCTGTACAGTGGAATGTAATGAGTCATGAGAAATGTTTAAGAGTTTTAATACCATGAGAATGCTCTTGTGTTGAATTAGAATGATACAAATTGTATTTAAACAGTCCCTCAACTGTTTATAAAAATCTCCTCTGTTTCTTGGTGGGTTAGAAATCACCTTTTTTTTTTTTTGAGATAGAGTCTTGCTCTGTCACCTAGGTTGGACTGGAGTGCAATAGCACAATCTTGGCTCACTGCAACCTCCGCCTCCCGGGCTCAGATAATCCTCCTGCCTCAGCCTCCCGAGTAACTGGGATTGTAGGTGTGCGCCACTATGCCTGGCTAATTTTTGTATTTTTTGTAGAGACAGGGTTTCACCATGCTGCCCAGGCTAGTCTTGAACTATTAGACTCAAGCGATCCACCTGCCTCAGCCTCCCAAAGTGGTGGGATTACAGGCGTGAGCCACTGCGCCCGGCCACCTTTCTATTTTTCTGGTTAACTTTCTAAATGTTTGAAATGGCTTCCAATGAATTTCATTTTATTATTGGGGGAAACTTCCACACTTATTTTCTTTCTTCCCAAATCTCCACAAGTATACTCTCCTCCCAAAATTTAGATAGTTGTATTTTTCTGATTATTCCAAATAAGAGTGCTGAGAGGCTAATCACAAAGAGCAGCAGCCAGAGATTTACAAAGTGTTCTCTTACTATTGAACATTTTCACTTATTCTTTTTGATAGGACACACATCCATATGGCTCAGAAATCAAAATGTCCAAGAATTTGTCAAGTGAATAGTGGCTCTCTTATTCCTGCCCCCCCATCTGCCCAGTCCTCTTGAAGCACGTAACCAATGATAATAGTTTCTACTGTGCACTTGCAGAGATTTTCCAGGAAATTTCAAGCACCTTGCCTTCCAAGTCACTATATACCAGCTACTCATCTCGTGCCCAGTTCACTTTGGTCACCCTGTCCCCACCATCCCTGTGCTTACATCAACCGGTACTTCTCTCTCTCTGAGCTCAAACACCCCAGAGAGAAGCCTGGCCCTGCCCAGCCTTTTATGGGTAGATGAGGTGGGAGCATGGGTACGTGTTCCTTTGCCCACCTCGGAGAGTCATCCAGCTTCTGGAAAAATGATAGCAGCCAACTTGACAGAAGAACCCAGCATACACATTCAAGTTCATTAGATTAAAAAAAAAAAAAAAAAAAAGGCCGGGCATGGTGGCTCATGCCTGTAATCCCAGCACTTTGGGAGACGAAGGTGGGTGGATTGCTTGAGCCCACGAGTTTGAGACCAGCCTGGGCAACACAGGAAGACCCCTGTTTCTACAAAAAGTAAAGAAAAAAAATTAGCCAGTCATGGTGGCACATGCCTGTAGTCCCAGCTTCTTGGGAGACTGAGGTGGGAGGATCACTTGAGCCCAGGAGGTCAAGACTGCAGTGAGCCCTGAAAGTGCCAATGCACTCCAGCCTGGGCTACCGAGCAATACCCTATCTCAAAAACAAAACAACAACAAACAAAAAAACACAAAAAAACCCTGAAACTAAAAATAAGTCAAAGGCAGTACTTTGCAGGCAGTTATTTTCAGCTTGAAGGTAGAGCCGTATAGCAGAATCTTGGAGAGGGCTTATGTTGTTTGAAACGCCTTCAGTATCATCATTTTCTACACTTTGAAAGTGGAAATGGGCCGGGCATGGTGGCTCACGCCTGTAATCCCAGCACTTTGGGAGGCCGAGACGAGCGGATCACAAGGTCAGGAGATCGAGACCATCCTGGCTAACACGGTGAAACCCTGTCTCTACTAAAAACACAAAAAGAAAAATTAGCCGGGCGTGGTGGCGGGCACCTGTAGTCCCAGCTACTCGGGAGGCTGAGGCAGGAGAATGCCGTGAACCCGGAAGGCAGAGCTTGCAGTGAGCCGAGATGGCGCCACTGCACTCCAGCCTGGGCGACAGAGCGAGACTTCGTCTCAAAAAAAAAAAAAAAGGAAAGTGGAAATGATCCCATATCTTTCTGATGTTAACTACAGAAAGTATAGTGTGGCAGTCTGGGCTCTAGAGCGCGAGGTAAAAATAATAAATGGCTTGAAGAACATTGTTCAAAGGCATATCATGTACAATTGGGTTTTTGATGGGGAGGGCAGCAGTGGGGTTAAAAAAAATCTCATGTCTAAAGCACAGATATGTGCACAGCACATAAACAGATGCACAAGACATCTCTGGAGTTAAAATTTCCTGGGGGGTGGCGATTAGAAACAAGTGTTTAACAAAGCTCCTTAGGAGGTTGATAATGGCTTAGGAAAGGTTGAGAGAGGCCGGGTGCGACCTGTAATCCTAGCACTTTGGGAAGCTGAGGCGGGTGGATCACCTGAGATTGGGAGTTTAAGACCAGCCTGGCCAACATGGTGAAACCCCGTCTCTACTAAAAATACAAAAATTAGCTGGATGTGGGGGTGCACACCTGTAATCCCAGCTACTTAGGAGGCTGAGGCAGGAGAGTTGCTTGAGCCCGGGAAGCGGAGGTTGCAGTGAGCCAAGATCGTGCCACTGCACTCCAGCCTGGGCGACAGAGCAAGACTCTGTCTCAAAGAAAAAAAAGAAAAAAAAAGAAAAAGAAAAAAAGAAAGGTTGAGAGAGACTGTTCAAAGGCAATGGGACCCAATACTGATACTTTGATACTTCATGGGTGTTTTGCGGAGGAGAGTTGCGAGGATAAAGAAGAAATAAAAATCTAGCTTCCGGGGCACTGCTGTGACCAGGCTATTAGGGTCAGCTTGAGCCATTGGTAACTTGGACAAACTTGAACGTTAACATTTGAACTCTTATCTGGTAAGGGGTAGCAGAAAGTTCCCTTCCCTCCTTGAACGTTAACATTTGAACTCTTATCTGGTAAGGGGTAGCAGAAAGTTCCCTTCCCTCCTCTGCACTTCTTGCCTCCATATTCCACACTGTTGTCACTTCACCCCCTGCATCCCCTAGCTGGACGCAAAAAGTGGAACTTGAACTTGAGGGCTGGCTGTTTTCTCAGAATACAGGATGCCAAGAGTTGAGAGGGCCCAAGGTCTTCCTGTGATCTTTTATATTACACGTCACATGCCAGTACCATGGCGTTAGGCTGGTAGACCCGAGGCCACCCGGTCAGTGATGAGTGGGGCCGCCTCTAGGTCCTGTGTTCCTTCTGTTCCCCGTCGAGGGTCATTCATTAAGAAAGCACAGCGAGTGCTGGGAGATAGCATGACGTCAACTGTCTGTTTGTGAAGTGTTTTTCTTGCTCGCTAGTGGATAGTGTGAGATCAGAGTGGAAATTGGAGATGACCTGAGCACTGAGGAGTTAAGGAAGGAGAGCAAGCAACAGGGTGATTCTGGTGGAAAAGTGGAGCAAGGGAGTTGGTTTGGCATTTCTGGATTCTTTTCAGGTCTCCCACACCATCTTTGTAGTTTTCGGCAGGATCACAGAGCTATCTTGGCCCTCACATTTTATTTTTTTATTTTTATTTTTATTTTGTTTTATTTTTAGACAGGGTCTCCCTCTGTGGTCCAGGCTGGAGTGCAGTGGCGTGATCATGTCTCACTGCAACCTTGACCTCGGGGGCTCAAGTGTTCTTCCTGCCTCAGCCTCCCTCTCTCTCTCTCTCTCTCTCTCTTTTTTAAATCTATAGAATTAGTTGAATCAGACTAAGGTTACTTTCAAGTCTATTATGTTATGAGGTCAGTACTTAACAAAGTAAGGTATGTCTAATAATTTCTTTATTAATAATAACTGAACCTCACAGCCAGGTTATTATAATTGCAAAGAATTAAACCAGAGACTTTGGGGGATTCCACATAGGATAAGACCACAGCACAGGCGCTCTTCCTCCAGTGCTCAGGGTTCTATTTTGTTTTCTCCTTCACTGGGATATCTTTTTTACTAATACTTGGAATTCTTCAAAACTAACTTCTCCATCTCCATTCTTGTCCAGTTCTTGAAAGAGATCATCTAGGGTGTTTGGACCCTGTTTTACATAAAAAAGGATGGGAGAAGGGAGGGGAGAAAAAATGAATCAGTTACTGCTACACATTCTCAGAAATTAGAGGCCTTGGGGTCTGTGTGCCAAGAAGGCAGCTCAGGTTTCCAGTGACATGCATCTAATAGCTAACAGAGAGAAACCAGCTTTAGCTGTTGTATTGCTCCGTGTCATAGAACTGGCTACCTTTTTGTCCTCCATATCACACATCTGTTATTTTAATACAATGCGTATTTTAATACAGTTGTTTTCTTATGCGATCTTGGGTCTTTTTCTTTATGCCTCTAAAAACATTCTTCTGAGAAGGGATCTGTGGGCTTCACTGGATTGCCCACGGCACACAAACAGTTGAGGACCCCTGCCCCAAGGTTTTCCTGGAAGCTGGGTTTGTCTCCTGCTCCAGGGCTAGGGCTGACATATTACATGAGGCAGCAGGCAGGGAGGGCTCCTTCTGTAATCCTTCCGACCACCCTATGAGGGAGATCTACTTTACAGGTGGGGAAACAGGCTCAGAGACAGGCAGTCACTTACTTGAGTGTCCACAGCTGGTTAACAGAGGGGTTGGGGTCCACACGTTGACTCCAGAGCTCAACCCCTTAACTAACCACCGCCCAGTTTTTCCCAAACGTTGAGCTATGCAAAATGACTTTGGCTCAATGGTTCCCATGCTTTAGCATGCATCAGAATCACACGATAGGCTTGCTGACCTTAGTAAATACAGACTGCCAGCCCCACCTCCAGAGTTTCTGATTCACTAGGCCTGGGGTGGGGCCCGAGAATCTGTACACAAGGTCTTGCTCTGTCACCCAGGCTGGAGTGCAGTGGCATGATCACAGCCCACTGCAGCTTCCACCTCCTGGGCTCAAATGATCCTCCTGCCTCAGCCTCCCGAGTAGCTGGGACTAAAGGCGTGTGCCACCACACCTGGCTAATTTTTTAAAAGTTTTAATAGAGACAAGGTCTTGCTGTGTTGTTCAAGCTGGAGAATCTATATTTTCAACAGCTTCCCAGGTGGTGCCAATGCTGCTGCTCTGGGACCACACTTGGAGAACCACTGCTTGAGATGTCGTGTGAGATCGTGTGCAGGCTTTTTGACTACTGGACTTCCTGCAGTGTCTTAAGTGGAGTTAATTTTTGTCTCTACCATAAAACTCTAATCTTAAAGCCATTACTACTTGGACTTTCAGGTAGGAGTCTATCTGTGCAAAATACTACTTAGAAAACCGATTGAAATAACAGTTCAGTTTGTCAGTTTCAAATTAGACTATATTATATATATATATGTATATATAAATTGTGGTAAAAAACACATAACATTGAATTTACGCTCTTAATCATTTTTAAGCATACAGTTCAGTAGTGCTAAGTAGATTCACAATTTTGTGCAGCACATCTCTATGGAAGATATATTTTAACCCCTAAGATTCCTACAAAAACACTTAGCACTTTGCTTTAATTACAAGACCAAACTGTAAGTTACTTATTCAGCCTTTGATTTATGAATATGAAACACTGTTTTCCTGAAGCCTTTACTAGATTCTAAACCATGCATGGTGATGATATATGTAAACAGAGTATGGTGGAAAACCTTAGTAATGGAAACCTTATGGGAATATAATCAGGTACATGTTAAGTAGACTTTCAGAACTTACCATTAGTCTTCCTACCTCGTTCCAGATTATGTCTTACGTACTTTTTGTAGGAAAGACATAAAATATAGAAAAAGTTACCCGTGTTACCTTTTGAAACAACTTGTTTGAGTACATGGCCTAGGCTTTCCTGTTAGATGATTATTTTTCTTCCTTTTAGAAAAAATAAAGGGTCTTTTAAAATTTTAAATTTTTTCACTAACTTGTTTTGCTGTTTAATTAAAAAGTCCCTTTTTCTGCTAGTGACTTTAAGTGTTTTTACAAGTTCTTCTATATTTCAACTATGAGAAAATGAGAAAATATCAGATTCTGGGGTCATTGAATTCAGCTTTTTTCTTTTTTAGTATTAAAAACAGAAGTCTTTCCAATTGTCATATTGGCAGAAGGGACATTTCTGGTTAAAATCTGGAGAGCTGGTTAAAATATTTGAAGAAATGTTCTTTCCTGAAGTTAGAGCTAAATAGTGACTGAGTCATACAAAACAATTCCATAGTCACTTCTGTTGTGAAGATGGTTTTTAATTGCAAAATGACAATGACTCTCTCCTTTGAGTCCTCTGCTCGACTAGGCCTGACCTTGGGCTTCCCTCTCTGTCCTTGTATCTGACTACCCTTAATATTTGATCACCTGGCCTGCCTTCAGCTAGAATCCTATCAAGGCAATTTAGCCAGAAGCTCCTTATCCTGGATATTTCCTTGGTAATTTTCCATCCACTGGCCCCCCCCATCCTGCTCTATGGTCATAAACCCCCACTTATCCTTTCTGGAGTTGAGCCCAATCTCTCTCCCCATGGCAAGAACACGTTTCAGTGGTCCCTGTATGGGTCGCCATGGCCCTCCTGGAGTAAGTTGCCTTACCATCCTTGGCAAGTGTCCTGACTCAGCTTTTTCTTTAGCAAAAGGAAAGACAGTACTGTATATTGGAGTGAGGACGATCAGCTCTTCTCTGTACTCTGTTGCCTTGAATGCATTTTGATTTTGACAACTCTGGGGTGATTTTGATGTGAAACTTTATGGCCCAGGAAATTTAGTCCTTTCTTGAAAGTTGTTTAGAAATGCACGGTTGCCTCATTAACACAAATTTAAGTGATGAACACAAATGTAAATGCTTTTGAAATATAAATGAGTGCTGACAAGGCAATTTGTCAGTGGGTTTTCCTAACAGACTGCTAAGTAAGTGTTGGTCTTGTTGAGGGATTTTACATACACAAATGAAGCCTGTCCAAGGCCAGCTAACACTATTTTGCAGTCCTCTTTGTTTTCCTAAAGCCTGGCACAGAAGTACTGAATCCATGCTGAAGGCCTTATTGGGTTTGCTTGGTGACTTGTGGGTCTTCCAGGCATAACTTGGCATTGCTTCCATTTATTATGGCTAGTCCTGCAGAGTCCTGTGCTGAGGCTGCAGGAGGGATAGAAGGCTTGGCCCTTGTTTTCTGAGAGCTTGCCTTCTGAAATGTGGCCTGACTTAAGGGGAAGAAACCCCACCTGCATGTGTCCTCCCTCAAGCGACGGTCCCTATAAGGCTCTACCGGAGTCCTCTCCCCTCCCTCCCTCCCCTCCCACCATCAGTCCCATTAAGTGGGCTCTGCGGATGGCCACTTACTTTGAGTAAACTGGGGAATTCAGCCTGAATCAATAGCTTCAGTTCATCCTTTGACAACTGGTCTGGATCACCTTCTTTGGCTGCATATTTTTCAAAAATCCTCTTCAGTTCCTCAGGAGACTTTTTAGTACTCATTCTGGTGTCTTATAAATTGGGAAGAAAATAAACTTACCAAAAAGCTGAAGTACAGTTTTGTGCTGAGGGTTGTCTGCAGGATTTTAGTGCCATTGGGCCATTTCCTTGGCATAAATGGGGAAGAATAAGGAAAAGAGAATGTCGGGGTCGGAATGGCACCAGTAACTACTAACATGTTTAAAAAATAAGCATCTTAGGCCAGGCACGGTAGCTCATGCCTGTAATCCCAGCACTTTGGGAGGCCAAGGAGGGTGGATCACTTGAAGTCAGGAGTTCGAGACCATGGAAGCCTGGCCAACATGGTGAGACCCTGTCTCTATACAAAAATTAGCCAGGCGTGGTGGTGCGTGCCTATAGTCCCATCTACTTGGAAGACCGAGGCAGGAGAATCGCTTGAACCCGGGAGGCGGAGGTTGCAGTGAGTGCGATGCCACTGCACTCCAGCCTGGGTGACAGAGCGAGCCTCCGCTGCAAAAAAAAAAAAAAAAAAAAAAAGACATCTTAGATAGTATGTTAAATGTCTGTTCTTAGAGTACATCTGTTAGGAGATGGTCCCTGGAGCCAAACATTTTTATTAGTAATTAATGACATTCTACACTTTTTATGTACCTGATCTGCACTCTGCAGGCTGTGGTCTTGAAGAATACTTGACCACAGCTTCTAGCTTCTAAGTTACAGGGAATATCTCCAGATGGCATAAACTCACCTTCTCTCCAGACCATTATCTTTCACACCATTCTAAAAGGAAGCAGAGTATTAATGCAAACAGAAGGAGCTCTAGGTAGTACCAAAATCACACTAACCTGGTTGCCCAATAGTGAAACAGCTAGAAGAATCAAAGAGGAGTTTGAAGAGCTGAGCAGAATCATGACACTTTTATAGTCTTTACGGGCACGCCACCCTGATTATGAAAATTTCCTTTTGTTGGCCATTTAAGGGTAATTATTAATGGTTTTTGAAACTCAGGCTTAAGACTGCATGAACCCCATAATTAAGGGCAAGATCCAGTAAAGGTCCATCTCGACAGTTGCTTCATGGTTCAGAGTCGTAAGCTTGGATTTTTTTCCCCCTGAGATTATATTTTCCCTCCAATGTAGAATTATATTTGCTCACAGTTCACATTTCATAAAGCTTAGATATAGAGGATTCTTTTCAATTTAGTTGCATATTTAGGCTTTAAAAAATAACTTTCTTCATATCCAGAAAAAATAAATGCTGCCCTGTGCGGTAGCTCATGCCTGTAATCCCAGCACTTTGGGAGGCCGAGGCAGGAGGATTGCTTGAGGTGAGGAGTTTGATACCAGCCTGGTCAACACAGCAAGACATTTCTACTGAAAAATTTAAAAAATCAGCCAGGTGTGATGGTACATGCCTGTAGTCCCAGCTACTGTAGAGGCTGAGGTGGGAGGATTCCTTAAGCCTGGGAGGTTGAGGCAACAGTGAGCCATGATTGTGCCACTGCACTCCAGCCTGGGTGACAGAGTGAGATCCTGTCTGTAAAAAAGAAAAAATGCTGTCATAGAAGGACAATATTACATAGTTTAAAAAATTACGGTATGGCCATTGAAGTCCTTCTGATGTCTTTACATATTAGCAGCTTAAATATTTGAATACATGAATGAATGAATGGAAGTATTGCTTCAGAAGCAGGTTTAAGAAGTGGAAAGAAGATACTCAGTAATTTGTGGTTTTATTTGGCAAATCAATATTGAGTAACATGGTCATTTTTTCAGCTCTTTCATTATTTGTTGGTCCTGTGTCTGCTTTTTATTTCTCATTATCCTTTTCCTTACCAAATATATTTCGTGATCATTCGAAAAACTTGTGAGAACACTCGACTTACTCTTGTTCAGTTGGAAATACTTCAAACTTTTTGTAACTGCCATGATTTAAAATTGCCAAGGAGATTGATTTCTACTGGAAAGAGTTCCATGAAATAAGTAGGACATTTCCAAGGGACATTGATCTAATGCTGATTGTAACTCACAGGAAGGGGTTCCAGGTGGATTTTAAGAGCACTTTACAGCTTTGAAACACTTGTACACTTCCACACTTATAGAATTTTCCCTGACTCTGCCTTATATCACCTACAAACTGAGGACTGGACTATTGGGACTGTATTTCTCCCTGATGTTTCTCAGCTCTAAAATTCTAGGGCCTTATTTACATTGGAGAACAAATGGGAAATCTAATAGAATTCCTTAAAAGCTTCCCGCCAGTCTTGAGCATTTATCATTCCATGTGTCTTTGCTGTCTTGTATATATTCTTCTTGTTTTTATTATGGATTCTTTGACTTTGCTATGCACCAATATAGAATATGTATTAACTCACTGGTTGGAGTAAAGACAGGCATTTTATTTTTAGTTATAAGATTTTACACAAAAATATTCTGATTTTGGCAATGCATTTTAATCAAGATTTTAGAAAATTGCCAGTGTTTTTACACATATGTTCTGTTTTCCTGGGAGGAAGTAGGCGTTTGTGCTTAATCATAACAAGAACTATCTTTTTTTAAACATCTTTTAAAAAATATTTCAGATCTACAGAAAAGTGGCAAGAATAGTGCAATGAACACCAGTCTGCCTTTCGACTAGATTCACTAATTGCGAACATCTCCACATTTGCTTTCTCTTTCTCTGGACAGATACTTTCCTCCACCCCTGAGTCATTTGAGAATCAATTACAAACATCCAGATGCTTCCCCCCTGAGCACCTCAGCATCTGTCTCCTAAGGACAAAGACATTCTCCTATGTAACCACAATGCCATTATCATAGCCCACGTCAAATCTCTCCAATTGTTGAATAGCATCTTAAATCATCTTTTCTCTCAAATTACCACTAGTGAGCTAAAATCAAATGGGGTGTTTATTATGTTTTGCATCTGGTTTTTTTGTTTATTTTTTTGAAGCCACTTCACTGTGTCACTCAGGTTGGAGTGCAGTGGCGTGAACACAGCTCACTGCAGCCTCAACCTCCATGGGCTCAGGTGATCCTCCTACCTCAGCCTCCCGAGTAGCTGGGACTACAGGCATGTGCCACCATGCCCGGATACATATATATATATTTTGTGTATTTCTTGTAGAAAAATACAACATGGGTTTTGCCATGTTGCCCAGGATGGTCTCCAACTCCTGGGCTCAAATGATCTGCCCGCCTCAGTCTCCCAAACTGCTGGGATTACAGGCGTGAGCCACTGCACCTGGCCTATTTTTTGCATCTGAAGAAATGATTTTAATAACTATATGTCATCTTAGTAACGATATAGGATGAAAGATAACATGTTCTATATAATACACCCATATATTACATATGACGTGTGTATGTATATATAAAAATTATCTCTAAGAAAAACTTTTGGAGCAGTATTGGTTAATAGTCTTCTAGGCTACAAATCTCTTCTTTCAAGGGACAACTTCTGATTAGAATCAGCCCAATGCGGCCGGGCACGGTGGTTCACGCCTATAATCCCAGCACTTTGGGAGGCCGAGGTGGGCGGATCACCTGAGGTCAGGAGTTCGAGACCAGCCTGACCAACATGGAGAAACCTCATCTCTACTAAAAATACAAAAATTAGCCAGGCGTGGTGGTGCATGTTTGTAATTCCAGCTACTCGGGAAACTGAGGCAGGAGAATTGCTTGAACCCGGGAGGTGGAAGTTGCGTTGAGCTGAGATCCTGCCATTACACTCCAGCCTGGGCAATAAGAGCGAAACTTTGTCTCAAAAAAAAAAAAAAAAAAAAAAAAAAAAAGAATGGGCCCAATGCTGCCTATTGTCAGAATTTATACTTGTAGCGAATGCTAGCAAAACTTGAACTTGAAAAACAGCCTGTGCGGCTTCTTAAGTTTTTACTTGCTCACTTCTACCAGTCACATCTCTTGTCTCTTATTTTTCTCTTTACCCATAGACTTAAAAGCATGAGGGTAAACTTGCACTTGGAAGCATGAAAAATCCACTAATAGATACTCTTGTGAAACATTAACTAAAAATATATGGAGACAAGTGATAATTACAGGGTGTGTTCACAAGAGTGCGTTTTGAAACCAGAGAAGGGGGGAAACGACAGGCACAAGGGTGGTAATGGGAAAATGGAGAGGCAAAGGTTATTTATCACCTCACTGTTCAATTGTTTGATCTTTGGACAGGCTTAATTTTTCCTAGGAAAGCCAAGAGTAACATATTTTAAGAGCTCTGGGCACCACAGGCTTCTGTGGGTTATTCTGCTTGAAGGTGACAGCATGCAATGTCTTGAAAAGCACCTTCAGGAAGAGGGTACAGTGTTAGTACCTGGTCCCTGCAAAACAAAATGGGTGTGAAATGCTATCCATGGGTTCTTGTTATCTTTGATCCTGAAGTTTAAAAGAGACCTTGAATACTCAAATGCTGCTTTCCCAGAAAGTATAGCTTGCTTGTCACCTGACCTGGTGTCTACCTTCCCTGGACCTTCAGACAAAGTTCACTTCCAACCTTTGCCTGGGCTGTGAGGCTCACTGTCTTTTGGGTCAGCCTGTGCTCACCTTCAGCAGTTGAGTTCCCAGAGGTCTCCTGACCATAGCCTGTGCTTCTTGAGTGCGTATCTTTACTATGGGCAGTGTGCTGACCTAGGCACCCAACTCCCACGGCCTCCTTAAATCCTTGCTGCAACTTTATGAAGTGGATGCTGTTGGTCCCCCCAGTCTGTAGAGACATCCAAGGACCTGCTCAGGGTCACACTGCTGGTCAGCAGTAGAGCTGGGATTCAAGTTCAGGCCCAGCCTGCACCCTCAACCACCGTGCCACATGCCCCTCCCAGGAGAAGGGCTTCTCTGAGGACAACCATTGTATGTTAACATTAGGACCACAGGTAGTATCACACTTAAGTGTTAGGTTTACATCTGGAGGTATAAGAAGGTTCTTTTTCTGAGGTGTAAGAAAGTTCTTTTCCTGATGAAAATGATATAGGCCTTTGTCTGTTTTGCACTGCTATAACAGAGTACCTGAGACTGGCTAATTTATAAAGAAGAGAAATTTATTTCCTCACAGTTCTGGAGGGTGGCTGGGAAGTCCCAGATCAAGGTGCTGGCATCTGGTGAGGGCCTTCTTGCTGTGTCATCATGTGGTAGAAGGCATCACATGGGTGAGAGAGAGGGAAGGGGACTGAACTCATCCTTTTACCAGGAACCCATTCCCATGATAACTAACCCATTCCAATGATAATGGCATTAATCCATTCATGGGGGCAGAGCCCTTATAACTTAATTGCTTCTTAAAGATTCCACCTCTCAACACTGTTGCACTGAGGATTAAGCTTGCAACACATCAACTTTGGGGAATGCATTCAAACCATAGCAGCTTTCTTTTACTGGTGGGGAAAAAAACAAGTTTAAAAGACTGGAAAAATACATACGTACTTATGGGACTGCTCATTGATTTCCTCATTGTAGATTCCATTCTCACACTACTTGGTGACACAGCAGCGCAGGTTGGAAGCCAGAAATGGGAAATAAACTGCTTCAGGTTAGAGGCAGGACTCTGTCAGGCAGGACTGGGCATAGTGTGTACTCGGCCTCTGAGTAGGGCACCACCCCTCCCTTCCCGTCTGCTGAAGAGACTCACCTGCAACTTGGGACATCCATGAGTATCTCAGACACCCCTCTGCTACTCTGTGGCCCACTGACCCATCCCTTAGTCTCCCCTGTTAGTTTTTAATACACTTAAAACACTGTGAGATTCCAGGCCGGGTACAGTGGCTCATGCCTGTAATCCTAGCACTTTGGGAGGCTGAGGCGTGTGGTTCACAGGGTCAGGAGATCGAGACCATCCTGGCTAACACGGTGAAACCCCGTCTCTACTAAAAATACAAAAAAAAAAAAAAAAGTTAG
Source organism: Homo sapiens (assembly GCF_000001405.40). NCBI lineage: Eukaryota > Metazoa > Chordata > Mammalia > Primates > Hominidae > Homo > Homo sapiens. The sequence continues at coordinate 16,645,145 of NC_000023.11, read as the reverse complement.
CCGGGCATGGTGGCGGGCGCCTGTAGTCCCAGCTACTCAGGAGGCTGAGGCAGGAGAATGGCGTGAACCCGGGAGGCGGAGCTTGCAGTGAGCCGAGATCGTGCCACTGCACTCCAGCCTGGGCGACAGAGCAAGACTCCGTCTCAAAAAAACAAAAAACAAAAAACACTGAGAGATTCCATTATTGAGTACTTGATCTGAACTTGACACTGTGTCGAACTCCTCAGTGGAGATGGAAAATAAAAAGATCTAATCCTTGTGCTTGATGAGCCTACACTTAATTTATGAGAGGAGATGCATTTATGAAATAATAGAGGAAGTTAAAGCTGTTTGTAGTAAATAACGGTATTAGATTCCTATGGCTGTTGTAACAAATTACCACAAACACAGTGGCTTAAAACACATATACATTTCTTCTGGAAGTCAGAGATATAAAGTGGGTTGGCAGGGCAGTGTTCCTTCTGGAGGGTGTACGAGAGAATCCATTTCCTTGCTTTTTCCAGCTTCTAGAGGCCACTTGCCCACGGCCATCCTCCATCTTCAAAGCCAGCAGCATAGCATCTTCCAGTCTCTCTGATCTCTGCTTTGTGGTCATATCCCCTTTTCTGACCCTGACCCTCCTGCCTTCCTGTTTTAAGAGCCTTTGTGGTTACAATGGGCCCACCCTGATAATCCAGAATCTTCCCTTCTCAAGAGCCTCAATTTACAGGCTGGGCATGGTGGCTAATTCCTGTAATCCCAGAACTTTGGGAGGCCAAGGCTGGAGGATCATTTGAAGCCAGGAGTTCCAGACCAGCCTGGGCAACATGGCGAAACCCCATCTCTACAAAAAAATACCAAAAAATTAGCCGGGCATGGTGGCATGCACCTGTGGCCCCAGCTACTTGGAAGGCTGAGGTGGGAGGATCACTTGAAGCCAGGAGTCAGAGGCTGTAATGAGCTATGATCATGCCACTGCACCCCAGCCTTGGAGACAGAGTGAGATCCTGTCTCAAAAAAAAAAAAAGATCCTCAACTTAATCACATCTGCAAAGTCCCTTTTGCCACAGATTCATAGGTTTCAGGGACTAGGATGCGGATATCTTTAGGGTAGGGGAGGCATTATTCAGTCTCCTACTATGAGTTACTGAAAATGAATTGATGATGTATAGGTTATTTATTTGGTAGGCTGAGCATAACAATGGCATTAATTATGAGGCAGTAAGGGGAACTGGAGGGGGCCCCTAAAGCATGAGGAATGGGAGGGAGAAGGTATCTTGGGAAAAGTAGAGAAGGAGGTGGTCTGTGTGTAGTATGGTGGTGGGTAGGAGAGTGGAGGTGCCATTGACAATGGCCCCAGCTAGCTGTGGTAGAAGCTACAGGTTCGAATACATGAGGAGGGCATGGCTAGTCTGGGCTCCTGTGTGAGGTAGGACCTGAGAGCCACCCAGAAGAGTTTAGGTTTAGTCTGTAGTGATGGAGGCTGCTGGAGCTAGCAGTGCAACCCAACATTAGGGAAAGTAATGCTGATGTAAAACTGCTTGATACTTTATGTACAATTTGAATATGACTTAGAATCAAAATCAGAATCAGGCTTGAAAACCTAATGAGCAGTAGGAAAGGAATGAATTGGAGAATACTTGTAAAGAATACTAGAGGAGGCCGGGCGTGGTGGCTCATGCCTATAATCCCAGCACTTTGGGAGGCTGAGGTGGGCGGATTGCTTCAGCCCAGGAATTCAAGACCAGCCTGGGCAACATGATGAAACCCCGATGCTACAAAGTGGAAAAAAAAAATGCTAGAGGAAATTGCTGTATGTTGCCTAAGAGTCTGGAAATAGAAATAGCTGCTGGTGAGTAGGCTTTCCCTTTGTCTCCAGGTGAAATATTCAACGATGAGGAACAAAAGGAAAGCTGGGCTTACCAGGGTAGGTCAGGTAGGTCCAGTCAGGAATTTCACTGTTGCTAAGAGAACCTAACTCCTGTAGACTTTGTTGTTTAAGGCACCTGGGATGCTGTAAAGTCTTGAACTCATTACACTTTTATTATGGGCTGCAGAAAACATCAGTAAAGGTTAATTAGTGCCATATTTATCCTTACATGCTGATTTTACATCTCCTAAAGCTTTATCACTTATTGATCCTTTTTTATTTTTCTCATACTATATGGCTCAGTTCCAAGAGAGGACAAATCTGGGGATCAGATGACAGCCAGTATTTAGGCTGAATTAGAGGAAGCAAAGGCAATCCTTTTGCAATGGAAGATGCGTTTTCCTTTCAGATGCAAAAATCTAGAGTATTTTGGAAATGTTGGTGTTAAATCTAAAGCATATTTGAGATTATTTTCTTTAACCACCCCAGTAACAATAAAATAGATATGTTTTGAAACTGTGATGTTCTCCTGTCTCTCAGGCTTTTAGTGGAAGGAATGCAAGGAACAAAGACATTTTTGTTAATTTTTGCTGCTGAATCAGGTTGCTTATAACCCAAGAGGCAGCCAGCCATCATCATCTTGTAGGATCCAGCTTGTAGGATCATCTGATAACTCTGCAAGGCAGCTGGTGTGTCAGGCTTGGGCACCATAGTCTCTGCCTTGCCCTGACCTTCCGCTTCCTGAGTGTTGGGGTTCCACCAGCTGGTGCCTGGCAGCGTTCTTTGCCTGAGTATGTGATGGTGATTCCCAGATGAGATCTCCTAAGCTAGGCCCACACAGAACCTTCCTGTTCCCTCCCTCCATCAGCGACTTGCCTGTCAATTCTCTCCCTGCTTTTCTCCTTTCACTGATGTTCAGGGCAACATTTGGTACTGGAGACCTATTTTCACCTGCTTCCCACCTCTTCTCTAGCATTTTTTGCCTTCTCCACTGGTTCCTACGCTAGCATGTTTTAATCAGAGGATCACAGTGGCATTTATACCTTGGATTTTCTTTCTGTGCTATCATTTCAGGAGAAGGTAGCGTTTATTACTTCTGAAAACAGCAGGGATAATGTGAACTAATACCCTAGTGTAAGGCCTAAATACTACATTTTACTCTTGATGACTTAAACTTGTATTTTCATTAGTAAAATACGATGTGCAAAGTTTAAAAAGCCAACAGTTCTGAAAAGCCTATAATGACAAAGTCATTAATCCTCACTCCCTCTGTACCACTCTTTAGCTTCTTCTAGCTCTTTCTCTGTGTTTGTCTCCATGTTGCTAAATAATCTCATAGTATTCTTTGAGGACTTTTTAGACTTCTCCCGCTTTGTTGAAGGAGTTTTTAATGCTCTTAGGCAGCCCCTATGCCCACTGCATTTTCCTTCTCTCCCCACCTCCCACCCCTACACTTGACTTTTGGAAATATTTTCTGGTCTTCAAGTGTTTGTCAAGTTCATCCCAAGTAAGCAGTAAGGCAGATTTCCTGTTCTTTTTCTTTTCTTTTGTTTACATTTTTGAGACAAGGTCTTGCTCTGTCATCCAGGCTGGAGTGCAGTGGTGTGATCATAGCTCACTGCAACCTCCGCCTCCTAGGCTCTAGCAATCTTTCCACCTCAGCCTCCTGAATAGCTGGGACTGCAGCCTGTGCCACCACACCCAGCTAATTTTTGTATTTTTTGTAGAGACCATATTGTCCAGGCTGGTCTCGAACTTCTGGCTCCAGTGATCTGTCTGCCTTGGTCTCCCAAAGGGTTGGGATTGCAGGCGTGAGCCACTGCACCTGGCCTCCTGTTCTTAGTTGGCTAATTTTACTCTAATCTCAATGCTTCATACCAGAATATTTCTTGAATACCAACCTTGCCAGTAACTGAACAAACTACATGTAAAGACTCTTCTTGGGTATTGGGTATTGGGACCCAACACAGTGAGGAAGACTGAAGAGTCGTAGTGCACTTCTATCAAGAAATTAGGGGAGGTTATCCCTGTAGTCTGCCTAGATGGTTCAGGTTGTCTGAAACTTAAATGGAAGTTGAGGCTCTGAATACACGTAGGACTTCTGAATCTGTGGCAGGTGGTGCAGTCTTACCTGATTTAGAGAATACATAGAGAGGCCAGGCATCTATGTGCAACTCAGCTTCATCGGCCAGAAGTGAATGCCCTATCTCACCTCACTCCAGTAATACTTAACCTAGCCATAATTAGCTAACCAAAGATAGGAACAAGATGCCAAGGCCAAGAGCACTTGAGAATTGAGCAGTCCATCTAACAAGGGAGGTCATCGAGTTTCTTCTCCACCCTTTCCCTGAAGTAACTCTTGGAGCAAGCTTGGGACACTGTGTTCAGATGGCTCGGAAAGTTCTGGGGCACTGATAAGATCAGACATTTTGTTGGGAATTTTTTACCTCAGAAAATTCCAGTTGTCAAAGATTCCTGTAGAGCAATATGTGGCAATTACGGTATGGGAAAAAAACAACAACAACAAATGAAAGGTTTTATGAGAGGGAAGCTCAAGCAATTCCATTAGAACAGGTCGACTCACCCAACTGTAGTCTGTTCTAACAACTTTAAAAAAGAAGATGAGATGAAACCATGAGATCGTAGTGAACAGAACTGAGAAAACAGATGAATTACGAGACTCACCAGGATAGGCTTTTCATAAAAATCACCTGTTTCTCAATTTCTGCAGTGCGATTGTGATCATAAATATAAAGCCACTCCGGCTCTCAAAGATTGACTGTCTCTCCCACAAAGCACTCGCCAGACACAAACTGAGAGAAAGGCAGGGATGGGGAAGAACCTCGTTCTGTGAGGGCACAGAGAGAGGACCCTGACTCAGCTATGGCTCCCAGAAATACCAGCTCCTGGAGTGGCTGATGTTGGATAGTGGAGCTAAGATTTCAGGGTTAAGCATGGTTTCATTTAGGAAAAGAGGGCAGAGGAATGGGAGGAGATTGTCCAGGCAGAGGGCACAGTGTGGGCCAAGTCGCCACGGCGGGAGGAAAGGAGATGCAGTTGAAAAACTCAAAGAACCAGCACTCAGGGTGAGAGGGGCAGGGAATATAAGATAAGGCTGGACGGTTAGGCTGGCCTGATACCATGAGGTCAAGGGTTTCAAGCAGGAAAAATGCCGCACTAAGATTTGCTGTGTGAATAGACCACTCTGCCTGCAGTAGGTAGGGTGTGCTGGGGCCATGGGAATGTTGAGTGGCCAGTCAGTGAGCCATTGCTGTAGCCTGGGAGAAGGCTGGAGAGAAGTGGATGGATGCGGGAATTCTGGAGGGGATAAATCCACAGGACTTGACAGAGTGGCTATGAGGGAGAGGGAGCGATCAAGGGTGCCACTTAAGTTTCCGACCTACAGAGTGTGCTAGACTGGATGATACTTCTTTCTTTCTTTTCTTTTCTTTTCCTTTTCTTTTCTTCTTTCTTTCTTTCTTTCTTTCTTTCTTTCTTTCTTTCTTTCTTTCTTTCTTTTCTTTTCCTTTTCTTTTCCTTTCTCTTTCTTTCTTTCTTTCTTTCTCTTTTTTTGGAATCCCTCTAATGGTTTTCTATAAATAGGTTCTTTTGGTATACCTTTCCACAGTACAAGTACTGATAGATTTGCTTATGGAAAATCTTTAGGGAATGCACTGGGCAGTGGGGGAAGAGGGTTATCATGAAAGATGTGAACACCGAAGTGGGAGGCCTCAGCAATCCAGATCTCGAAGTGTGAGGACTACTTGGAACTGATGGTTTGAGTAATGGCAGGAGGGACATCATCAAGATGCTCCTGATACATTGTTTTATAAGTGATTTAAATGAAAGATGAGAAGCAGATGGAAAGGAAGTACAATGTGCAGTGTGTCTATGTCATGCCTGTATTTGAACATGATCGTTGGAAAGACTGATCAAATGTTATAGTTTAGGGACCATGCTTACCCAATGATCATTCCTTTAAACGTAAAGCTTGAAATTTGGGAAATGACATTTTTACAAGATGGCAAAACTGGACTTGTTTTGTTTTCTAAGGTGATTGATATGCCCGAGCACAACCCTGGCAATTTGGGAGGAACAATGAGACTGGGAATAAGAAGAACTGTTTTCAAAACTGAAAATTCAATATTAAGTAAGTTTCCCATATTGTTTATTTTACAAGATGTTGGATGTGGCTCATGTGACTGCAGGTGCCCAGCACTCTGGGTGGTGGAGACTCCCCCTGCCCCTTCCAGCATCCTCGGAGGGCCCTGATTCTCTCTCTTCCCATCTCCCCTGCCCTCACTGACCCTCTGCTCTGGGCATTCTTCTCCCTAGTAAGCTTGTCCCTTGGGCTGGCCTCAGTAGAACACACTGAATGCCCCTCCGCATTTGATCTGCGTGACTCCCTGTTCATTGGGCTGTTTTGTGAGTTACCGATGCTCCTGGAGATGAACTTGGACTGGGACTTGGACTGATTCACACTCAGTTCTTTTGAATCCACAGTTCTCTCCATTACATTTGAACCGGTTCCCTGTTTAATGTCTGTTTGCCTGGTCTTAGTGACTCACAAATGAACTTCCGAGTAGGAGGGCAGTTATGCACCTCAGAAGCGTATTTCTCTGTTCCCTGGCAGCCCCAGTGTGGGGAGATGGCTCGCCATTTGATATTTGCTGATCTTTCCACTCCCCATAAGGTTAATTCTAATTTCTGTGGAACTTTTTCATAAATTAGCATATTATATAAGAATAACTTATTGTTTAAAACAAACTAAAGCCTTTAATTCAATTTAATAAATGTATCTTGAGTGCCCACTCTGTGCCATGTGCAGATATAATAGTGACCAGGACAGATACCAGCCCTGCCCTCCTAGGGCCTCAAAACAAGGGGAAGAAATGTGACAAAAGGGGAAGGCAGATTGCTAAGGGGACCGGATGCAGAGAGGGAGCTCAGGAATTGTGAGTGTTCAGTGTCATTTTCGTGAAATTATAAGAATCCCTTAGAATCCTGTGAAGTTATAAGAATTCTTTTTTTTTTTTTTTTTTGAGACAGAGTCTCGCTCTGTCACCCAGGCTGGAGTGCAGTGGCACGATTTCGGCTCACTGCAAGCTCCGCCTCCTGGGTTGACGTCATTCTCCTGCCTCAGCCTCCCGAGTAGCTGGGACTACAGGCGCCTACCACCGCGCCCGGCTAATTTTTTGTATTTTTAGTAGAGATGGGGTTTCACAGTGTTAGCCAGGATGGTCTTGATCTCCTGACCTCATGATCTGCCCGCCTCGGCCTCCCAAAGTGCTGGGATTACAGGCGTGAGTCACCACGCCCGGCAAGAATTCTTCAGAAAAATGCCTTCTTAACTCAAGAAAGAGTAAGACCAGAAATATGAGCTTTTCCTTTAAAGATGAATATAAACCTTCTAAGGAATAGAAAGCTTCCTAGCCAGAATGAAATTAAAAAAGGAAAGGCTTCAAAGTGAATACAGTTTCCTCCTTTCTCTGCATAAAAAGCCATTGTTCTCTAAGTCACTAACATTTTTCCTTACACATACTATATAAGAACTTTTTTTCTTCATGAATGTTAGCAATTCTGTAGCTTTCAGGTGTCTTCAGATTCTATGAAACTTTGTTCAAGTAATTGCCTACGTGACAAAAAATGGTTGGTGAAAAATTAATGTCCTAAAATTATATCTATTGAGAAAGATTCAGTGATAATTGTACTAAGTTTTTAAAAAGAGCATTGTACTCAATATAGTTAAAAATTTGATAGATATAAGTCTGATTTAAGATTTTTCTTGGCCAGTCGCACTGGCTCACACCAGCACTTTGGGAGGCTGTGGCCGGCAGATTGCTTGAGCCCAGGAATTCAAGACCAGCCTTGGCAACATGGGGAGACCCTGCCTCTACAAAAAATACAAAAATTAGCCTGGCATGGTGGCTCATGCCTGTGGTCCCAGCCACTTGGGAGGCTGAAGCGGGACGATCACCTGAGCCCAAGAGGTTGAGGCTGCAGTGAGCCATGATGGTGCCACTGCACTCCAGCCTGGGTAAAAAAGATTTGTTTTTCTTAGTGCTGGATGTGGTGTAATGTGCCTGTAGTCCCAGCTGCTTGGGAGGCTGAGGTGGGAGGATTGCTTGAGCCCAGGAGTCGGAGACCAGCTGGGCAACATAGTGAGACTCCGTCTCAATTTAAAAAGTAAAATTTGTTTTTCTTCACAGTAGACATAAAAATATTGATGATTTGATGATTTTCATGAATCTTAAACACAGCAGCAAAGCTTGTTTTGAAAAATTTTGAAAACAACTTTATTGAGATATAATACATCATATAATTTGTCTATTAGTAGTGTACAATTCACTGATTTTATTTTTTATTTTTTATTTTTTTTTGAGACGGAGTCTGGCTCTGTCGCCCAGGCTGGAGTGCAGTGGCGAAATCTCGGCTCACTGCAAGCTCCGCCTCCCAGGTTCACGCCATTCTCCTGCCTCAGCCTCCCAAGTAGCTGGGACTACAGGCGCCTGCCGGCTATTTTTTTTTGTATTTTTAGTAGAGATGGGGTTTCACCGTGTTAGCCGGGATAGTCTTGATCTCCTGACCTCGTGATCTGCCCGCCTCGGCCTCCCAAAGTGCTGGGATTACAGGCGTGAGCCACCGCGCCCGGCCCAATTCACTGATTTTTTTAGTGCATTCACAGAATTGTGCAACCATCACCGCAATTTTAGGATATTTTCATCACCTCCTGTAGAAACCCTGTGCCCATTAGCTGTCACCATCCCTACTTCCCGCCAGCCCCTGGCAACCACTAATCTACTTTCTGTCTATAGGTTTGCCCATTATGGACATTTCATGTAAATGGAACCATATGATTTGTGGTCTTTTGTGTCTGGCTTCTTTCTTTCTTTTTTCTTTTTTTGAGATAGTCTCACTCTGTTGCCCAGGCTGGAGTGCAGTGGCATGATCTCGGCTCACCGCAACCTTCACCTCCTGGGTTTAAGCGATTCTCCTGCCTCAGCCTCCTGAGTAGCTGGGATTACAGGCACCCACTACCACGCCTGGCTGATTTTTGTATTTTTAGTAGAGACGGGGTTTCGTTGGCCACACTGGTCTCGAACTCCTGACCTCAGGTGATCTGCCCACCTTGGCCTCCTGAAGTGCTGGGATTACAGGCGTGAGCCACCATGCCTGGTCTGTCTCCTTTCTTCTAGCATAATGTTTTTTTGCTACATCCACATTGTAGCATGTATCAGTACTTCATTCCTTTTAATGGCCAAATAATATTCCATTGTATGGATAGACCACATTTTGTTTATCCATTCCTCAGCTGGTGGACATTTGGGTTGTTTCCAGGCAACAATTTCTTTAATTTTTTCTCCTTAATTTTTTAAAAAGTCCTTTTTCTAAAGGGAAAGAAAAGTATGTTGCCTTAAATTTAAGTTGTGCTTCATAGTTTCCAAGAAGTATGTGATATATGAACTTGTGCCCTCCCACTTGTGCAGCACTGTCTTCCACAGGTCTCCAAAAAAGGCTGTGCCAGAGATAAGAATGTGACCACTGTGCAAGGCTCTACTGAGTGGCATACAAATATCAAAACATATAGCATGATAGTGTTTTTTTGTTTTCTTTTGTTTTTTGAGACGGAGTTTCACTCTTGTTGCCCAGGTTGGAGTGCAGTGGTGTGATCTCGGCTCACTGCAACCTCCGTCTCCCAGGTTCAAGTGATTCTCCTGCCTCAGCCTCCCAAGTAGCTGAGATTACAGGCATGTGCCACCACGCCCTCCTAATTTTGTGTATTTTTAGTAGAGACGGGGTTTCTCCATGTTGGTCAGGCTGGTCTCGAACCCCCAACCTCAAGTGATCTACCCGCCTCAGCCTCCCAAAGTGCTGAGATTGCAGGCATGAGCCGCCGTGCCTGGCCGATAGTGTTTTATGAACGTTTTTTTTTCTCCTAGTCAACATATTTCTTTTGTAGAATTTTATGTATTTATTTATGTTTTTATAAGCTGGTACATTTCTTTTGTAGGATTCCCCCATCCCGTATTGGCATATTTCTTTTGTAGACTTTTTTCCAAGTCAGCACATTTTTGCAAGAATGCTATGAACAAAATACATTTGCCTACATTGCCTGTGAAAACAATTAACAATTTTGATAGAAAGCATTGAAATGCTACTCATTTTTTTCATTTAAATTTGACTTATAGGCCAGTAGTTACAATGCTTGGATTAAATAGAAAAACAGGAAAGTAAAGAGTCCTCTAGTAAAAAATAATGCCTTGAAATAGGGTCACAGCCTAAAGATATTGATAGCCGCAGTGGATGGATGACTAGAGTGAGCCTTTTTTTTTTTTTTTCTCTTTTTGAGACAGAGTTTTGCTCTTGTCACCCAGGCTGGAGTGCAGTGACACCATCTCGGCTCACTGCAACCTCCGCCTCCCAGGTTCAACCGATTCTCCTGCCTCAGCCTCTCGAGTAGCCGAGAGTACAGGCATGCGCTACTATGCCTGGCTAATTTTTTGTATTTTATTTGATGTGGGGTTTCACCACCTTGGCCAGGCTAGTCTGGAATTCCTGACTTAGGGTGATCCTCCTGCCTCGGCCTCCCAAGGTGCTGGGATTATGGGCGTGAGCTACTGCACCCAGCCGAGCCTAACTTTTATATTCAAGAACAATTCCTCTTTTTTTCTTAATAACCTGTTAATTCCTTAAGGGTTATGAAAACTATGAATTCACTTTTTCTGAAGTGGAGATTATAGGTTTGAATTGATTTGGACAAAAGTACTGGTAATGATTATTTGCCCTACTTATAAGCAGTGTGTTCCTAGAAGTTCCCTTCCTGTGTTCTATGTGTTGTCTTCATCTGCAAAGGCCTTTTCCTATAAAAGGGCTAATGACAGTGTGTGTAGAATTATCAAAGCTGATTCAAGGGTCCTTAGAAATGAGACATTTTGAGGAAGAGGGAGAGATTTGTTAAAGGATTCAAAATAATTACCCTGATTTGATCACTATACATTATATGTATTGAAATATCACTATGTGCCCCATAAATATGTATAATTATTGTCAATTAAAAAAAGAAAGAAGATTTTTTCTAAACTGTATTATCTATAATCCTGTATCTGAGTATTAACTGCATATCCATGGTCTTTTCCAGACTTCATCAAGATTAGTTTTTATGTAGTCTTTTCTGGTGGCATCACTTTTTCCTGTATCTGGTCTTCCTGTCTATGATCTGTGCATATAGTATTTAATCGCGTTAAGGAGGCATATTCTGCTGATTCATTTCCTACTGATAAAACACTTCACATGGTTTCTGGCATTTTGTTAGAAAAATGCTGAATCGAACATCCTGACACAGTGTTTTCGTTCTTTTGAATATTTCCTTAGTATAGATTTCCAGGAGTTGGATTATTAGGTCAAAGGGTATGAACACTTTTATGACTGATAATTCTGCCAGACTGTTGGAAAGAAGGGCTGAGCAAGGTCATAATGACATTCACTGTACTTGTGTCCCTGCTTTCCCTAGTCTTTTTGGTAGGATTATTTTTCTTCTTGCTGTATTAATGGAAACAAAAAGAGCCCTATTTCTGTTCATTGCTAAAAAGTGAAAACGTTTTCTACTTCGAATGTTGATTTACTTGTGTATATAGTGCCCAGGTCTGAAGTCTTTATTAGGACTTAACTATGGGTTGGTAAACTTTTTCAATAAAGGGCCAGTTAGTAAATATTTTTGGCTTTGTAGCCATTGTGGTGTGTAAACAGCTACAGGCAAATATGTGAGTGAACGAGCACGGCTGTGTCCCAGCAAAACTTTATCTATGGGCGCTGAAAGTTGATTCCATATCATTTTCATGTGGCATGAAATAATATTCTTTGATTTAATTTTTTCAACCAATTTAAAATGTAAAAACCATTCTTAGTTCAAGGGCCAAACAGAAACAGTCAGGGGGATCCCATGACTGTGGGCTGGGCCATAGTCTGTTGAATTCTGGTCCAAACAAGAACCTTTCAGCCTGGGCAACATAGTGAGACCCTGTCTCTACAAAAAAATTTTTAAAAAATCAGCCAGGTGTGGTGGCATACACCTGTAGTCCCAGCTACTCAGGAGGCTGAGGCAGGAGGATTGCTTGAGCCCAGGGAGTTGAGGCTGCAGTGAGCCATGATTGTACCACCGCACTCCAGTCTGGGCAATAGAGTGAGACCCTGTCTCAAAAAAAAAAAAAAAAACAAAAGAAAAGAAAAAGAAAAAGAACTGCATGTTGAATGAACTCCACGGATGAGGCAGTGAGCTGCTCCCATCCTAGGCAGAGTTGAAGGACATCATCTCCCCACTTCTCTACTGGCTTGCATACATATCCTATTTTATGACAGAGAATAGGACTAAGGGGGCTTTCAGAAGCCGTTTGATCTAACCTCCTTATTTTTCAGCTGAGGAAATGGAGGGCTGAGAGATGAAGTGGCACACAGTTGGGAGAGTCAGAACCAGGGCTTGGACACTCTTCCCACGTTATTTTCTAGTCTTCTAATAAAACATGCTGTCCTGGCTCCCCCATCTAGTGCTATAATCACTCTCCAAAATGTAACTCTTGGCCAGGCATGGTGGCTCATGCCTGTAATCCCAGCACTTTGGGAGGCCAAGGCGGCCAGATCACTTGAGGTCAAGGGTTTGAGACCAGCCTGGCTATCATGGTGAAACCTTGTCTCTACTAAAAATACAAAAATTAGCCGGGCATGGTGTGGTGTGTGCCTGTAGTCCCAGCTACTTAAGAGGCTGAGGCAGGAGAATAGCTTGAACCCGGGAGGCGGAGGTTGCAGTGAGCCGAGATCATGCCACTGCACTCCAGCCTAGGTGACAGAGCAAGACTCTGTCTCAAAAAAAAAAAGAAAGAAAGAAAAAAAAGGTAACTCTTGAAACACCCAATTGTTAGACTCCTTGATGCTCTACCTTCAGGTCTGTATATTTAGTTGCATGTAAATTATACCTCGATTTTTTAAAAACTCATTTTTCTCCTTTTAAAAAAGTTTTTAATTTTAAAAAATAGAGACGGGGTTTCTCTTTGTTGCCCAGGCTGGTCTTTAACTCCTGGCCTCCAGCAATCCTCCTGCCTCAGCCTCCCAAAGTGCTGGGATTACAGGCATGAGTCACTGTGTCTGGCCTTAAAAAAGCTTATACTATCTGGAAAGTTAGATAGTAGGGCTTGTCTCCTTATAGTGATGCTATTAGTTGATTAATTAACTCATTAGACGATTTTTGAAAAGCAGGGAGAAGTGGCACAGTGTGGGTAAGTCTTAAGTGGGGTGCTTTGAAAAGTAAGAAATGTAGAATGAGGAGTGGCTAAAGATGGAGGGATCAGGCTCAGGTGAGAGGGGAGCCAGGGGAACACTGAGGAACTAAGTTAATAGACGGTTTTAAGACTCCAAAAATAAACTTTATTGTTTTGCTTGTGGCTCTCAACTGAGAGCACAAGAGATGGGAACATAATAAAGCACAAAGAAATTCAGACAAGGTTCAGAGCTCATTCAGGGATGGCCAACAACTTGATAGTGTCTCTAAAATATTACAAGACCCTGGCCTTAATTTGCTTGGTCAAGTCCCAGATGTGTTGCCAAGACATCCAGCGAGGGAGGCAAGACTTTGTGTTGAATGTGGTTTCCAAACCAAACTGCCACCTGCTAGAAAGAACATGTTTTTCAGACCATTTCAGTTCACATGTTTGAATACTGCACAATCTGGTGTGTGTGAATTTAGTAGGAATGCTAGCCCCAAACTTATTTATTTATTTCTTTATTTTAGAGACAGGGTTTCACTGTGTTGTCCAGGCTGAAGGGCAGTGGTGTGATCGTAGCTCGCTGCAGCCTCAACCTCCTGGGCCCAAGCAGTCCTCCTGCCTCAGCCTCCTGAGTAGTTGGGACTACAGCCACATGCCACCACGCCTGGCTAATTTCTAATTTTTTTTTTTTTTTGAGACAGAGTCTTGCTCTGTCGCCCAGGCTGGAGTGCAGTGGCATGATCTTGGCTCACTGCAACCTCCACCTCCCGGGTTCAAGCAATTCTCCTATCTCAGCCACCCGAGTAGCTGGAGCTACAGGCGCCCGCCACCACGCCTGGCTAATTTTTGTATTTTTAGTAGAGACGGGTTTCACCATATTGGTCAGGCTGGTCTCAAACTTCTGACCTCAGGTGATCCACCCGCCTCGGCCTCCTGAAGTACTGAGATTACAGGCATGAGCCACTGTGCCTGGCCTAAAATTTTTGTAGAGATGAGGTCTCTTTGTTGCCCAAGCTGATCTGAAACTCTTGGCCTCAAGAGATCCTCAATGGCCTTTTGTACACTTTTTCAATAAGGGACCAGATAGTAAATATCTTTGGCTTTGCAGCCATTGTGGTGTGAAAGCAGCTACAGACAAATATGTGAGTGAATGAGCATGGTTGTGTCCCAACAGAGTTTTATTTATGGGTGCTGAAAGTTGATTTCATATCATTTTCACGTGGCATGAAATGTTATTCTTCATTTTGTCCAGCCATCAACCTAATTTAAAGCTCCCAAATTCTCTATGCCCTCCAAACCAGCACCCAAACAGTTAGGGAGCACTTACCCTTAGAAGCAGGGGAATGCCACAAGGTGGAAGGGTGCAGAGAAGACCCACAGGCTCGAGGAGAGAGAGGAGGGAAGAGGTGGGCCTTGAGCACGGGGTTGTACTGTGGGCTCCCTATAGGGAGGTGTATCTGGTCCGGTTAAGAATGCAACACAACACAGGGCCGGGCGCGGTGGCTCACACCTGTAATCCCAGCACTTTGGGAGGCCGAGGTGGGCGGATCACCTGAGGTTGGGAGTTTGAGACCAGCCTGACTTACCTGGAGAAACCCCATCTCTACTAAAAATACAAAATTAGCCAGGCGTGGTGGCACATGCCTGTAATCCCAGCAACTCGGGTGGCTGAGGCAAGAGAATTGCTGGAACCCGGGAGGCAGAGGTTGCAGTGAGCCGAGATCACACCACTGCACTCCAACCTGGGCAACAGAGCAAGACTCTGTGTCAAAAAAAAAAAAAAAAAAAAATACAACACAACAAACTTGAAGGAATTAGGAGCCCAGGGCAGTGCAGTTTATACAACTGGAGACTAGGACCTGGTGATTTCCGGAGTTCTGTGAAGCTGGCCCTCATCCTCAGAGCAGATGACATGAGGACAGTGAGGTTTGATGCAGGCAGATAACAGCTGGCAGAGGAGGCCAGGGAGAGCTCCTCAGGTTGATGCCGGCAGGAGCATGACATGACTCTGGCATACAAGACACGAGTGAAGCCTTCTGGACCTGGCAGGTGGAAATGGAATGCTTTAAGAAAAGGCTTCATTCCTTTCAGGGACCTTCTCTGCATTTCCTCGTATTAAAGAAGAAGAACTTGACTAAAACGACCAGTTCTGCTTTAATGTAAGGGAAAAAGTGTTTTGTTTGGAAAGAACAGAGGCACGAGGCCCATTAAAAAGATATTGAGTGAGACCCAGTGCTGGGAGTCCCGGTACAGTTTATGGCATTGCAAATGCAGAGTGGTTAAGTCTAAAATTTGAAAGAGCTGAAAGAAATGGGGAGAAGTTTTCAGGGGCTAGAAAAATGGCTTTTGCTTTCTTGTCTCTTATCAAAGCATTGATATGGAAAAACAGCTTCTGGCTCCTGGTGTGATTAGATTAGGAAGTTTAAAAATTAAAACCAAAACCAACATTGAATGTTCGTGAAACATTAGAGCAGGGGAAAAAAAAGAAAAACCATGTAAAAAAAAAAAATCCTCGACTGAGTTAATGAGGTAATTTACATAACAGTTTAAAAGAGGTCGCCCGGGATTTAGGGACCCTGAGTCCATGCCATGGTAATTTGTCATTGTGCTGAGACACAAATTCCAGAGGAGCACGGCAGGGCTTCGTGAGAGCTGCATACCACTTGGCGAGCCTCCCCGCCTGCCCCCAGAGCCCAGGTCCACACTGCAGGGTGGCTGTCTTCTTACTGCTTCTTGCCTTTTACTGGGGAAACCATTCGCTAAAGCGTGTTTGTTAATATGGAGGTTCATAGGTCTGGGACATAGCACCTTTCATCCTAACAACAGATGGCATTCCTGCCCCCTCTCTAGACAAGCACTTGTCCTCATCACTTCACCGAAGGGAACTAGTGGAGTGGTTAAGAGCCCAGCCTGTGGAGCCACTGCTCACCAGAGGCCCGTTGGGCCTCAGCTCTCAGTCTCTGGCTATGTGGAGCTACTTACCCGCACCACGCCTCAGTTTCTGCATCTGAAAGACAGAGATAAGAGCGCCGCCTCATGGGGTTCTTGTGAGGGTTAAATAAATGATATGCGGGAGCCCTTAGAACAGTGCCTGGCACAGAAAAGGCACTGTTTAAGTGTGGCTGATATTTGAGAGCATTGACCTGTGATCTTCTCAAAGCTTGGGGCAAACGTCGGTTAGTGACCTGGCATTAAGAATGAGGTCCCACTAGGGGAGTGGGAGGGAAGAATAGGCTTTCCCTTGCTCTTGCAAGGTTATTTCTATTCTGTCTTTCTTGGCTGCTAGCTCCCCACTTGCCAATGCATAAGATCTAAGAAAAGAGATGCCAAGAATGAGGTAAGAATACTAAATGGAAAACAAATGAAAGTGATGAAAGGTGGGGTGTGGTGGCTTACGTCTGTAATCCCAGCACTTTGGGAGGCCGAGGTGGGTGAATCACTTGAGGTCAGGACTTTGAGACCAGCCTGGCCAACATGGAGAAACCCCGTCTCTACTAAAACTACAAAAATTAGCCAGGCGTGATGGTGCATGCCTGTAATCCCAGCTACTTGAGAGACTGAGTCAGGAGAATCACTTGAACCCAGGAAGTGGAGGTTGCAGTGAGCCGAGATCACACCACTGCACTCCAGCCTGGGCGACAGAGTGAGACTCCGTTTTAAAAAACAAAACAAAAAGAACAAAAAAAGTGATGAAAAAGAATGTAATGCTATAATATAGAGTTAAAAGCAAAGACGCATTTTTCAACTCAGATGTATTATACTAAAAAATTGAGATAAAAGCAGATTAGGAAGATAAAATTAGGGAAGGGGGAGGAGTTTAGATACTAAAAGAAATGAAATATTTTATAAAAATTGGAGAAATGACATTCTAAAATTCAAAAGTAAGAAATAAAGGAGAAATATAGGAGAAAGTAAAGGAGAAATAAAGGAGCCAGCTGTGGCTGGCTGCAACTCGGTGCTTTCTGCACACCAGTAATTAAGACATTGCTCTCATCACCCCTAGGACCCAGCCACCATTTTGCACAAAAGAAAGGAATCTTAGCAAAGTTAAGTCACTCATCCAGGTCACTTGTTAGAAAGTCATTGAGCTGACTCTTTGACCACCTCACTGTACCAAACGGCTGGACCTTAATCAAAGAAGAGGCAGAAAAACCCAAACAGCTCCCAGAGCTGGATGCTGCCCTCACTGAGAATCCTGAGAAAAGGTTTTGCAGGTTTCGGGGGTGTCTGGTGGGTGGAGAGCAGGGGGTGCAGAAAGCGAAGACCCTACCCCAGGCCTCTTCTGAAAGCCAGTCTGAAACCGCGGGTTTAGCTTAAGGATAGACACAAGCACTGAGTCAGTTTTGCACTGAGCATCTAGGCCAGTAGGGCATGCAGACAGGCAGGTGTGAGAAATGCCACAGCTTAAGCTCAACAATCAGCAGCAGCTACACTGAGCCTTAGAGTTAGAGAGGCAGTAAGGAGTGGTAGGGACTGTGGCAAATCAGCAAGCATGTGCCCCATCAAAGAAGTGACTTCCACAGCTGGTAGTTGTATCAAGAACTGTGGATTCACTGCTGCCAGTCTTCTAAATTTTCAAGAAAATCTGGAAATCTGGAGTTTTATGTAAAATCTCCTGACGTTTAAATGTTGGCAACTTATTTACATTTTTAAAATATTGTGTGTTTGCCAGCACTCTGCAAGCGAAATACAACAAATATCTGCACCCTGGGCAGCCTCTTAGGATCTTTGAATTAGATAAGCACTGAATTAGATAAGCATCAGCAAATTCTTGCACATACGAGAGGGCTCTGGTCCTTAAAATGCCTAATTAGCAGAAGGCATGGTTGCAGGTAGTCTTAAAAGTGAAGTAAATTAAGACACTGGTGCAAAAAGGACATTTGTGTAAAAGCAAGGCAATTCTACCAAGAAAAGAGGTAATGAAGCCCAGCAGGTAGTGGTTTTACTTTTTTATTAAGTTGGTGCAAAAGTAATTGCGGTTTTTGCCGTCGAAAATAATGGCAAAAACTGCAGTTACTTTTGTACCAATGTATTAGATGCTATGGGTGATTGCCTTTAGCCCCCTGGAAATAGGAGATATGGCACCGGGGGAAAGATAAGGATCAGAAGGTATAGAATGGGAGTGGACAGCTATGTGGGTGATAGCTTCCAGGGGAGCGAATGTGGGAGAAGAAAAGAGGGTACAGTCTTGGGCAGGGGTCCCCAGTTGAGGATGATGAACAGGTAGATGGGGCAAAAAGTGCCTGGAGGAGCAGAGGTCACAGAAGGGGAAGGGTGGCAGCTGAAGACAGACCTGCTGGATTTTAGAGAGCAGTTCTGTAAAGTCACAGGAACAAAAGCCAGGTTGCAAAGGGTGGGAGTGGGAGGTTTGAATAAAGGGTGAGTCAGAGCAAGAGGGCATCATGGACAAGAGTGGGGCTGGATGATTTTTGTTTTTTATTTTAAAAATTTTTAATTGTGGTAAAATATACATAACATAAAATGTACCATCTTAACCATTTCCTAGTGTACAGTTCAATTGTGTTAAGTACATTGCATTGTTGTACAGTCTCCAGAACTCTTCTCATCTTGCAAAACTAGAAACTATACCCATTAAATAGCAACTCCCCCTTCCCCTGGCCCCTGGCAACCACCATTCTATTTTCTTTCTTTCTTTTTTTTGAGACAGAGTCTCACTTTGTTGCCCAGATTGGAGTGCAGTGGCATGATCTTGGCTCAGTGCAACCTCTGCCTCCAGGTTCAAGCGATTCTCCTGCCTCAGCCTCCTGAGTAGCTGGGATTACAGGTGTCCACCACCACGCCCAGCTAATTTTTGTATATTTAGTAGAGATGGAGTTTCACCATGTTGGCCAGCCTGGTCTCGATCTCCTGACCTCAAGTGATCTGCCCCCCTTGGTCTCCCAAAGTGCTGGGATTACAGGCATGAGCCACCATGCCTGGCCTCTATTTTCTGCCTCTTTGGGTTTGACTACTCTAGATGATATGGACAGGAGACCGGGAAATACTGGGCAGAAGAGGGCGATTCTCTGGCAAAGGCCCGACCCTCAAGCCTGGAAACCTGTGGCCCTAAATAAGAACAAGCATTCCTGTTTTCACCCCCAAATGTTGCCTTTTGGCCCGCCATGCCCCCTATCCTGTACTATATAAACCCCAAACCCCAGGCTCCATGAGCAGAAGAGTGGTGTGGCAGAGAAGGAGAGAAGAGAAGGAGCATCTGAACATGGAGAGGAGTCCGGCTGGGGACCATTGGAGAGGAGATTGGCTGCTGGACGGCCAAACTCCAGGGGAAGATCATCTTCCCACTCCATCTCCTTCCTCCCCATCCATCCCACTGAGAGCCACCTCCACCACTCAATAAAATCCCCGCATTCACCATCCTTCAAGCCCATGTGTGACCTGATTCTTTCTGAATTCCGGACAAGAACCCAGGCACCAAGAAGGCACTGAGCTGGTTAACACTTAAGCCATCTATGGACGGCAGAGCTAAAAGAGCACTGTAGCAAGCCCAGTGGAGTTTCCGGAGTCACAGGCACCCACTCCTAGACACTACTGTGTGGCTGGAGCCCAAAAGTGTTCGCCCTGGATCCTGCACCTGCCCGTCTGTGTGCTCCCCCTCCCATAAGGGATTTGAGTGCACACAGTGGCTGAACAGATGAGCCATACCTCTGTTGCACGTCCTGTGAGGGGGGTCAGGGAACTCTCTCGTTTTATCGATACCTCCTTGAAGTAGAATCATACAGTATTTGTCCTTTTATGAGTGGCTTATTTCACTTAACATATTGTCCTCAAGGTTCATCCATATTGTAGCATGGGACAGGATTTCCTTCCTTTCGAATGCAGAATAATATTCCATTGTGTGGATGGATATGCACATTTTGTTTATCCATTCATCCCTCAGTGAACATTTGGGTTGCTTCCACCTTTTAACTTGTGTAGCTTTTTTGGGGGGATATTTTGGCTCTCAAAAGGACAAAGGAAAAAATTAGGTTCAGTTGCTAGGATTACTCACATGAGGGTAGGCATGGGCAGGACCATTAAACAGGTAAAAATATATTATGTATGAGGCAGTATCTTACCCAGTAGCAAATTAGAGAAAGAGATGGTATAATTTGGAAAGGTGGTTTTTGTTTCTGATAACCCTTTTATCCACATTTTTGGTGTCTTTCTGCCTGCATTGGGAGTGCTTTATAGGTCCTAAGACTTTTGTTGGTTTTCTTTCTCTAAAGCTTTGCTGACATTTACTTCTTAAGTGAACATTTTATTTTGTCTCTAAAAAGACTAGGACAGAAAGAAAGACTGAGTCACTTTGTTGTTGAGATTTTCCCCCATTCCTAGGATCATTTCATGGCACCTGTGACAGAGGACTGCTCTTAGGAACGTGGTGTGTATACCTCTCAGTTTCTGACTCTACTCCTAGATTTTACATTCAACAGTATCTAGCATTTTGCCTTGTCGTGGAATGTTCTTATACTGCACTTTCAATGTTGGTGTAGATTAGTTGATTCTAACCAGAAATGCATGTCAGGGTGACTTGTGGTGCATTTTTAAAACCCACGTGGCCAGACACTCTCCTGAGAGTAATCAAATCAGAATCGATGGTACTGGGGTACCCGGGCTCCAGAATGAGTATTCTTAGTTTTATTTTGTTTTCGGGATGTTCTCAAATAGAATTTCATTGGTAGCATTCTGAACTGATTCTCAACATAGAGTTTTTAAGGAAATTTTAATTTTTCCTTTTTCACAGGTATAGCAATGGATTAATTTTGTAAATTCATTTCTGATAGATTTGTAAGCAATGAAGAAAGATTTTGAATGCATAAAATAGAATTTCCAAAGTTCTGAAAACATGTTTCATTGTATATCGTATCTGTTGTATGTTGATTTCATTCAACAATTCATTATTGAGTACCTGCTTATCTGCTAGGTGCTGGTCTTAAGAATTGAGGGGATGGGCCAGGCGCGGTGGCTCACGCCTGTAATCCTAAGGCGGGTGGATCACGAGGTCAGGAGATAGAGACCATCCTGGCTAACACGGTGAAACCCCGTCTCTACTAAAAATACAAAAAATTAGCCAGGCATGGTGGCACACACCTGTAGTCCCAGCTACTCGGGAGGCTGAGGCAGGAGAATTGCTTGAACCCGGGAGGCGGAGGTTGCAGTGAGCTGAGATTGCACCATTGCACTCCAGCCTGGCGACGGAGTGAGACTCCGTCTCAGAAAAAAAAAAAAAAAAAAAAAAAAAAAAAAAAGAATTGAGGGGATGACTGCTGGGTATATACCCGAAAGGAAGGAAGTCAGTATATCAAAGAGATATCGCAGTCCCATGTTTATTGCAGCACCAGTCACAGTAGCCAAGATTTAGAAGCGACCTAAGTGTCCATCAACAGATGAATGGATAAAGAAAATGTACTTATACACAATGGAGTACTATTCAGCCATAGCAAAGAATGAGATCCTGTCATTTGCACAGCACAGATGGAACTGGAGATCATTATGTTAAGTGAAACAAGCCAGGCACAGAAAGACAAACATCGCATGTTCTCACTTATTTGTGGGATCTAAAAACCAAAACAATTGAACCCATGGAGATAGCAGAAGGATGGTTGCCAGGGGCTGGGAAGGGTAGTGGGGGGCTGGTAGGGAGGTGGGGATTGTTAATGGGTTCAAAAAGTAGAAAGAATGAATAAGACCTACTATTTGATAGCACAACAGGGTGACTATAGTCAGTAATAATTTAATTGTACATTTAAAAATAACTCTAAGAGAGAGTAATTGGATTGTTTGTAACTGAAAGGATAAATGCTTGAGGAGATGGATACCCCATTCACCATCATGTGATTATTACACATTGTATGCCTGTATCAAAACATCTCATGTACCCCCTAAATATATATACCTACTGTATACCCACAAAAATTTAAAATAAAAGATTTAAAAAAATAATTGAAGGGTCAGGTCCCTATTTTGTCTGTTACCTCGTATAGCTTATGTTCTAGTTCCATTCATTTGGATTTTATTGTCTGGAGATAACAATATCAATCACTGAAATGGTTCGCTTTCTGTTCTCAGTGCTTCCCATATTTTGATTTATTTAATCCTTACAACTCTATGAAGTAGGAACTATCATAATCCCTATTTTATAGATGAGGAAACTGAGGTAGAGAGGTTAAATAATATGCCCAAGCCACACATCCGTTAAATAGTACAGTGGAATTTAAAGCCAGGAAGTCTGACTTCAGAGTCACTACACTCCCCTACCCCTTTCTGTCACCTCTGAGATATCTTAGCAAATACAGAGTCTGCCTTAAGCCAGGCAGCAGTCAGAAACCATGCAGTTTCAAACATTCTCATGATATCCTGCTAGTCCCCTTGACTCGAAGATACGATTCCTTATATCCTAATTTGGAGATTTGTGCCATTTTCCCCATCATCTCGAGAAATGTTGGCAGACTCTAGTATTGGATTTACAAATCACCTATTGTAATGAAGGGAACAGAAAAGAAATTTTGGACTATAGGAGGAAAAGATCAATGTCAAAGTCAGAGGTCATAGGACACTTAGGATCCTCTGAGGCAACTTCCTGATGCTTCTATGTTTTCTTTCTTTTTCTTTTTCTTTCTTTTTTTTTTTTTGAGACAGCATCTCGCTCTGTCACCAAGGTTGGCAGGTTGGAGTGCAGTGGTGACATCCTGGCTTACTGCAACCTCCGCCTTCCAGGTTCAAGTGATTCTCGTGCCCCAGCCTCCTGAGTAGCTGGGATTACAGGTGCGCACCACCACGCTGGGCTAATTTTTGTTTAGTAGAGATGGGGTTTCACCATGTTGGCCAGGCTGGTCTTGAACTCCTGACCTTAAGTGATCCTCCCCCTCTCAGCTTCCCAAAGTGCTGGGATTACAGGTGTGAGCCACCGCGCCCGGCCTTCCTGATGCGTCTGTGTTTTCTAACTGTATGTTATTGTGCTTTATTTCCCATTTTTATTTTAATTTTTATGAAGCAGTTGTTTTAGTTTAGGCTGTCCTGAATGACCCCTGCCAGTGGTATGTTCGCATTCTCTCAAAGGAACTCCCTGCCCCCACTATTCCCCTTTTTTCTAAAATACATACCTTAAATATTCACTATCATTCATATCGTCACCAGGGAGCTCAGTCTATATGGACAGAATTGCAAATAGAAGTTCAGCTGTGATCATTGATCGTACAAAGTTATATGAGAATACAACCCATTTGTGTTTGCTTGATCCAAGTCAAAAGCTCAAACAAGATGCAAAGAAAGCATTTATTTGGTTTTTCTTGGTTGAAACATCCTGTTCCAGCCTCATGATGTCTTTGAGAGTCTGATAATTCCCTGCCTGTTGAACTGAGCATGGCTTCTGATTCTGTTGGAGTTTCAGCATGACTTCCAGCACTGTTATCTTCTTAACCCTTGGCTGTGTACCTGGGATCTGCGTTTTGAGGGCTAGTGCTGTAGGAAGAGTCTCTGGTCCTCTCAGACTGCTCCAGTGCTGGAGCCCACTTGGTCCCTGGACCATCCTGCTTCTCCACATGCTCCAGTAGGGGCATTCTTTTTATTATTATTATTATTATTATTATTATTATACTTTAAGTTCTAGGGTACATGTGCACAATGTGCAGGTTTGTTACATAGGTATACATGTGCCATGTTGGTGTGCTGCACCCATCAACTCATCATTTACATTAGGTATTCTCCTAATGCTATCCCTCCCCCAACCCCCTACCCCCCGACAAGCCCCGGTGTGTGATGTTCCCAATGGGAGCATTCTTGAGAGGTGTTTGGTGATGGATCCGACTCCTATTCACCTGACAATGAAGTCACTAGGCAGCTCGTTGATCGCCGTGCCCATCGCCACACTGGTCATGCCCAGGGTGCTGTGCTTAGCTGCAGTGCCTCAGCTACGTAGGCATGTTTAGGCAGCTCCCCAGATGATTCTCAGCCACACACCCCTGGTTAAGAGCTGTTGGCATAGATGTGCTATCATTTAATCCACCAGTTTGTCTATTCTTGATGCTCAGCTTGCTTCCAATTATTTGCTATTAAATAATTCAGCAGTGCACATCTTTGTGGTTAAGTCTTTGTCCTCATTTCTATTTTCTGGGATAAATTCTGAGAAGTCCAACTGTAGGATCATAGGATAGGTACATTTTTAAGGTGGAGTACATTTTGAATGTGGCCAGTACGGTGTGAAAATCTGGAGGCAGCTGGTGGAGTGGAGAAAGCATTGGGCCAGGTGTGAGGAAGCCTGGGATCAAGAACAGGCTCCGCTGCCCAGCAAGGCAGGGCTTTGGGCAAGTCTCTTCCCTGCCCCCAGTTTTGTTTTCTTCCTTTGTAAATGAGGCTCATTACAAATCTGCACTGAAGCGATAGTGCAGACATGGCCGTCTCTTAGTCCTGCAGGCAGGTGTATATAAGGAGGGCAGATCTGCTGGATTCTGTGGTGGACTTGTGTAGCATCTGGCTTCCTTTTATGCAATGGTGATGGCTTACTTGAGAAGTGCTTCAGGTTTTCAAAGAAGCTATCGCCATCTTCTATTAGAAAAGAAGAAAATCTAGATGACTATATGGAGTCTATTAGTTCATTTTTAGTCCTCTGATAGATAGATAGTGATCCAGGCACTTGCCTCCACAAAGCATCATGGATGTGCTTGTGAAGCTGCTTACTCTAATATTAATCTCGCTCTTGTATCTTTACAGGGAAACTTTATGGTGATGTTCCTTTTATAGAAGAAAGACACAGACATCGGTTCGAGGTACGGCTTTCATGCTGAATTACTGGGGAATATGGATGCTTAGTGTGAGGAACCCAGTGATTACAAGCTGAGCCTCTGGAAAAGGTGTCTAGCCTGGTGGTATTCACAGGGCTCAGAGAGGACCAAATTTCCCACAGTCTCCCACTTCCAGAGGAGATGGGCGGCGAGGGGACAGGGGTGGGGAGTGGGGGGCGGAGGCTCTCATGTTTTTGGCTTTCCAAAGGCAAAATCTTTATGTACCTGCACATGGGGCCTATCAATGCCCTTTGTTACTCTAACTGCCATCTTCTAGATCATGATAAGGCCATCATTTCTTATCCTTAGCCCCCACCCTTTATTTTGCCAATTTTGTGGAAAAGAGGACTTGAATCTTCTGAGAAGGAACCAAGTGCCTTTTGGGATGGGGGTGCATCCCTGGGTATCAGGGGGTGATTAGTTTGAGAACCTCTTTGGAAATTTACATTAAGCTTGAGGCTTAGCGTCACATGACTAAAAGGAGTTAATTGTTGAGGTTGCCACATGAGAAACATAGATTTCTCGAAATGTAGATCGTCTATGCCAGGATTAATGAGTGTGTCAATTACGATGCATTTGACTGTGAAGAACAGAAATCCCTGCTTGTTGTCACTCAAATCACCCTAAACATTAAGGAAATTTGTTATCTCAGGCACCAGGTTGTCCAGAGGCTGGACAGGCTCCAGGCATGGCACAACCAGGGCTCCTGTTGTCTCTGTGGTTATCTCAGCCCTACCCTTGTCTGTGTGTCTGCTTCGTCCTTTAGCTGGTCTCCCATATAGTTCCCAGGTGGCTGCCAGCAGCATCTGGGACAAGAGGCATCTCTCCAGACAGGGAAATCAACTTAGATTACCTGCCCACCTGTGAACTAGTAGCCATTTTTCAGGGCAATGCTGAACATCAGTGGGCTTAAACCTGGGTTCTTGCAATATTCATCTTCCAAGAGGGCTGGGTTTATTATGTTTGGCTTAGACCAGTTAGAACCAGTTTCTGGAATGGGACAGATGGAGTTTCCTGGTTCATATAGGGGTGGAGTGGATACCAGGACAAGCCTAGGGCTCTGTTTTGAAGGAGGACTCGTGGGAATCAATGCCAAGTAGGCAATGAACAGTGTCACTATGACCAAGGAACATAATTTGGTACATGTAGGACATTTTTGGTCTTATTTCCATTGGGAACGGGCCCAACTGGTGGGATAAAAATTATTGAGCTGCTTTGGCTAAGTGGCAATGAGAAGGTGCAAGAACTGGTACGTACGCAATAGCGTAGCCATTCATTCATTCACACCTATTTTGCATCTGGTATGCATTGGAGATGGAAAGGGGAAAGACAGACATGGTCTCCCTCTTGTTAGGGAGCTTACATTCTAATGGAGAGGACAAAAAATAAGATAACATAATAATTACAGATTAAATCCTGTATTGGATAAGGGACTTGTATCTAAAATATATGAAGAGCTCTTACAACTCAATAATGAATAATTGCAAATGATATGAATAGATATTTCTTCAAAGAAGATGTACAAATGACTAATAAGCACATGAAAAGATGCCCAACAATCATTAGTGATCAGGGAAATGCGTATTGAAACCACAAAAAGATACCACTTCACACCCACTAAGCTGGCTATAATCAAGCACAGACAATAATAACAAGTAGTGGAGAGGATGTGGGGTAACTGGAACCTTCATGCATTGCTGGTTGGAATGGAATATATTGCAGCCCCTTTGGAAAACCATCTGGAAGTTTTTCAAAAAGTTAGACATAAGAATTACCATATGACCCAGCAGTTCCACTCCTAGATATATACCCAAGAGAAATGAAAATGTATGTCCACACAAAAACTTTTATCTGAATGATCATAGCAGTAATATTCATAACAGCCAAAAAGGCAGAAACAACTCAAATGTCTACCAACTGGCGAATAGATAAGCAAAATGTGGTGTATTCATTCAATGGAGTATTATTCAGTCATAGAAGGAAATGAAGTACTGATTTATGCTACAACATAGATAAACCTTGAAAACATCATGCTGAGTGAAAGAAGCCAGATACAGAAGCCCACATATTGCATGATTCTATTAATATAAAATGACCAGAATAGGCAAAGCTATAGATGTGGGATATAGATTAGTGATTGCCAGGGGATCGGGTCAGGGTGATGGGGGGTTGGGGGATGAGGTTAAAGGGTACAGGGTTTGTTTTTCAGTTGGTTGTGGTAATGGTTGTACACCTCTGAATATACGAAAAATCATTTGTGTATTTCAAATGGGTGAATTGTATGGTATGTGAATTATGTCTTAAAGCTGTTAAGGAAGGAAAAATAATGACAATACGAGAACTGGTATAATTTTAAAATGTAGAATAAAAGCTCTGAGGTTAAGATTGCAAAGAATAGGTGAGACTCCACCTTAACTTTTGACAGGGAAGCACTTTCACTGAAGGAGAGGCTGAAAAGGAGTCCTTAGGTTTGGGAAAGGGCTAAGGTGAGATGGGGGCCAGAAAGGGCCACAAGCCAGGTCATCAAGTTGCCATCTATTAGGATATTTTAGTAGAAAACTTGCTCCAAGCTTCTCTTTAGAGCTTTTATGTAACTGCATGTAAAGAAAGCATTGGGGTTAGTCACAAGGGAAATAGGATAGTTTTAATCTTCAAGCAAATTTGTGATTCGGGGAGAGATAGGGAAGTACACATAACTCAAGGGAAGAAGCAAACATGGAAATGGCTATAAATAACTAGTCTCAAGGTTCCAGGTCAGAATGTCTGGGTTACAGGGCCTACTTTTTGAATCTCACCTTTGGGTAATAGAAGGCACCTCCTAGATTTAGGTGCTGTGGTTACATTTTATATCTGAGGTTCATCATTAGTTTAAAATTGGCTTTGAGCATTGAATATAGACATTAACTACTAGTTAGAGGATCACTGAAATGGAAAACCCACCCAACTGATGAAGGACCTGGTATGGCAGCTGGTATTGCACTGTGGCCCATAAACACTTAATTTCTTGTTTTGCAGGTAAACCCTAACCTGATCAAACAATTTGAGCAGAATGACTTAAGTTTTGTAGGTCAGGATGTTGATGGAGACAGGATGGAAATCATTGAACTGGCAAGTAAGTGGGCTCTTCATTTTTGAAAACCTTCCAATAACTTGCCTTTTTGTGGACCACAGACTAATTTGAGACCCAGTTTTTTTTGCATTCTTTCTTTTCTTCTCTCCTTTGAAACAAATATGTAACTACAAAGTACATGAAAAAAACAGACTGCTGGCTGGGCATGGTGGCTCACGCCTGTAATCCCAGCACTTTGGGAGGCTGAGGTTGGCGAATCACCTGAGGTCAGGAGTTCGAGACCAGGTTGGCCAACATGGTGAAACCCCATCTCTACTAAAAATACAAAAATTAGCCAGGTGTGGTGGCGTGCACCTGTAGTCCCAGCTACTCAGGAGACTGAGGCAGGAGAGTCGCTTGAACCCAGGATGTGGAGGTTGCAGTGAGCCGAGATCGCGTCACTGCACTCCAGCCTGGGTGACAGAGTGAGACTTTGTCTCAGAAAAACAGACTGCTTATAATCCTGATCATTTTGGAGCCTATTAGTCTGACTCCACCATAAAATGATGTATTATTCCAAGTCTACCAGTTCTACAAGTAGTATGCTTCCTTACCAACTCCTCTCTTTCTGAGGCTACTTCTTTGTGCCAGCCTCTAGGTTAGGTGCTCTGGGAAAGGCAGAGTGGCACTGTTGAGTGGCACCCTGCCTGCTCTCCTCTTTTGAGAAAGAATAGCCAAGTGCCACCTCATTTTTGGTGACTGATGTTGATTTCTGTTGCTTGAGGGACCTGGCTCCTCTCCTGCCTTTCTCCACTGTGCTGGGTGGTCAAGCACGGGTCAGTCATTTAACTTCTGAACACTAATCACTGCCCCCAGAGTTGTTTTTAAGAGCAAACAGAACAGAAATAAAGGCATCAGAATTGAGGAAGAACACCGAAGTTGTTGTTAGTAACCAGGCTGGAACACCCGTGAGCACATAGGCACAAACTACACATTTACTATTGATGAGACAGAAGGCAGTGTTCTTCTCAGTCAGCTTTGCAAGGACATGGTAAGCTCATGGTCACAGCTGGTCTCAGCTCTTTGTCTTGATGTTCTAGCCCAGGGGTTGGCAAACTACTGCCTGTGCACCACGTCCAGCCTGCTGTTTACAGCCAGCTTATGAGCTGAGAATGATTTTTACATTTTTTAATGGTTAAAAAAATTTAAAAAAGAATACTGTCTGTGACATGTGAAAAGTGTATGCCATTCAAATTTGCATCCATAAATAAAGTTTTATTGGAACACAGTTTAGGGGTAGAAAGGTGTTATCTGTGACCTTCTTACCCATCATAAGGGTCATGACCAACAACCCTATAACAAGACAGGTTGACAAGAGAAAAGCATAACAAATTTATTTAATCAAAGTTTTATGTGACACTTTAGTCTTCAGGAATGAAGACCCAAAGACTTGGGGAAAACTTCATTTGTATGCTTAGGTTTGATGAACAGTGGACAGCCATGTAGCAATGTGATTGGGCAAAAGGGCATACTCTAATGGTAATAGACTGACAGGGAAACCCAGAAAGGCCTGTCTGCTCAGATTCTTCTTGGCCTTTCTGTGTAGCATCCCATTCCCCCAGGTCTAGAGCAGGACTCATCTGGAATGAGGGTCTTATGACCTACTTTCAGGAAAGGTAGGTCAGATAATTTATTTATAGCCAGCTTTCACATGGAAAGGCGGGGGAAACATCACAGTGACCTTCTTGCTTTGGAGGTCTTCCCAGTCACCTTCAGTTCAAACTACTTTAGGGTAGTATTTTCTGAGCTCCGACAACAGCAACACTCATTCATTTATGTCTTGTCTATGGCTGCTTTTAATTTTTATTTTTTTTGAGACAGGGTCTAGCTCTGTCACCCAGGCTGGAGTGCAGTGCCATGATCATGGCTTACTGCAGCCTTGACCTCTTGGGCACAAGTAATCCTCCCACCTCAGCCTCCCAAGGAGCTGGGACTGCAGGTGTGCATCACCCTGCCTGGCTACTTTTTTTTTTTCTTGAGATGAAGTCTTACTCTGTTGCCCAAGCTGGAGTGCAGTGGCGCGATCTTGGCTCACTGTAACCACCACCTCTCAGGTTCAAGCAATTCTCCTGCCTCACCCTCCCGAGTAGCTGGGACTACAGGCATGTTCCACCATGCCCGGCTAATTTTTGTATTTTTTAGTAGAGATGGGGTTTCACTATGTTGGCCAGGCTGGTCTTGAACTCCTGACCTCGTGATCCGCCTGCCTTGGCCTCCCAAAGTGCTGGGATTACAGGCATGAGCCACGACGCGCAGCCAATTTTAAAATTTTTTTTGTAGCGGCAGGTTTTTGCCATGTTGCTCAGGCTGGTCTCACCTGGGCTCAAGGCCTCTTCCTTCCTCAGCCTCCCAAAGTGCTGGGATTACAGGCATGAGCCACCATGCGCAGCCAATTTTTAAATTTTTTTTGTAGCGGCAGGGTTTTGCCATGTTGCTCAGGCTGGTCTCACCTGGGCTCAAGGCCTCTTCCCTCCTTAGCCTCCCAAAGTGCTGAGATTACAGGCATGAGCAACTGCACCTGGCCCATGGCTGTTTTTTATGCTACCATGGCAGAGATGAGTAGTTAAGAAAGAGACCTTATGGCTCACAAAGCCTGAAATATTTACCTTTTATAGAATATTGGCCCTTTACAGAAACATTTGCTAACTCCTGGGCTAGACTCACACATATACACTTCATTTAACTAACTTGAATTTAACATTTTCACGTGCCTCCTTGACCTGTTTGTGTATTTGGATGTTGTGTTGCCACTTCCATCTCAACTTATTTAAAACTAAATTTACATGGTCTCCCAATTAGTTCATTCTCCTGTTTCTGTTAAGATATCATCAATATCCTTGTCCAGGGTTTCTCAGCCTTGCCACTATTGATTGACATTTGGAGTGGAATAATTCTTTGTCGTGGAGGCTGTCCTGTGCACTGTATAGCAAGCTTGTCCAACCCACAGTCCGTGGGCTGCATGCAGCCCAGGGTGGATTTGAATGTGGCCCAACACAATTTCGTAAACTTTCTTAAAACATTATGAGATTTTTTTGCAATTTTTTTTTAAGCTCATCAGCTATCATTAGTGTTAGTGTATTTTATGTATGGTCCAAGACAATTCATCTTCTTCCAGTGTGGCCCAGGGAAGCCAAAAGATTGGACACCCCTGTTGTAGAGTGTTTGGCAGCATTCCTAGCCTCTACTCACTGCCACTATCATCCCTACCTCCCACGTTGTGACAACCCAAAATATCTCCAGACATCATCAAATGCCCCTGGAGAGCCAGGTGCAGTGGCTCACGCCTGTAATCCCAACGCTTTGGGAGGCGAAGGTCGGAAGATCACTTGAAGCCAGAAGTTCGAGACCAGCGTGGGCAACATAGTGAGATCCTGTCTCTACAAAAAACTAAATAATTAGCTGGGCATGGTGGTTCGTGCCTGTGGTCCCAGCTACTTAGGAGGCTGAGGTAGGAGGTTGAGCCTGGGAAGTTGAGGCTGCAGTGAGCCATGATCATGCCACTGCACTTCAGCCTGGGTGACAGAACAAGACCCTATCTTAAAAAAAAAAAGGCAAGTCCCTGGGGGGCACATTTGGTGGAGAACCATTCTCCTAGACTATCAGGCTAGAAATTTCACATATTAGCTCTTCTTCCCCTTCAGATCCCAACTAGCAGTGTGTTGTCAAGTCCTGCAGATTCTGCCTCTGGAAAGAAAGCTGGTGTTTAGAATTGCACTGCCATCCCTAGAACACTAGTCCCAGTGCATGCCAACTCCAGCTCACACTTGTCCTCAATCTCCTTCCTGCTTCCAAGCCATCCCTTCTCCAATACCTCCTAACAAGAACAGAACTCTGCAGTGTGTGACACTAATTTGTTGGATAAACCACTCTCATATATTGAGTACTAAGGGTGTGCAGGATACTGTAAAAATGGTACCGTGATGTTCCAGAACCTGCATTTCCAGCCTATATGCTTTAGGCTCCAGATAAATTGGATTGCCTGTGCGTCTTCTAACCTCCCTCTTCTTTCTCCGTCTTAGCTCATATCACTATTCTCCATTTCAAATGCCTTTTCTCTGTCTCTTTTCCTTTTTGTCTCTAATCTGTTCAAGTACTTCCAGAGTCCCGAGCAGAGGGGAGAATTGAAGTCCAAGAAGGCTCCTTTGAACGTTGTAGCATTTTACCTAGACCTGAAAGAAGGAAAGCAATGGACATTCAGTGTGCACTTACTGGATGCTTGTCACTAGACCTCTTGCTAGGGACTTTGCATACCTTATGTAACTAACAAAGCAGATGATGCTATTCCCACTTTACAGAGGACACCGGAGTGCAAAGAGGTTAAATGACATGCCCAGGGCCATCCAGCTAGTCCTTTGCAGCAAGAGCAAACCCAGTTGGTTACCTCCTTCTGCCACCACTGCTGTGGGATTTCATTGTTTCTCTTGTTTTCACGTTCTACCTAAGATGATCAATTCATGCCTAGAGTTTTGAATTAGAATAGTAAGTACGCATTTCCAGGAGTCTTTCTGATGGAAATGCCCATCATTTAGAATTAAAGTGTGGATCGCTGTTGGTATTGAAGCCTCTTAAATCTTCCTAGCATGTGAGAAGGCAGAAAATTTCTTAAGCAAATTACTATTTGTTTACTTTGTTTAAGTACTTATTCACTTTTAATTCTTCTGGTTGTCATTATTGTCATCAAATACTTAGAAGGTTCTTTCATCATAAGGATTTAGATTCCCACTGGGGCTTTCAAATTTCATGTGGATTGAAAAGGAAATGAGAGCTGCTATAAAACCTTGCAGTTTTTAAAAGCGGACTGCAAGCAGTTATTAAGGAAAATTCCCCAGAAGATTTTGATCTTAGATACCCCTTGGAAACATATCCACGAATCTCCACTGTTCCTGAAGGGTTCTGAGAGGAACAACAAAGCTTGAGATTAATATTATATAATGTCAGAATTTGGTTTAAAGCAATCAACAGCATTATTTTAAAGATAATTTTATCTAACTGATAGAACATCATCAAAATAAAAACTTTTTACTTTCTCCTCATATTGGCATAGAGGATTTTTTGGATAAAGTGATTCAGAGCAATGATCCATTCATTCACATAGTCTGTCCCTGGCTATTACATGATTACATTGCTCAGCATCTGTCTGTAGTGATACAAAAGCACAGTTACTGTCTGCTTTTTTTTCAAAGATGTCCCTAGATGTTATGCAGTAAGATTTATTGTCTCTTAAATTTTAAGCTACATTGCTTAATTTCTTCTCTAAGTGCGGATGATTTCTCTGCGTTTCTTGAGGGAATACATTCCTGGGAGAAGG
Source organism: Homo sapiens (assembly GCF_000001405.40). Taxonomy (NCBI): domain Eukaryota; kingdom Metazoa; phylum Chordata; class Mammalia; order Primates; family Hominidae; genus Homo; species Homo sapiens. Next base: position 16,611,844 of record NC_000023.11, on the reverse strand, counting down.
TGGCATTCCCCTTATCAGGCTTTCTTACCTGCATATTCCTCTAATTCAAGGAGGTTTCTTCTTAGATGTAGAGGATTTCTACACTGGATTTTTCTGGGATCAGAGCTGTCCTATAGAACTCACTGGATTTTTCTGGGATCAGAGCTGTCCTATAGAACTCACTGCAATGATAGAACTAGTCCACCCTATCCAATATGGTAGCCACTAGCCACATGTAACTTTGAACATGTTTCAAATGCTGAATTAATGTTAATGAATTTAAGTAGCTACATATGGCTAGTGGCTACCATTTTCTATAGCAGAGCTTTTTTTTTTTTTTTTTAATAATTTCAACTTTCATTTTGGATGCAGGGAGTACATGCGCAGTTTTTTTTGTTTGTTTGTTTTTGTTTTTGAGATAGGGTCTCACCCTGTCACCCAGGCTGGAGTGCAGTGGTATTATCATGGCTCATGGCAACCTCCACCTCCTGGGCTGAAGCGATCCTCCCATCTCAGCCTCCCAAGTAGCTGGAACCACAGGTGCACGCCACCACGCCCAGCTAATTTTTGTATTTTTTGTACAGACAGGGTTTCACCATATTGCCCCGGCTGGTCTCGAGCTCCTAGGCTCAAGAAATCTGCCCACCTTGGCCTCCCAGAGTGCTGGGATTACAGGCATGAGTTACTGTGCTTGGCCCACGTGCAGATTTGTTACATGGTTATATTGTGTGATGCTAAGGTTTAGGGTATGGATCCCATCACCCAAGTACTGACTAGAGTACCCAACAGATAGTTTTTCAACTCTTGCACTCCCCTTTCCTTCCTCCCTCTGGTAGTTCCCAGTGTCTATTGTTCCCATCTTTATGTCCATAAGTACCCAATGTTTAGCTCCCATTTATAAGTGAGAACATGCAGTATTTGGTTTTCTGTTTCCGTGTTAATTCGTTTAGAATAATGGCCCCCAGCTGCATCCATGTTGCTGCAAAGGACATGGTTTCGTTTTTATGGCTGCATACTATTCCATGGTATATATGTGCCACATTTTCTTTATCCATTCCACCATTGATAGGCATCTAGTTGATTCCATGGCTTTGCTATTGTGAATACTGCTGCCATGAACATGTAAGTGCATGTGTCTTTTTTGTAGAATGATTTATTTTCCTTTGGGTATATACCCAGTAATGGGATTACTGAGTTGAATGGTAATTCTGGTTTAAGTTCTTTGAGAAATCTCCAAACTGCTTTCCACAGTGGCTGAAATAACTTACATTCCCACCAACAGTATGTTTTCTTTTCTCCACAGCCTTGCCAGCATCTGCTGTTTTTTGACTTTTTTAATAATAGCTGTTCTAGCAGGGCTTTAAATGATTACCTTAAGAAAGTAGACATTTGCATTCAATCATCATTTCCTTATTACTGTAGTAGTAGCTTTGGATCTTTGCTGGTAAGTGATGGGAATTTGTGATTTTGAATTCCATACTAGATTTTAGATCATTTGATAAAGCACCTCATTGAAAGCTTTAAAGTTATATTTACTTCCCCCTCTTAAACTTATTATATTTTATTATCTTTAGTTTGAGTCATAGCCAGGGACAGGATATTTGAATGAATGGATCATTGCTCTGAATCACTTTGTTCAAAAAATGCTCAGTTTTGTGGTGCTATGAGTAATACCCAACTTAAAGCTGTGACTAGAAAAGCAATTGTCCTCGTTGGGTTCCCAAGGGTAGCCCAATGGGTTGATATTGTGCTGGTTTATCCCAGGGGACACTTACCCTGGGAAAGGAGAAGACCTTGCAGGAAATGGCCTGAAGCCACCTAAAGAAAGAAAGACCCAGGGTTAGCCTAAAGTCCAAGGGAAATTGAACCAACATAAATCTACAAAGTGCCTTCAAAAAGCAGGCAGATTTGGGGAAAGTGGAATTCTTCTTGCCATTCAAAAATTTTTGCTTGACTTTGCTCACTCTGACACCTTCCGCACATAAAATTTCCAAGATGTGTTTTACAATTTGAAATTCCACGAAGGAATGGATGGATAGTGAAAGTAACTGGCTGTAATGATAACAGGTTAAAGAATCATCTTACCATTTAATGAGTTTTCATATTCAAAGATAAGAAGATCTTTAAAGCAGTTCTCCTGTTTGTCTGCTTTAATCGCATCGTGATTGTTCTCATTTCAGATCATCCTTATTTTGTTGGTGTCCAGTTCCATCCTGAGTTTTCTTCTAGGCCGATGAAGCCTTCCCCTCCGTATCTGGGGCTGTTACTTGCAGCAACTGGGAACCTGAATGCCTACTTGCAACAGGGTTGCAAACTGTCTTCCAGGTAACCAGCTTACTGCTCTTAGCAATAAACCAAGATGCATAGTTATTAATATCTTAGGGTTTCTTACAAAAATTAATACCACTATAGAATTTTTAAATGTGAAGAATCAGTTTTTTTCTCTTAAACATAATTTTCTTCTCTTTGTGAAAATGATTTAATCACACCTACGGTAGTAATGTGTCAGCTTTCCAAATCGTGATGACACTGGGTATTATTTTAGAAATTTTTTTCATTTTGATAAGTGAAAAGATTGTCTTTTGTTGATTCTTTGATTAATATATATGAATTTTTATATGTTTATTGGCTGTTTGTTTTATGAATAGTTTGTTCATATCTTTTCTTCATTTTGGTATTGTATTATTTTCCTTACTGATTGGTAAGCTCTTTATGTATAAAGGTCATTAATCCTTTGTTAGGCTGCAAATATTTTTCAAAGTGATTTTGCTTTCCTTCTAAATTGTTAATGGTAGTTTTGTTCTCCCTAAAGAGTTTAGTCCTTTTTTATGTTTTTTAAAAATGTATGTAGTCAAATATTTTACTTTTGTGGCTTCTGCCTTTACTCTCATGCCTAACATCTTTCCTTATGGAAAGATTATATAAATAATAACCCCTGTGTTTTCCTCTAGCATTTTTCTGGTTTCAATTTCATAGTTTAAATCTATAATCTATATGGATTTTATTTTCAGTGAAACCTGTGAGGTTGGGATTTGGCTCCCTACTTCCCTGCCAAATTGTCAACGAGTTGAGTAATTTGACTTTGTTTCAGGGATTTCTATTTTGTTCCATTGATGATTTTATCTCTTACACCTGAACCTTTGCCATCCTTTTCATTTTCATAGCATTATTATAAATCAGGACCTTATCGATCCTACTCCCACCATTATTAACATGTTTAGTGTGTTTTGCTATTCCTCCAGGCAAACTGTTATTTATTTATTATTTTCTTAGAGATAAGGTCTGGCTCTGTCACCCAGGCTGGAGTGCAGTAGCACAATCATAGCTCACTGCAGCCTTGAACTCCTAGGCTCAAGAAATCCTCCTGCCTCAGTCTCCCAATTAGCTGGGACTACAGGCACACACCACCATGCCTGGCTAATTTTTTTAATTTATTATTTTTGTAGAGACAAGGTCTCACTATATTGTCCAGGCTGGTCTTGAATTCTTGACCTCAAGCAATCCTCCTGCCTTGACCTCCCAAAGTGCTGGCATTATAGGTATGAGCCACTGTGCCCAGCCTGTACAATGCTTTTTAAAAATCAAGTTTGAATAAAAAATTCCTTAGGGATTTTAAAATTAAATTAAATTAAATTAATTTATTTATTTATTTAGGGACAGGGTCTTGCTCTGTTGCTCAGGCTGGAGTGCAGTGGAGCAATCTCAGCTCACTGCAACCTCCACCTCCCAGGTTCAAGAGATTCTCCTGCCTCAGCCTCCCAAGTAGCCGGGACTACAGGTGTGTGCCACCATGCCTGGCTAATTTTTGTATTTTTTAGTAGAGACAGGGTTTCACCATGTTGGCCAGGCTGGTCTCGAACTCCTGACCTTAAAGTGATTTGCTTGCTTTGGCCTCCCAAAGTGCTGGGATTGTAGGCGTGAGCCTCCGTGTCCCGCCAAAATTTCATTACATTTCAATACTAGTTTGGGGAGAGTTTATTTTTCTTTCTTCTCATCCAAGGATATCGTACCTAATAACTTGAAAAGCAGAAGCAACCATCCAGAATATCATAGACTTTGGTAGGGGTTATTACCACAATAACCAGATATATGTTGTTCAGAAGATTACCACTGCCAACCCTCATTCTGGCAAACAACCCTCGCAGTGTTGCTGTTGAGGGCTGGCAGGATCTGTGTGTGGTGTGCACGTGTGTGCTTGTTACACAACCCTACTTATTTGTGTCATTACCTGCTAGGAGAAGCTCACAGCTCTCTAGCATTTCCTTTCACCATGTGTTCATATGGGAACAGCTTCACATAATTTGCACTTTGGGCATCTTACTGTATTGATGTTCACCCCTTTCAGTGCACTGACTTTCAAACTGTGCTCTCGGAGCTGGAGTCTGGGCTGCTGCGGGAGCAGGCCATGGGGGCTCTGGGCTCCTTCCTGCTTCAGCTGAGCAGCTCCACTTTATCTGGCTCATGTGCCATGGTTCTGCAAGAGAGATTTCATCTGAAGAAGAGCTTCCTGTGTTCTGAGACTGCACAGCTTATGCCACTGATTGGACATCCTAATGTGGTCCCATGTCAGATGTGGGCTGTGACCCTTTGCAGCCGTTTTACAATTCCCGTTATTTTAGATTCTCACACTGAAAGGAAGGTGATAGTGGGACAAGTTAGATGGCTGGGAGAAATAACTCACTTATAACTATCTGGCTGTTTGCAAATACCAACTAATATACAAATCCTGTCTGGCTCGTGTGGACTGCCCACCTGTGTGTTGTATGGCCTGCCAATTCCCGCATGGCGGGTGGTGGTCTCTGGGTAGAGCTTCCAGCGGGGTGTGGTGGCTCACGCCTGTAATCCCAGCATTTTGGGAGGCCGAGGTGGGCAGATCACCTGAGGTCAGGAGTTCGAGACCAGCCTGGCGAACATGGTGAAACCCCGTATCTACTAAATGTACAAAAATTAGCCAGACGTGGTGGCACACGCTGCTGCTAGGGAGGCTGAGGCAGGAGGAGCGTTTGAACCCGGGAGGCAGAGGTTGCAGTGAGCTGAGATTGCACCACTGCACTCCAGCTTGGGCGACAGAGGGAGACCCTGTCTCAAAAAAAAAAAAGGCTTCCTAGTAGTTTCTGAAAAAACTGACTGATTGCTAGTGACTCCTGAGTGAGATATAGTATGTCTCAGAGAGAAGGAAAGACCTCTTAACCAAGCTCTGATGCTGGCATTGGAATTATAGCTGACTAGTAGGCTTCCATGACACTGAGGGAATTCCTACGTGTATCAACCACAAATTGGTACATTCCTTAAGGACAGCCAGCATCTTATTTATCTTTATCTCCCTGGCTCCCTTACACACAGGGGTTGTTTATTACCCATTAAAGTAATGAATGCAGGTAGCAGGGGAGTCAAATCTTGACACATTTCAGAGAGTTTTCTGACAGAGGGTGGTGACTATGAATTAATCCAGTGACAGACACCAGGATTCCAGAGGAACCTTGCACTTCAACTCCTCTCTGCCCAGCTCCATGAGATTAGTGAGCTTTGAAAAGCAAATGACTACTCTGATGCCAGGCTCTAATGTGAGCTGAGTTGGGGCTGTATTTCTGACAAACAAGATTACTGCTTGTAATCAACCCTAAACAATGTGACAAGGAATATGAACACTAGAATAATGACTTCCTTTCCCAGAAGTTGGCGCTGATGATATTCAATTGTATGGCACGTGTACGGCCAATGTCTTTAAAGCATGGAGTGTAAAAATCCTTGCCTTTGAGTTAAGCGTACCTGAGGTGTAACCTCCGCATTCTGCCTAGCGGAGAATATTTATCTTTTAGGGCCTGGGAAGTTGCAGTAAGACTATTATTTTGGGATTTACAGCTAGTGAGCTAAATTCTCAGCTACTTCATTATCTACAGAATGGCAGCAGTTAGGAAGACCAATTTCACCTGGTTTTAGGCTTGTAGTGGGCAGTTCAAGGGCACAATAGCTTCAGGACAGTATTTTTTAGGTTTTTATGAGCTATTTAAAAATACATGCAAAATCAAAATAAGAGTCTTGTTTAGGGGGTCCCCCCAAGACTGCCCACACTTTGGTGATTTGCTGAAAGTAATCAGAATATAGCTGTACTCATAGCTAATATTTATTTATTTATTTATTTAGAGATGGAGTTTCACTCTTGTTGCCCAGGCTGGAGTGCAATCATGTGGTCTTGGCTCACTGCAACCTCCACCTCCCGGGTTCAAGCAATTCTTATGCCTCAGCCTCCCGAGTAGCTGGGATTACAGGCACCCGCCACCATGCCCAGCTAATTTTTGTATTTTTAGTAGAGATGGGGTTTCACCATGTTGGCCAAGCTGGGCTTGAACTCCTGACCTCTGGTGATCCGTGTGCCTCGGGCTCCCAAAGTGCTGGGATTACAGGTGTGAGCCACCGCGACCGGCCTTATAGCTAATATTTATTATGGTGGCAAAGTAAACATGCACAGCAAGATCAGTAATGGGAAAGATAAGTGGAGTCTGGAGAAATTCATTTGCACGTTTCCTATGATCTCTCTCCTGTGATAAGTCACGTCGAGTTCGCCTTCCTTCCAGCAGTGAAAATGCAACTATGCCTATGTGATGTTTCTGCCCAGATGAGCCAGTTTGAGGCTCAGAGTTTAGGGATATTTCGAGGGCTGGTCACATAGGCATTTTCTACCTAGCAACCACCAAAATTCCAGATGCCAGAGGGAAAGCAGGTGTTCACCATAGATCACATTGTATAAACAGCCTAAGCCCAGCAAAATGACCTTATCAGTTAGTAATGGAGCACACATTCCGAAAGCCATGTTCCCGGACACCAGCCAAGAACTAACCCTGCAAGCAGGCCCTTTGAAAGATAGCAGCCTCAAGCCTGCTGTTAACTCTTTTTTTACACGAGTCTAACTAACAAACCATTTTGAAAATAAAAAAATCAAATGGGAAATAATGGTCCATTAAATAAATCATTGCAATTCTTTGCTGATCTCTCTCCTCTGGTGTCTAAACAATTTGTCTCACGTATAAAAGGCAACCACAAATTTGCATGGTCTTGCTGACACATAATGTAAAAGAATGAGACTGCTTCATGTAATTATAAGAAATACATTTCAGGAGAATATGAAGGTGCTTGTAATTGCAAGTTTTCTTTGTTTGTTTGCTTGTTTAAATCTAGAAACAGAGCATCTAATCTCTTTCTGGAATTCCTTTTTTTTTTTTTTTGTTTCTCAGGCTGGTCTCAAGCTCCTGGGCGCAAGCAATCCGCCCACCTTGGCCTCCCAAAGTGCTGAGATTACAGGCATGGGCCAATGTGCCTGGCCTGAGGCCTAGAATTCCATTTTTAAGTAAGGAGAGAAGGATCAGAGTCTAAAGTTCATAGATTGTTTTCTAGCATGTGTGTCTCTGTGGCTGCCTGCAAGGCTCTTGGGAGCAATCACTACACACCAAGTTTAGGCACAACTTCCAGTTTTTATTTGTCAGATCAGAGTAAAACTCTCTTCCTTGGACAGTGCTTGATGTATATCAGAAAGCAAAAACTTAGATGGGGTTCAGTTTGCAGTTCACAGAAATGCAGCTTTTTGGGAAACATATTTTTAAGTATAAAACCAGAATCTTGAGTCATTTGAGTAGCATTTTATTCTAGTTTTGGAACTTTGGATTCCATGTCTCCATCCAGCAATTACTGTCTCTTGTGCAGATAAATCATCTTTTTGTGGCAAAACAGGAAGCAGCGTGGTACAAAAACAACAGGAGGGAAAGGTACTCAGTGATTCACTGTATTTGCTTGACTGTTTCAGACCAAACCCAAAAGCCGAAACTACTTTGTAATAAGAGAGTCTTTAAAGGAAGTACACACCTGAAGCCAGTTCCTTCCGTTTCCTCTTTCCTTTGTGTGCCCCTAGGATCTAAGTCCATTCTCTCCTCTGTGCTTAGCCCTTCCCTCTATATTTGTTGAGTCCTGGCAACAGTCAGGGTGAGAAGGAACCCATTTCATTCACCATTGTCTCTGGTCTCTCTTCTGTGACAATATATCGGGGTTTTTTCCTGCTAAGTAACATGCTGACTTCTAGCCTGGGATGGTTTTGTTTTCTGTTAACTTCTACATGTAGCATTACAGAAAATTTAGAAAAGAGAGAGAGAGAAAAAAAAAGCACCCACAAACCCACCAGCCTAACATAATTACTGTGCTCATTTTCAAATATTTCCTATGAGCCTATACCTGTATATGATTCTTTCTGTGGCTGTAATAATAGTGAGTGTATCTATCTATCTATATAGATATATATACACACACACCCACACTCTTTTATTTTGAAAACTTGCAAACCTACAGAAAAGATGAAAGAGTGATACAGTGACGGTCTGGAGATCTCCTTTGCAAAGGAACATTTTTCTCCATTTTGGTTTTATTTATTTATTTATTTATTTATTTATTTATTTATTTATTTTTGAGACAAGTCTCACTCTGTTGCCCAGGCTGGAGTGCAGTGTCATGATCTCGGCTCACTGCAATCTCTGCCTCCCGGGTTCAAGCAATTCTCTGCCTCAGCCTCCCGAGTGGCTGGGATTACAGGTGCCCGCCACCATGCCCGGCTAATTTTTTTGTATTTTTAGTAGAGATGGGGTTTCACCATCTTGGCCAGGCTGGTCTTGAACTCCTGACCTCGTGATCCACCCGCCTCGGCCTCCCGAAGTGCTGGGATTACAGGTGTGAGCCACCGCGCCAGGCCATTTTGGTTTTTAAATACCAAAAATTTGAAATGAACTAGGGCTCCTGGAAGTAATGGTTGATTCCAGGACTGGGGCAGGAAAAGTACAAGATGAGCCTGGAACATATTGCTGTATTTAAAGCAAGGAACAGCTGAAAATGAAAGGGGTATGAGTTTTCCAAGGTCAAAGAAGCCAGCTTGAAAGGGCACCCACTGGCCTTATTTTGGACAATTTGAACATCAAAAAGAACAATGACAGTATTAGATTATAACACATTTCATTTTCTGAAATTCCATGAGTCCATAATAATACTAAGAAAATACAAAAGCAAAGAAAAAAGAAAAGCCAATTAAAAATGTAGATGTCATCTCTGATGTAATAATGGATTCAAATAAGGATCATCAGTGGATGCTAAAGCCACTGGGTGAAATTTGTAAGAAACAGAATATTCATATGTTTTCAGAATAGCACCATAAATTCTTTATTAATTACAGAAGTTTGTATTTTGAACTTAACACTTCATATGCATTTTTCCAAGTTGCATGAAGTTCATTTTTAATGGCTGCACACTTCACCATTCACTCAACACACCCCCTATGTTAAAGCTTATTCTATCCCAGCCACTGTGCTGGGTGCTTGAATAAGTGCTTAAATAAGAACATGTTCCCTGACCTGGGGACTCATCAGGTAGTATAACTGTTCTCTAAATTTTGGGAGGTGACAGACTTCCAAGATTGTGATCAAAGCTGTGGGCCCACTTCCTGGAAAACTGCCCAAACATACCACTTTGTAGTTTCCTTACATTCATACCCCCAATGCTACCCCCGTCCCCTGCATCCATAGACTTTCTTCTAGGGGTCTTCAGCTACAGACCTTCCCATCCAGGAAAGGGCACAGACCTGCAAGCGCACAGTCCCAGCAGTGTGGGAAATGCTGGCATTAGAGCTTGTTCTCTCTTTCGTGGTTGTACCCAGGGAATGCTCCCAGGTTGCCAGGATTAACTAACATTAAGATTAATATCTTCCTGCAAGTGGTACCATCACCCACACAGTGTGACCTGGCTGGACTCCCCTGGGGAAGCTCAGATTCCTCCTCCCTCATCCCCATTGCTCATAGTCAGCAGGTGCTGGCAATTCCTGTTGTTGGAATTCACTCCATCTTTTGTCTATTTTCTGCCATGCTGCAAGGGAGTATGGCCCGGAGTCAGGACTCTAGCTGTCAACCGAGTTCAAACTGGCTCTTTTACTTCCCAGCTGGCTGTGACCTTGCTCTTCTGTGCATTGCTTTCTTTATAAAAAGGGGATGGTAATAGTCCCCACTTGACATGGCAGAAATGAAGATTAAGTTTCACACTAAATGTAAAGCACTGAGCGTAGTGCCTGGTCTATGGTAGGAACTTAAATGGGAATTATTATGATGATGCTATTATTATTACTTTTCCTTTAGTTCCAGTATCTATCTCTTGCCTACTGCAAAGCCTCCTACTTGGTTTCTCTGCCTCCAGCTTGCTTCCTCCCAATCCGTCTTCTGCGGTTGGAATGATCTCCCCACATTATTTTGGAACTTAAACCCCCCCCCCCCCGATGGCTTCCCTTGGTTTATAGGATAAAATGCACACAAATCCATATGGAACAGCTTGCAGTTCCCTGAACTCCCCAGAGGGTTTTGCCTGTTGTGTCTTGATACACATTCCTGACCTGCTTAGTGAGAGGGGAATAGGGATCTATATCCTATTAGAATGGTTGTTCACGGACTCGTTAGGTGAACAAGGTGAATCGGAGGTGACAAGGTGGCGAATCGGAGGTGAATTATTAGGTGAATTGCAGGTGAGAGTGGCTCCCTCCATTGTTCACAGAGGGTGCATTTCACTCTCCCAGGCATGCTTCTCTTACGTTGCGTGGCTCTGCTCTCTCTTGGACTTGGAGAGCAAGGTACTCTTTTCCCTTGCACAAATCCGACATTCTGTTTCCAGCACTGCTTGAAACTTGGAATCGCTTTGTTTCAAACTTGGAATCACTTTGCTTTTTGACTTTGAGTTGCATGGTTGATGTTGCCAGGGGCCATTCTTGCACCATGTGGTGCAAAAATATTTTACTTCTGTGGGGACACTATTGACAAGTAGGGTAGATGCTATGGATTTTACTTCTGCGTCTGCTGCTTATTGAGTAATTTTGTCCAAGTCACTACTCCTAAACTTGCTGATTCTCCTCCTTAGGGCCGCTGTGAGGGACAGTTGAGGTGGTGCTTTATAAACTCAACTGCTATCAAAATGCCACTTTCCCCGCTTTGTTACACTTCAAGCAAAAGTGAACTGAAATTAACAAAAGATTCTATTTTGCTTTCTTTTGAACTGTTCTTTTAAACATTTTAGAAAACCATTCACCCCTGTGATTGTTTGACTTCAACTCCATACCTTGAGATATTTTTTAGGGTAAATTATTGTTAATGAACCACATTTGAGTACACCTTCCCTTGGGGTGGGATAAACGTTGGTTAAAAGGTGCTTTTAACCAGATCACGGTGCACTGCAGTGTGGATGGTGTGGTGCCAGACACGAATGGAATTAATAGTACTACAGACTACCGTGTGCTTTTACCACCCTGCCTGGGTGGTATTCTACTGTTTACTATGAAATATAAAACTCATTCAAAGCAGACTAAGTTTTTGTTCCATTGTTCTTATATTTTATGGCTTCCAGGGGCCCTTTATGAAGGAAATAAGTATAGTAGTAATACTGCTTTGGGGAAAACTGTGTTCATGACAATCTGTTTTTAAAACATGCTGTTTCACAGGAAACGGATTTTAATATAAAGTATTGTAAGGAACTCATGCATGCTGGGAATCCTAACTATGCCATTAAAATCTTTAAATTCCAACCACCTCTTTCTGTTAATGGAGAAGAAATGGTTTAACAGCTGCCTTGGGGTAGCGTAAAGGTGGGCTATATGAGGCATTGCTATACCCTTTCCCTAGCACCTTGGAATATCTGTTTTCTTATGTTGGGAATTTATTGGGAGCCAGAAGTCCTTGACAAGCAAACTTCACTATGACAAACCTTTCGTTTGTCAAGAGCCACATGTTGGCTGGGCACAGTGGGTCTGTAATCCCAGCACTTTGGGAAGCCGAGGCGGGCGGATCACTTGAGGTCAGGAGTTCAAGACCAGCCTGGCCAACATGGCGAAACCCTGTCTCTACTAAAAATACAAAAATTAGCTGGGCATGGTGGTGCATTCCTGTAATCCCAGCTACTTGGGTGGCTGAGGCACAAGAATCTTGAACCTGGGAGGCAGAGGTTGCAGTGAGCCAAGGTCACACCACTGTGCTCTAGCCTGGGTGCCAGAGTGAGACTGTGTGTCAAAAGAAAAAAAAAGGGGGGGGGTGCCGGGTGCGGTGGCTCACGCCTGTTATTCCAGCGCTTTGGGAGGCCGAGGTGGGCGGATCACCTGAGTTTGGGAGTTTGAGACCAGCCTGACCAACATGGAGAAACCCTGTCTCTACTAAAAATACAAAATTAGCCAGACGTGGTGGCACATGCCTGTAATCCCAGCTACTCGGGAGGCTGAGGCAGGAGAATCGCTTGAACCCAGGAGGTGAAGATTGTGGTGAGCTGAGATTGCGCCATTGCACTCCAGCCTGGGCAACAAGAGCAAAACACTGTCTCAAAAAAAAAAAAAAAAAGAAAAAAAAGAAAAAGAAAAAGAAAAGAACTACATGTTGACCATTGTGGTAAAGTCTTGTCAGTATAGTGATTCCTCTGTGTTGCTGCTGGTGATTTTGGTTTTGTCTTGCAAGAAATGGTACCATAAAATACTTTTTAAAAAGAGAGTTTTCATGATTTGGGAGGCACACGCATGCATAAGAGATATTTGCTGTGATTTTCATTAATGGTAGATAGACCTTTAAAAAAAACTTTTGGCCCTTTATTTCCTTCTCCTGTCTAATTGCCCTGGCAAGAACTTCCAACACTATGTTGAATAGGAGTGATGAGAGAGGGCATCCCTATCTTATGCCAGTTTTCAAAGGGAATGCTTCCAGTTTTTGCCCATTCAGTATGATATTGGCTGTCGGTTTGTCATAGATAGCTCTTATTATTTTGAGATACGTCCCATCAATACCTAATTTATTGAGAGTTTTTAGCATGAAGGGTTGTTGAATTCTGTCAAAGGCCTTTTCTGCATCTATTGAGATAATCATGTGGTTTTTGTCTTTGGTTCTGTTTATATGCTGGATTACATTTATTGATTTGCGTATATTGAATCAGCCTTGCATCCCAGGGATGAAGCCCACTTGATCATGGTGGATAAGCTTTTTGATGTGCTGCTGGATTCGGTTTGCTAGTATTTTACTGAGGATTTTTGCATCAATGTTCATCAAGGATATTGGTCTAAAATTCTCTTTTTTGGTTGTGTCTCTGCCCGGCTTTGGTATCAGGATGATGCTGGCCTCATAAAATGAGTTAGGGAGGATTCCCTCTTTTTCTATTGATTGGAATAGTTTCAGAAGGAATGGTACCAATTCCTCCTTGTACCTCTGGTAGAATTCGGCTGTGAATCCATCTGGTCTTGTACTCTTTTTGGTTGGTAAGCTATTGATTATTGCCACAATTTCAGCTCCTGTTATTGGTCTATTCAGAGATTCAACTTCTTCCTGGTTTAGTCTTGGGAGGGTGTATGTGTCGAGGAATTTATCCATTTCTTCTAGATTTTCTAGTTTATTTGGGTAGAGGTGTTTGTAGTAATCTCTGATGGTAGTTTGTATTTCTGTGGGATCGGTGGTGATATCCCCTTTATCATTTTTTATTGCGTCCATTTGATTCTTCTCTCTTTTTTTCTTTATTAATCTTGCTAGTGGTCTATCAATTTTGTTGATCCTTTCAAAAAACCAGCTCCTGGATTCATTAATTTTTTGAAGGATTTTTTGTGTCTCTATTTCCTTCAGTTCTGCTCTGATTTTAGTTATTTCTTGTCTTCTGCTAGCTTTTGAATGTGTTTGCTCTTGCTTTTCTAGTTCTTTTAATTGTGATGTTAGGGTGTCAGTTTTGGATTTTCCTGCTTTCTCAGCCCAAAATCTCCTTAAGCTGATAAGCAACTTCAGCAAAGTCTCAGGATACAAAATCAATGTACAAAAATCACAAGCATTCTTATACACCAATAACAGACAAACAGAGAGCCAAATCATGAGTGAACTCCCATTCACAATTGCTTCAAAGAGAATAAAATACCTAGGAATCCACCTTACAAGGGACGTGAAGGACCTCTTCAAGGAGAACTACAAACCACTGCTCAATGAAATAAAAGAGGATACAAACAAATGGAAGAACATTCCATGCTCATGGGTAGGAAGAATCAATATCGTGAAAATGGCCATACTGCCCAAGGTAATTTATAGATTCAATGCCATCCCAATCAAGCTACCAATGACTTTCTTCACAGAATTGGAAAAAACTACTTTAAAGTTCATATGGAACCAAAAAAGAGCCCTCATTGCCAAGTCAATCCTAAGCCAAAAGAACAAAGCTGGAGGCATCACACTACCTGACTTCAAACTATACTGCAAGGCTACAGTAACCAAAACAACATGGTACTGGTACCAAAACAGAGATATAGATCAATGGAACAGAACAGAGCCCTCAGAAATAACACCGCATATCTGCAACTATCTGATCTTTGACAAACCTGAGAAAAACAAGGAATGGGGAAAGGATTCCCTATTTAATAAATGGTGCTGGGAAAACTGGCTAGCCATATGTAAAAGGCTGAAACTGGATCCCTTCCTTACACCTTATACCAAAATCAATTCAAGATGGATTAAAGACTTAAACGTTAGACCTAAAACCATAAAAACCCTAGAAGAAAACCTAGGCATTACCATTCAGGACATAGGCATGGGCAAGGACTTCATGTGTAAAACACCGAAAGCAATGGCAACAAAAGCCAAAATTGACAAATGGGATCTAATTAAACTAAAGAGCTTCTGCACAGCAAAAGAAACTACCATTAGAGTGAACAGGCAACCCACAAAATGGGAGAAAATTTTCGCAACCTACTCATCTGACAAAGGGCTAATATCCAGAATCTACAATGAACTCAAACAAATTTACAAGAAAAAACAAACAACCCCATCAAAAAGTGGGCGAAGGACATGAACAGACACTTCTCAAAAGAAGACATTTATGCAGCCAAAAAACACATGAAAAAATGCTCACCATCACTGGCCATCAGAGAAATGCAAATCAAAACCACAATGAGATATCATCTCACACCAGTTAGAATGGCAATCATTAAAAAGTCAGGAAACAACAGGTGCTGGAGAGGATGTGGAGAAATAGGAACACTTTTACACCGTTGGTGGGACTGTCAACTAGTTCAACCATTGTGGAAGTCAGTGTGGCGATTCCTCAGGGATCTAGAACTAGAAATACCATTTGACCCAGCCATCCCATTACTGGGTATATACCCAAAGGACTATAAATCATGCTGCTATAAAGACACATGCACACGTATGTTTATTGCGGCACTATTCACAGTAGCAAAGACTTGGAACCAACCCAAGATGTCCAACAATGATAGACTGGATTAAGAAAATGTGGCACATATACACCATGGAATACTATGCAGCCATAAAAAATGATGAGTTCATGTCCTTTGTAGGGACATGGATGAAATTGGAAATCATCATTCTCAGTAAACTATCACAAGAACAAAAAACCAAACACCACATATTCTCACTCATAGGTGGGAAATTGAACAATGAGAACACATGGACACAGGAAGGGGAACATCACACTCTGGGGACTGTTGTGGGTTAGGGGGAGGGGGGAGGGATAGCATTGGGAGATATACCTAATGCTAGACGACGAGTTAGTGGGTGCAGCGCACCAGCATGGCACATGTATACATATGTAACTAACCTGCACATTGTGCACATGTACCCTAAAACTTAAAAGTATAATAATAAAAAAAAAAACAAAAAAAAACTTTTGGCGAGGCATGGTGGCTCACACCTGTAATCCCAGTACTTTGAGAGGCTGAGGCGGGAGTATTGCTTCAGTCCAGGAGTTCTAGGCCAGCCTGGGCAACATAGTGAGACCCCATTCCTACAAAAAATAAAAATAAAAGGTTAGATGGGCACGGTGGCATGTGCCTGTAGTCCCAGCTACTCGGGAGGCTGAGGTGGGAGGATCTCTTGAGCCCAGAGGTGGAGGCTGCAGTAAGCTGTGATCGTGCCACTGCACTCCAGCCTGGGTGACAGAGCAAGACCCTGTCTCAAAAAAAATTTTTTTTAAGGAAATGACAAGGACCATTGCATGGTGACTGTAGTTTGCTTTTTAAAAATCATTATTCATTTGTTTTTAGATCAGTACTATCCAATATAACTTTCTACGCTGGTAGAAATGTTCTATAATCTGCACTACCATATATGGTAGGCACTAGGCGCACATGGCTACTGAGCACTTGAAGTGTGACAGGTGCAAATGAGGAATGGAATTTTAAATTTTATTTCATTTTAACTGATTTAAATTTAGATAGCCACTGTGGCTTGTGGCTACCATATTGGACAGTGCAGTTTAAAAATTTTCCCCTCTTCTTGGGAGGCCGAAGCGGGCAGATCACTTGAGGTCAGGAGTTTGAGACCAGCCTGGCCAACATGGAGACCCTGTCTCTACTAAAAATATAAAAAATTAGCTGGGCGTGGTGATGGGTGTCTGTAATCCTAGTTACTCAGGAGGCTGAGACAGGAGAATTGCTTTAACCTGGGAGGTGGAGGTTGCAGTGAGCCCAAATCACTGCACTCCAGCCTGGGTGACAGAGCGAGACACACTATCTTAAATAAATAAATTAATTAAAAATTTCCTCTCTTCAAATGTAACAAGACACATAGGGACATGTCTGTATTTTATACCACTTCATAAAATTTAACATGCAAGACTCTAATATATGATAATTCTTCCCTGTGAGAAACGTGTGTGTGTGTGTGTGTGTGTGTGTGTGTAAAAGATTGCTGAAAAAGATAGGTTAGTCCTAAGATAGAGCTGGATATCTTGAATTAAATGAAAATATACCCAGACACATCTAGCTTATGACTTAAGTTTGTTCTGTGTGAAACAGAAATGAACCCGGCATAGAGTAGCGCTCACGGCGCATATGCAGCACAGAGTGCACTCACATTTTATTGCATGTGCAAGAGCCACTGTTGGTCTGCATTCAGATGACCCACATTTTATTTCTAGCAGTTGTTTTTTATTGGCAGATGAACGTCCTAAAATCAGCAAGTTCAGCAGTAACGTATATTTTGATAATTGTGTTCTTGAGTGTCATGGTTTGTTTTATTGTCCTACCGCCAGTCTCTGAACATATGAAAGACAATTAGTGAACCCAGTCATTAAGCTTGGAGATGAATAAATTCAAGCTGAACTTCATTTTGTTAAACTCAGCCTGTGCCATTTGGATGTGTTGGCAGAGCTTGGGGCAGACAGCCATCAGATAGGAAATGAGAGCTGTTAGATTAGAAACAGGCCCGCCCAAGTCCACTTGCTAATGTGGGTAGGAAATTATACTTGGCATAGGAAACAATCCTGAAAATCATACACTTAGCAGTTTTTATTGGTTCTTTATGTTTCCATGACTGTTTGAGGAGATACCAAGTTATGAATATATAACCCCTATCAATAGCAACATCTTATGTTTTTATATAGTTTTCAGAGCAAGTTTATACAGTTTCTTTTGACTCTCAAAACATTTTGGTGAGTTTGGAGGTATTATTGCCATTTTTTCTAGACTCAGAAGTCAATGACTTGTCCAAAGGTACGTGGCTCATAAATAGTATAACCAGGAGTGTGGGGGGAAGATATGAGCCCACTGTATTCTTCCCCAGGCTTAGAGATGGGGAAGGAAGTGGGTGTAAAATCTGGCACGCAAGGAAATGAAGTTCCCTCAGTCCTTTGGCCCTTGTCACTTGCGTTAGGGGACATGCCCTAGTGGGTCCTGCTGCCCTACCTGTGGCACAGCTTAAACCCTACCCTGTGCCCCGAGCTAGTATAATGGGGATTCTGGCTTCACCTTGAAGGATCTATGTGCCAAGTAAGTCACTTGAACGTCCTTGACCTTCATGTCATCTCAGATAGGAAGTTGAGTGCAACTTCCAAATCCCCTTTCTTGGCTAATTCTATGACACAAAATGTTGCATAGAACGAGGAAGGAGTCTCCATTTGAGCAGGGAGAGTGCATGAATAGGATGTATCAGCTTTTTTGGCTGTTGTTTTTTTTTTCCTCCAAATATTCTTCAGTTATTCCTATGTACCAGTAGAAGGGATTTCTCTGAACTAAAGTCTAAGTAGGAGGTATCTTTCTACTTGATTGGTTTTAAGGATATGTTGTTTTATATGTTTATCTAACATATGTTGTCTTTTCTGCCAGTTCTGAATCTTCTATCTCCTCTCCTTATTCTAGTGCTCCCCCCACCCCCGCCACCACCTACGCTGTTTTTGTTCAAAAGCCAGAGAAGGAAGTGAGCATGCAAATCAGGAAACAGATTGTCTTTTTGCCTATGCAGATTTGTCTGTGATTTTGTTTATTTATTAATATTCACTTAGCATGTTTAGAGTAAAATCTTCCTTTTCTAGTCTATCAGCATAGGGTTTCTCCAATTGTTCCCTTTCCTCAAAAAAAAAAAAAAAAGTAAAATTTCACCTGTTAGGGAATTCAGACTTTTTTTTTTTTTTTTTTTGAGACAGAGTCTTGCTCTGTCGCCCAGGCTGGAGTGCAGTGGCGCGATCTTGGCTCGTTGCAAGCTCCGCCTCCCGGGTTCACGCCATTCTCCTGCCTCAGCCTCCCGAGTAGCTGGGACTACAGGCGCCCGCCACCACACCCGGCTAATTTTTTGTATTTTTAGTAGAGTTGGGGTTTCACCGTGTTAGCCAGGATGATCTCGATCTCCTGACCTCGTGATCCGCCCACCTTGGCCTCCCAACGTGCTGGGATTACAGGCGTGAGCCACCGCACCTGGCTGGGAATTCAGACTTTTATTGCTATAAATCAGCAAAAGTTTGGCCAAGACTGGGGATGGGTCAGGCATGAAACATTTCCTTGTAATATCATCTCCATAGATCAGTAGAACTCTAGTGGAGTAGATCAGTGTGCTGATTTATTTGGAACTGAGTAAAAGGAACCACAAACAGACCCCACAGCTCAGAGTGAAAGTTGAGTTGCAGAGCTATCTCATGGGGAAGGGGTATTTCTAAGGCAACCCAACCTGGCGATATTTGTCAATAATTGGTCCTATTTTGAATACTTTCTGTGACTCAAGGTAATCAGGGCATTCCATATATTTCTAATTTTGAAATTTGCATAATTGTGAAAATTATTTCTCCAACTCTTGGACCTATGAGAATGTTGGAAGGGAAAACTTTCACGCTGCTGACCTAAAATCATAATGAAAACATGATCTGAAGGAGATAACATTTCAAGGCAAGTGTAGAGAGTGCGTTAACATTTTTTATGTCACTGCAGGGTGTTTTCTGGGTCTTGAGCCAATATGCACGTCTTAGTCCTCATGACCACCAAGTTCAAGCTCCTGTGCAATTTGCTGATCGTAGATGACTAGTTCCTCCGTAATGAGGAGGTGCTGTGATTCTCAAGCACGGAGGCCAGCACAGATCTGGATCTAGGGAGGTGCTGTGGTCCTTAAAACACAGAGCCAAAAGCCAAACTGCAGCTGAAAAGAATTACAGCATTTCGCTAATGTAATCAGGGATACACAGCTGTGTTCACTGTTCTCTAGTCCTTTCATGTTGCTAGAGGGGAGAAAAGATAGTTTTTCCTCTACCCATCATAGGTTCATGGCCAAGGCCCTGATAACAAAAAAACAGATTAACAAGCAAAAAGCATACAGTTGGGCACAGCAGCAGGTGCCTATAATCCCTGTTATAGCAGGTGCCTATAATTCCAGTTACTTGGAAGGCTGAGGTGGGAGGATCCCTTGAGGCCAGTAGTTGGAGACTAGCCTGGGCAACAGTGAGGCACCACCTCCCCACACTCACACACACACACACTCCAGCCCCATTTCTTAAAAAAAAAAAAGAGACAGAGAAAAGCATACAAATTTATTTAATGTAAGTATTATGGGAACCTTCATAAGGAAATGAAGATTCAAAGAAACAGGTAAACTCTGGTCTTTCTAAAACAGACCTGATGAAGAGTAGAGAGTCATGGAGAGTTATAATAGAGCAAAAAGAGTGTGATCTCATGGTAATATAGTAGGGGAACTTAGCAAGGCCTGTTTATTCAGATTCTTCCCTGGGATCCTGTGTCTTCAGAGATAAGGATACTCGTTTCCTCTGGGTATGGGGGTTGGGGGTACCTCTCACCTGAGGGCCTTTTGACCTGCTTGGAGAAGGTCAGAAAATCCTTCCGGGGTGTTATGACCTGCTTCAGTGGGGGAAGGTCAGAGGAAGGTCAGAGAGAACTTCTTGCACATGCTGTCTCAAATTCCTTCCGCTTCATGCAATGTATATGTGGGGGCTGTTATGGTTAGAGTCATAATAGTCTAGGTCAGGGGTTGACAGACTTTTTCTGTAAGGTTAGAGAGTAAATATGTTAGGCTTATGAGCCATACGCAATATGCCAAGATGCCATATTTTGGGGTAGTGTGTCCTGAACTCCCTCATTGCCAAAGGAAACAGTTGTCATCAGAAGAATGAAGAATGAAAAAAACAAACTGAAGATCCAGGTAATATCGTATGCTATGTTATTACATTGAAGAACAAATTGACATCAGTAGGAGTAGGACTAAGTGATGCTCAACCTCAGATGGACTGAGGTTTAGTCCCTAGTATGACAAGAGTAGATTCACAGAAAATAAATGGGTCCATCAACTCAGGCTTTCATTTTAAATCAGTTTGTTAATATAACACCTCTAGTAGAAAGCAAGCAATAGTTAAGGTGGCAGGAAGGCAATCTACTTTCAAGGCTTTTATTAAAGTTTAGAAATGATCAGTGGTCTTCAGAAGATTATAAATTTCAGTCTAAACTGAAATGCGTTTTTAATTTTCTGAATAAGTAACTTCCAGTTTACGATGAAAATAAGTGATCAGTTTCTCTGACCAAAGAAAGAGGCCATTGCATGTGATTGGACTGACCTCTTCCTGTGGTGACTAGAAAGTGCTAAAAGAATATTCTTTAGTATTTTCTCTCATACTAAGGGGTTAATATGGAATGTGTTTGAAATTGCAAATTGAATAATTGTCCAGGTTTTTTTTTTATACCTTGCTAAATTAGTTCCTCTTTTAATCTAGTGATAGATACAGTGATGCCAGTGATGACAGCTTTTCAGAGCCAAGGATAGCTGAGTTGGAAATAAGCTGAAATGAATACATGACTGGGAATAATGGGGACTGCCTGTGAGGGTAAGATGGAATCTTCGAGGATTGTTCATTTCTCTCATGGACAAGCTGTCATCTTGGTATAGAGGCGGGTATTATAGGACTCGCCTCACAGGATCTTGCCCCTTTGAGATACTCCCATTTGACTGGCACAGTTAGCAGGACACGCATGACAGCCCATGACAGAGTTAGTGTTTGGGGAAAATGGAATGCACCTTGGGCCAGGAAAAAAAAAATATAAGTACACCTATAAATGTATATGTGGGGGCTGTTGTGGTTAGAGTCATCATAGTCTAGGCCAGGGGTTGACAGACTTTCTGTAAGGTCAGAGAGTAAATATCTTAGGCTTATGAGCCATGCAGTTCCTGCGGCAACTACTCAATTCTGCTGTTGTAGCAGGAAAGCAACCATAGACAATATGTAAGTGAACAAGCATGGCTGTGTTCCAATAAAATTTTATTTACAAAAACAGTTTGCTGATCCCTGGTCTAGGCCACTCATAGAAGAGCAGATTTCCTTGGATTTGTATAAAATAAAATTAAAATAAAATAAAACATAAAATAAAATAAAATAAAATAGTATTTGATTTCTTTGTAGGGAGATGCAAGAGACAGGCTTAGTGTCCAAGGGCAGCTTATTTTTCCATTGCTCTATTATGCACTATTAGAGAGAATACCAGCCTGGATAGCTTCAGTAAATTTATGCTCAGTGGCAGATAGTGCCTGGATTGCCCTAGGCATTATGGCAGGCCTTGACTTGTATAAGCTGTTCTTTAGCAGAGACAGCAGCTTTTGGAAGACTTGTAAAGTGTTCATTGCTTTCCTGTGAGGTCTCTTCATGTTTATCAGGGAAGATGCAAAGCTGTGTCTATTTAGTTTTGCCTCAAACATGGAGACCCTTTGGAGCAAGCCAAAATGGTGCAAAGGTTAGCTGGAGATATTGAAAGACTTGTATTATTCAGTTCCTGGTGTTGCTAATATTTATATTCTTTTCTTTTAAGCCTCTGAAATAATTGAAGGCAAGATGAAGGAACTATCTGAAGAAATCACTACACTCTTAGAGAATCCCTCTGTTCTCCAGCAAACATGGGATGTAAAGCCTCACAGGGAATCTGATAATACATACTTCTGTCAACCAGAACCAGAGGGGTAGTTTTCTTTTCCCTCCAGAGGCAGCCTTTGGTACTTAAAATATCTGTAGCTGATTAAATTTTTCCCAACAACCTCACTGGGGAGAAAGTGTGTTCATGTTTTGTCCAGCGGATCAGGATGTTAGGATGACGAGCAAGAGTCCAGGTCACTGTGCCTTTGCTGTGTTGTATGGAAAGGATGGCAGGGAACATGCTGTAAGTAATTTTGAGTAAGAAAATGAGTCACTGTGTTACCTGGAACTCAGCCACAGATTTGTGTGTGGTCCAAGATCATTGCAGTTTCTCACCCTGTTTATTTCCTGGTAAAAGTAAAATTGAATAGGTCCAAGACTTGGGGGTGGCAAGTAAGGCTTTGCCTCAGGCACAAAATTTAAGGGGGCTCCAAAAAACTCAGGAATCAAGATCAGCAATACAGTCTGAGTATCCCTTATGTGAAATGCTTGGGGCTAGAAGTGTTTTGAATTTCAGATTTTGGAATATTTGCATATACATGCGATATCTTGGGGATGAGACTCAAGACTAAACATGAAATTCATTTATGCTTCATATACACCTTATATACATAGCCTAAAGGTAATTTGATACAATATTTTAAATAATTTTGTGCATGAAACAAAGTTTCGACTGCATTTTGACTGTGATTTCTGGCATGAGATCAGTTATGGAATTTTCCACTTCTAGCGTCATGTTGGCATTCAGAAATTTTGAAATTTTGGAGCATTTTGGATTTTCAGATTAGGGATGCTCAACCTGTATATATATTTTTTAATCGACGTGAAATTCACGTAACATAGAATTAACCATTTTGAAGTGAACAATTTGGTTGCATTCACTGATGTTGAGCAACCACCACCTTTAACTATTTCCAAAACATTTTCATCACTCCAAAATAAATGCCTGTACACACTAGCAGTCACTCCCTATCTTCCCCTCCACCTGTCCGCTGGCAACCACTGATCTCCTTTTTATTTCTGTGGCTTTTTCTATTCTGGATATTTCATATAAGTGGAATTACACAATATATGTGGTCTTTTGTGTCTGGCTTCTTCTGAGACAGTAGGAAGGGGGGCTTGGCTTTGGCTCACCCCCACTAGAGCATTTTTTCATGCATTCCCACTGATCACAAAACCCATACTACTACCTCATTGACACCATACCTGCTAACCTCGAGGCTTTAGTCATACAAAGAAAATGGCCTTTCTGTATTGTTCTTCTGTGCTCTCATAATGCTTAACCATGTCTTTTACTTAAACAATTCCAGGAACTGGCCTTAGGAGATCCAAATAGGGAACCAAGATTGCAGAGTGTCCCATCTTGGGAGGGAATGCTGAATAATTAATTGATTTACAGCCTTGTTGCCGCTGGCCAGACCACCAGGTGGCCCATTACTCGAGATGATCATCACAACCAGATGATGCTAACCTATATCCTCTACCCTTCGCGTGCTTTGTCTGGGAAGTCTTTTGGCCCCATGTCAGTTTCTATTGCATTGAGAGCCCAAGAGCCCCTGGTCAGTCAGGCTTCCATTTAGCATGGCGTTTGCAAGGTTTACCCATGTTGTAGCATGTGTCAGAATTTCATTCCTTTCTATGGCTGAATAAAATTCCATTGTATGAATATACCACAATTTGTTTCACCTTTTGGTTATTGTGACTAATACTATGAACAATCACATGCAAATGTTTGTTGGAATGCCTGTTTTTAATTCTTTTGGGGTGTATGCCTAGGAGTGGAATTGCTGTGTCATATGTAATTCTCTTTAACTTCTGAAGAAGGATCAGTAATATTTTAATGTAGTATTATTTTAAAAAATCAAAATTAGGCCAGGTGCGGTGGCTCACACCTGTAATCCCAGCACTTTGGGAGGCCAAGGCGGGCGGATCATGAAGTCAGGAATTCGAGACCAGCCTGGCCAACATGGTGAAACCCCGTCTCTACCTAAAATACAAAAATTAGCTGGGCATGGTGGCCCGTGCCTGTAATCCCAGCTACTTGGGAGGATGAAGCAGGAGAATTGCTTGAGCCCGGGAGGCGGAGGTTGCAGTGAGCTGAGATTGCACCATTGCACTCCAGCCTGAGCGACAAGAGCAAGACTCCGTCTCAAAAAAAAAAAAAAAAAAAATCAAAATGAAATAATTCACATTTGAACACAAAATCAAATTTTCAAATAAAGACAGGATCCAGCTCTGCACCTCCTTCACCTCCCCCAGTCCTTGCCCCATTCTCTGACGTTCTTATCTAGTATGTTTTCTACTTTTTCCTGTTGAATGTGCTTGAGATGACTTAGTTGTTGCCTACATTTAAGCTTTCTAATACTAATTTAAATATTTTAATTGTTCAGTTAATTTTTTTGTGGTGGTTTTGCTCCCCCCCCAACTTTTTTTTAATGCCATAAGGTATTATGGCCTTATTTTGTAAGATGCCACAGAAAATTCATCTACCAAGCACATACAAAAATGAAATGAGTAATTCTGGTAAACAAAAAAATTAAAGAGCTTTAGGGCCCTGCTTGCGAAAATTACAGCTTGAAGATCACAAGAGGCTCCAAATGAAAAGCCCGCACCCACGGTAGGTTAAAAGCTGGAATAGGCCTCATAGAGAGGGGGTTGGAAGCTCAGAGGCAACACTTTTAACATCACAAAGGGGTAGTCTGGCTTAAATGGAAGTTTTCAATTTTAATGATTGTGATTTCTAAAGTCATTTGTAACAGAGTGCTTTCCTGTGGGCTAATGATGCATGTAAACAGGACCAGAAAGACAAGCACTTAAGAAACAATAAACCATCCTGTCCCCTTGAACTTGGAATGTAGGGAAGCACAGAAGGACAGTAGCATGGCTGCTTAGCATACAGGTACTGGAACAAGAGTGAGACATGAGCACATAGAAAGTCACTATAAATCATTACTCAACAAATGTTTCTTGAGCCAGGCATGGTGATAGGGGTCCCAGTCCAGACCCCAAAAGAGGGTTCTTGGATCTTGCGCAAGAAAGAATTTGGGGGCAAATTCATAGAATAAAGTTTATTAGAGAAGTAAAAGAGACAAAAGAATGGCTACTCCATAGACACAGCAGCGGCACGCGCTGCTGACTGGGTATACTTATGGTTATTTCTTGATCATATGCTAAATAAAGGGTAGATCATTCATGAGTTTTCTGGGAAAGGGGTGGGGAATTCCTGGAACTGAGGGTTCCTCCCCTTTTTAGACTATATAGGGTAACTTCTGAACACTGCCATGGCATTTGTAAGCTGTCATGGTGCTAGTGGAAATTTCTTTAAGCATGCTAATGCATTATAATTTGAGTATAATGAGCAGTGAGGATGACTAGAGGTCACTTTTCTCACCATCTTGGTTTTGGCTGGCTTCTATACCACATCTTGTTTTATGGTCAGAGTTTTTATGACCTGTATCTTGTGATACCAGTCCTGCCAACCTCCTATCTCATCCTGTGACTAAGAATGCCTAACCTCCTGGGAATGCAGCCCAGTAGGTCTCAGATTCATTTTACCCAGCCCCTATTCAAGATGGAGTCACTCTGGTTCAAATGCCTCTCACAATGTCAGGTGCCGGGGGTGCAGTGGGGAGTAACCTCAGATAGAATAGAAAAGGAACTCAGTTCCTTTTTCACGTTTTTTTTTTTCTTCTTGTCTCACTGATCACAAGACCCACACCCCTGCCTTGCTGACAATTGGTTTTAGATAAGGCTTCAGGCTTACAAAGAAAATAGCCATTCTTCTGTGCTCTCATAATGTTTAATCATGCCTTTTACTTAAAAGAATTCCAGGAACTGGCCTTAGGAAATCTAAACATCAAACCGAGGTTTCAGAATGTCCCATCATGGGAAGGGAAGGAACCCTGAACAATTGATTTGCAGCCTTGTTACAGCTGGCCAGACCCCCAGGTGGCCCATTACTCAAGATAACCATCACAACTAGATACGCTAACCAGCATCCCCTACCCGTCACGTGCTTTGCCCAGGCCAGCCTGCATACCCTACCCATGATACCAATTCCTGTGTTTGCCTAATAAAAAAAATCCCTACCACCTTTTCAGGGAGTCAGCTTGAGGGTCCTTGTACCTCTGGTGTCTCCCCTGCACTCGAGCACAAGCCCCAAGATAAAAGCCTTTTCTGGAAATCTGCTTGTCCCCATGTTAACTTTTATTACATGATGAGCCCAAGAGCCTGTCATCTGTAACAAACCTGCCTTCAGACCTGACCATCTCTTGGGGGAAGGCAGGCTTTAAACAAATCTATAGGGAAATAAGTATTTAATTATATTAATAATTGTGATATGTTTAGAGGCTATGACACTATCAAAGAACAAGGACAAGGGGGCTTGAGAGTTTAAAATGGGGTCCTATCAGAAACTAGAGAGCCAAGGACAGCCTCCTGAACAAAGCAGGTAAATACTTTACCTGGTTTTGTGTGTGGTCACACAGTGCAAAGACAACGGGCCGAGAGCTCTGAGACCCAGTGGGGATGTGCTTTTCCTGACTGACAGGACAGTTGGGTGAGTGGTGGCACTGTTTCAATGGTATCTTCATCTGCTTGTTGTCAGCCTATAAATGTCAATGAAGTGAAAGTGTAGGCTAAGTGACAATTAAGAATGGAGTTAGGGCTGGGCATGGTAGCTCATGACTATAATCCCAACATTTTGGGAGGCTGAGGCAGGAGGATCGCTTCAGCCCAGGAATTCAAGACTGGCTTGGGCAATATAGTGAGACCCTGTCTCCATGAAAAATAAAAAAAAATTAGCTGGGCATGGTGGTACATGCCTATACTTCCAGCTACTTGAGAGGCTAAGGTGGGAGGATCACTTGAGCCTGGGAGGTCAAGGCTGAGGTGAGCTGTGATGGCACCACTGCACTCCAGCCTGGGAGACAGTGAGACCGTCTCACAAAAAAAAAAAAAAAAGCTAGATGGCTTATGGAGAAAACAAGCAAACAAGAATGGGTCTCTTCCAATCTAATTGTCACTTTTGTTGCTGTATTTCTTTCTTGAACTTTCTATTTTGTTAAAATAAGTACTATTTACATACACATCTGTACTCTGTTAAAGTCAGTGCCAGACATTGGCCGTCACCACCATTTCTCCTACAGCTAAGGTTCTGCAACCCAAAGGTGCCATAGAAAATCAGGTAAGATACTTAGAAATGTGTAGGGGAGGGCCAGGTGTGGTGGCTCACGCCTGTAATCTCAGCACTTTGCGAGGCCGAGGCGGGCGGATCATGAGGTCAGGAGTTCAAGACCAGCCTGGCCAACATGATGAAACCCGATCTCTACTAAAAATACAAAAAAATTAGCCAGGTGTGGTGGCACGCGCCTGTAGTCCCAGCTAGTCAGGAGGCTGAGGCAGGATAATTGCTTAAACTGGGAGGCAGAGGTTGCAGTGAGCCAAGACCACGCCATTGCACTTGAGCCTGGTCAACAGACTGAGACTCCGTCTCAAAAAAAAAAAAAAAAATGTGTAGGGGAGGAAAAATATTTTTTTTAATCTACCCATTCCAAGTTCATGGCTGAGGCCCTATAACAGAAGACAGATTAATGAGAGAAAAGTGTACAAATTTTTTAAAGTTTTATGTGACACATGAACCTTCATAAGAAAATGAAGACCCGAAGAAACAGTTAAAGCTGAGAAGCTGAGGGTTTTTTATTGTAGGTTTGGTGAAGAGTGGAGATTGTGAATCCCGAAAATCTGAGACACGTCTCAGTTAATTTAGAAAGCTTATTTTGCCAAGGTTGAGGACGTGCACCCATAATATGGCCTCAGGAGATCCTGATGACAAGTGCCTAAGGTGGTCAGAGCACAGCTTGGTTTTATACATTTTAGAGAGACATTAGACATCAATCAGTATGTGTTAAGATGTACATTGGTTCAGTCCGGAAAGGTGGGACAACTCGAGGCAAAGGCGTGTGAACCCAGATAATTTGAGGTAGGTCCCAGTTAATTTAGAAAGTTTATTTTGCCAGGGTAGAGGATGTGCCCATGACACAGCCTCAGGAAGTCCTGACGACATGTGCCCAAGGTGGTAGGGGCACAGTTTAGTTTTATACATTTTAGGGAGACATGAGACATGAGACATCAATATATGTAAGAAGTACATTGGTTTGGTCTGGAAAGGCGGGACAGCTTGAAGCAAAGGCAGGAAGACTCAAAGCAGGGACTGGGCTTCCAGGTCACAGATAGGTGAGAGATGGAAAGTTGCATTCTTTTGAGTTTCTGCTTAGCCTTTCCAAAGGAGGCAATCAGATAGCATCTATCTCAGTGAGCAGAGGGGTGACTGTGAATAGAATGAGAGGATGGTTGGCCCTAAGCAGTTCTCAGCTTGACTTTTCCCTTTAGCTTAGTGATTTGGGGGCCCCAAGATTTATTTTCCTTTCACAGGTGGGACAACTCAAAGTGCGGAGGGGGTTTCCAGGTCATAGGTAGATAAGAGACAAATGGTTGCATTCTTTTGAGTTTCTGATTAGCCTCTCCAAATGAGGCAGTCAGATATACACTTATCTCAGTGAGCAGAGAGGTGACTTTGAATAGAATGGGAGGCAGGTTGGCCCTAAGCAGTTCCCAGCTTGACTTTTCCCTTTAGCTTAGTGATGTTGGGGCCCCAAGATTTATTTTCCATTCATATTTTCCCCCTTTTCTTTTTAAAAATCTTTTGGAGAAAGCATTTTAGGAGAAAATGAGTCTCTGGTCTCAGGTTTCATCTGATCTGTCATGGCTAGGATGGTTTATTCCTAGACGGGTAGGTCCCCAGTTATTAGGAAAGTTCATTTTTAGCAGGTTGTGAAGTCTCATGTCCTATGAAGAGAAAATGGGGGAGGAAGGGATAAAAACAACAACAAACAAAAGAACAATCCTGGAAAATCGATATAGGCCACATTACTCTGAAGTTTATATATCAGTAGGCAGGGATGAAAGTGCCTTATGTATGTAAGCAGGTTGCTGTTATTTTCTTCTAAAGTTTAAGTTGTCTGGCTTCAGTTTGCAGGGTTTACAAAAGCACAGCTTAGTTTTCAGTGACTCCAAATTAGGAAAAATGGGGGAAAAAAAGAAGGAAAAAACTTGAAAACATTATTTTGAAGACTTGTAGCCAAGAAAAATTAGAATTCAGTCCAAACTGTAAAAAATAATAACAATTGAAAAACATTAGGCAAGGCTAGAGTCTAACAACAGGTGTACTATAGTTTCTGAAACGTAATTTTTCTCTCTGCAGTTTCCCATTTCTACTAAAGAGAAATCATGGTAGGACCGATTTGCTTTGTTATACTTGGCATGATTATTTCTATAAAGTGCAGCAAGAATAATTATTTTTTTACATAGGCTTTTAAATTGGCTTTGATGGAAATTTGTTCCATAGAAGGAATCTCGGATAAGACTTTTTAAAAGCCAAGCTCAGCCATGGATTTGTACCATCAAATACCTATGAGTTGGGTGAATTCCTCTCCTCTTGAGGTTCCAATATAAACTTGGGGTTCCTGGGCCTGTCAGAAAGTGACATGCTTCACTTACCACAGGTCAGGAACCCTGTACAGGAACTGTGTAGACTAGGTATGAGGCCAGTATTTCCAAGGGGCTTTTATTGGCTCCATAAGTCAAGTTTGGTTTTTTAAAGGAAAGCACACCATTCCAGTCAAAGCCTTGGCAAAATAACCAGTTTCTCCAATTGTGTCTGAAAACAGATTCTTATTGCACTTATGCAAATAACTGTGTTGCCATAAGTTAAGAATATTCACAAATAGTTTCCAAATTCTGGAGAAATCAGGTAGAGAGAAACAAATATATTTTAAATTTTGTTCATAGGAGTATACTAAATTGTTAAAAGCTGTCAATAGTGCAAAAGAAGTTTCCTGACTCTGGAAAAACGAAACAAAGGATCAGCAGCATTTTAAGCAAAAAGTCAAAAAGATTACCTCAGTTTTGTATTAGTTCTGTCCATGCAGTTAATTCCTGTTCTGCCTGATGTTCATGAACATTTCACTTCTCCATGAGTCCTAAAAGTTTTTCCTCTATTCTGATGTCACAATCTCCAAAGTTATCAGAAACTTGTACTCAAGAGCACCTGTTAAGAGTTTTATAGATGATTATAAAACCACCTTCTAAAGAGGACCAAAACAAGACAACAATTGTCTATGGATGACAAAAAGTTTAGGGGCAGCCATAGTCAAGGACACAACTGACAAGGAAATTCATTACCTCTGTGGCACACAATAACTTAACATAACAGTTATAATTATTACTGATAATGTACACTAAGCATATTAGAATTATAGTCCCATATATCCATATTTATACAAATACAGCCCAAAAAAACCCAAACACCAGTTCATATTTGACAATGTTTCCTGTATAATTTTTATACCAAATAAGCCAAATTATGTTATTTTGGACTTTAGGGAGCCTAATATCTTAAAGGATTAATTAGGTCAGAGAAAGACATAATTTACAATTTGATTTTGGAAAGTTTGTCAAATATCAAAGATTTAAAACACGTGATGTCACAGGTCATTGTAAAATAAGTCATTCCTTTGACCAAAGTGATAACTCAAGGACTTCAAAAAAAGGAGAAAACCTTCATTCTTTGAGAGGAGACTTAATTTTGCAAACAATAAGCCCTAATAGAAACATCATAAAGCCAATTAAATTTGTTTTTCAAAATTTTATAAACAATGTATAAGATTTTTAATCTTGACCGTAAGATATGACTTCCATAAGCCTTTTATAACCTTTATAACCTTTATTATTATTAAGCAGTCGGTTAATGCTTCAAGAAAACCTTGTTAATTTGACATAGGGGCACATATGCTGGTCTTGCATCAGTGTGTCTTTGACATTAATGATTAATTTATAGAGAAACTGAACTTATTTTATCTCTCAAAATCAGCCCTTACAATCTCACATGTCCACGTCTTCCACGATAGTCCCTGGGCCTTGAGGAGTTGAATAGCTTTAATTTCTGGCCCTGTGTCTCAGGAATGCAGTTTATTTTGATTGACATCTTCTACCACGCCTGAGGATGAAGCTATAATTGCTGTCAGTGTTTAAGATTTAGCAGGACTTGGTATCCTTTTTAGACCCAGGAGTCAAAGCCCTGTAACTCAATGTCACAAATACTTTAAGAAGCACATACATCTTTCTAGATATACAGATGTAATAACCTTAATTTAAAAAAAGTTTAATCTCAGTTTTTTCCCTAAGCAAACCGAAACTTAATTGTCAGGTCTCTGAGCCCAAGCCTGCACGTATACATCCAGATGGCCTGAAGTAACTGAAGAAATCACAAAAGAAGTGAAAATGGCCGATTCCTGCCTTAACTGATGACATTACCTTGTGAAATTCCTTCTCCTGGCTCAGAAGCTCCCCCACTGAGCACCTTGTGACCCCTGCCCCTGCCCGCCAGAGAGCAACCCCCTTTGACTGTAATTTTCCACTACCTACCCAAATCCTATAAAACGGCCCCACCCCTATCTCCCTTCGCTGACTCCTTTCGGACTCAGCCCGTCTGCACCCAGGTGATTAAAAAGCTTTATTGTTCACACAAAGCCTGTTTGGTGGTCTCTTCACACGGACGCGTATGACAATAATAATGGCATAGGAATTGTTTCAATAAAATGTAAAGTCTGTTAGGCCAGTTACCAAAAGGCAAAAGAAAAGGTCTGCACTGCACAGAATATTATGTTGGAAGAAAACATTTCCTTTAGACCTTTAAGAAAACATTGTTAGCATTAGTCCACAACAAACAGAACTTAAGGAAAAAAAAACTTTTATGAGCTGAAAATGAGTCGAAGGAGAGCTTTACTGTTTCGCACCTTTTAAAAGGGGAGAGAAAACAGAAAATGGTGAGATGCAATAAAAGTTGAACTTTATTGCTTCTAACCTCCAAGCTGTCCTTGTTTATTCCTGGGCATAGGCCGAACTAACTTAGGGAGGAACTCAGTTTATAGTTTAGCTTTGAAACAAAGACAATAACAGTCCCTTCCCAAAACAAACCTTACTTGCCTGTGGACTAGACTGCCTAAAGCCACACAATTAGAAGTCATGGTAATCTTACTAGATCTAAGATGTAGCTATTTTTATTTAAACCAATATCAATGTCTTATTTATTAAAGTTTACACAAGCAAAAATTATTCTGTTTTGGGCTGGCTTTATAGTTTTGTAGCCCTTATGCCAAATTTTGATAACTTATAGTATTTGGCAGGGATAAGTATGAAATTGCTTGATTAATAAATGCAAACGAAAATGTATGCTGGCAATTCTTAAGACACTTCTAATATTACTTTAGCAATAATTTTAAAGCTAGCTTATTTATTAAAGATTTTACTTAAGTTACATAAACTTGAAAAAGCATTTGACTAGTGTTTTCTTTTTTCCTTATAAAGCATTTGATTCAAGCGCTTTATTTTTTAAGCCAATTAATTAGAGCTCTTTTATATATCTTCAGTAAACACTGTGTATGCAACACGATACGTGGACGTATTAGGTATGCTGATAGATGTTACAGATTCATAAAAACCTTTTTTTCCCCCATCTTAGGACTTTCAAATTCTTGATAACCTGTTTTATTACCCTAGGCAGTTGTCAGCTAAATAGCTTTAAATTTGCATATGAAAGGAAACAACTCAGGTGAAAATCAAAAAGCAAAATTTACATCCTAAGGTACGGAGAGAAAAAGTCTGGTGTGCTAGAGGGAAATTAAAATGGATTTAATTGCCAATTAAACATAAAATTATAGAAATTATAAAGGCCTTTCAAATATACACAAACACACACACACACAAAGATCCTCTAGCTTTTACTTCAGAACTTTAACCATGAGAACTTTAGCCATGAGATAAATACAAATTCACAGGCTTGCAAAAAAAACCTGTTTGATCCAAACAGTGGTTTTCACTTAATAGAAAAATAACAGCAGATTTAAAGTAGGCAGAAAAGAAAAATAGAGAAAAAGAGAACTTAGGAACTCTATAGTTTGCAGGTCAACCTTAGGGCTCTTTTTCCTTAATGTAAATGAGCACAAAAACCATATTACTTCTATTTTACATAAACTCTGCCAAGTAGAGGTGCCATAAAACCTAAGGAGTGCTCGAAAGGGGGTCATTCTCTTTGTTTTCTCCTCAGTTTTAGATTGTCTCCCACATTTTTTTTCCTTAAAAGGAAGAACTGAGCTGTGGCCTAGGGGTTTTGTGTGGTGGATCAATGCGTGCTGCTTGTGGGCAGGACTCCACAGTGTGTCACCACTGAGTTGCTTCCACCCTCTTACATGTCTCAGCTTCTCTCTCCAGAGGTCTGTGACCTTGGAGAGGGCTCAAAATGCCTGGTGATCAACTCTTATGTGTGTTTCCTGGATGAGCCTTTTTAAAAAATTAATTTTTATTGGGGATTTCCCTGTGGGGCTACTGCCACTGGGGTTAACCCCCCAGACACTCCCATGAAGCCCCTGGTCACCTGGGGCACCTTTTGGCTGGGAGGAGCAAATGCCCTTTCTTTTTGGAGCTGAGAAAACTCAGTCTCTCATTTATCTATGAAAACAATAGCTCAGTTCCTCACGCAAATGAGCACAGACAAGCTGAATTGAGATTAATTTTGGGAGAAAAAGCAATAGAGAAGACCCCTTAGAATGCATGCCTGAACTAGAATTAAGATCCTTAACAAGTTCCTAGGAGAGAAAAAACAACAGCAGCCGCCAAGACCATTTCCTGTAAACTGTGCTCAGCCACCCCTACTTTGTAGCTCTTGTCCGCCATTACACACACCAAGGTCAAATCTTCTCACAGTACATGGTAATCTCTGGTACCTCCAAAGCCAAAGAGGTCAGGTCAGGCAATACAGGAAAACAGAGCTTTCATCCTAAGAAGAATCTGTCCATGACTCTTGAAACTCCACAAAGAAAACAGAACACCCCCTACAAAGAGGTAAGTGGCACCTTTGTTCTGAATTCTTTAAAGGAGTTCAAGTCATTAGAAGCCTCCTCTAGAAGGGAAGGAGGTGTAGGGTGAAAGAAAAGTAAATGAAAGAACTTTTTTTTTTTAAGACAGGAAGCAAACACAGAAACCAAGGGCATTGTTTTTTGTTTTTGTTGTTGTTGTTTTCTTTTTTCCCTCTTTTGCAGCTGCAAGGAATTTGGGCCAAATTAGAGAGGCTTTGTTACCCATAATTTGGAATTCTCACTCAGATCGGACCAAGTCAGGTAGAGTTGGTCAAATCTGATGGGAGAAAGACCGGAATAAACAACAATAACAAAAAACCCCCAACATGATCACCGAGCGCTCTAACGGTAAAGAGAAATTAAGACCAGCTGGTAGTTAAACTTTAACCAAGACAAAACCCCAATTCAGCTACTTACCTAGGAATGGGTCTCAGGCTGAAGACTGCTTTCTACCATCCTAGAAGCAGGAAAAAAACCCTCAAACTCATCTTCCTTGCTGGGAGTGAGCTCAAACTCTATAAGGCAGTTACCTGCCTTCCATTGTCATGGAAACAGGAAATCCTACCTTCCTTGTTGGAAGCAAGGAAAACTCCAAAAAAAAAAAAAAAAAAAAAAAAAGGAGTTGTATAGCAAAATAAACTTTTGATCTCAAGCAAATTTTGGGGATTCTCTGGAGGGAGTGCTTCCAGACCTCAACAAATTGTCCTATTGGTTTGAGCCATAAAGTTAGCTCAGGCTGGTACCAAGCACTGATAGGAGATTTGCCTAAGGTCAGGGGCATCTCCACATATAATCCCTTCGTGGTTGCCAAAATATGAACCCCCAAAGTCTGAGACAAGTCTCAGTTAATTTAGAAAGTTTATCTTGCCAAGGTTGAGGACATGTGCCCATGACAGCCTCAGGAGGTCCTGACAACATGTGCCTAAGGTGGTAGGGGCACAGCTTGGTTTTATACATTTTAGGGAGACATGAGACATCAGTCAACATGTGTCTGGAATTGGTGGGCTCTTGGTCTCACTGACTTCAAGAATGAAGCCACGGACCCTCGCGTTGAGTGTTACAGCTCTTAAGGTGGCGCGTCTGGAGTTTGTTCCTTCTGAAGTTCGGATGTGTTCGGAGTTTCTTCCTTCTGGTGGGTTCGTGGTCTTGCTGGCTCAGGAGTGAAGCTGCAGAACTTCGCGGTGAGTGTTACAGCTCATAAAGGCAGTGTGGGCCCAAAGAGTGAGCAGCAGAAGGATTTATTGCAAAGAGCGAAAGAACAAAGCTTCCACATTGGGGAAGGGGACCCCAACGGGTTGCCACTGCTGGCTCGGGCAGCCTGCTTTTATTCGCTTATCTGGCCCCCACCCACATCCTGCTGATTGGTAGAGCAGAGTGGTCTGTTTTGACAGGGCGCTGATTGGTGCGTTTACAATCCCTGAGCTAGACACAAAGGTTCTCCACGTCCCCACCAGATTAGCTAGATACAGAGTGTGGACACAAAGGTTCTCCAAGGCCCCACCAGAGTAGCTAGATACAGAGTGTGGATTGGTGCATTCACAAACCCTGAGCTAGACACAGGGTGCTGATTGGTGTGTTTACAAACCTTGAGCTAGATACAGAGTGTGATTGGTGTATTTACAATCCCTGAGCT
Organism: Homo sapiens; assembly: GCF_000001405.40. Classification (NCBI taxonomy): domain Eukaryota; kingdom Metazoa; phylum Chordata; class Mammalia; order Primates; family Hominidae; genus Homo; species Homo sapiens. The sequence continues at coordinate 16,576,069 of NC_000023.11, read as the reverse complement.
AGACATAAAGGTTCTCCAAGGCCCCACCAGAGTAGCTAGATACAGAGTGTGGATTGGTGCATTCACAAACCCTGAGCTAGACACAGGGTGCTGATTGGTGCATTTACAATCCCTTAGCTAGACATAAAGGTTCTGCACGTCCCCACCAGATTCAGGAGCCCAGCTGGCTTCACCCAGTGGATCCCGCACTGGGGCTGCAGGTGGAGCTGCCTGCCAGTCCCGCACCGTGTGCCCGCACTCCTCAGCCCTTGGGTTGTCGATGGGACTGGGTGCCGTGGAGCAGGGGGCGGCGCTCGTCAGGGAGGCTCGGGCCGCACAGGAGCCCACGGAGCGGGGGGAGGCTCAGGCATGGCGGGCTGCAGGTCCCGAGCCCTGCCCCACGGGAAGGCAGCTAAGGCCCGGCGAGAAATCCAGCACAGCGCTGGTGGGCCGGCACTGCTGGGGGACCCAGCGCACCCTCCGCAGCCGCTGGCCCGGGTGCTAAGCCCCTCATTGCCCGGGGCCCGCAGGGCCGGCCAGCTGCTCCGACTGCCGGGCCGCCAAGCCCACGCCCACCCGGAACTCCAGCTGGCCCGCAAACGCCGCACGCAGCCCCGGTTCCCGCTCGCGCCTCTCCCTCCACACCTCCCTGTAAGCTAAGGGAGCCGGCTCCAGCCTTGGCCAGCCCAGAAAGGGGCTCCCACAGTGCAGCGGTGGGCTGAAGGGCTCCTCAAGTGCCGCCAAAGTGGGAGCCCAGGCAGAGGAGGCGCGGAGAGGGAGCGAGGGCTCTGAGGACTGCCAGCTCGCTGTCACCTCTCAAACATATGTAAAATGAACATTGGTTCCATCTGGAAAGGCAGGACAACTGGAGATGGAGAGGAGGCTTCCAGGTCACAGGTAGGTGAGAAACAAATGGTTGCATTCTTTTAAGTTTCTGATTAACCTTTCCAAAGGAGGCAATCAGATATGCATTTATCTCAATGAGCAGAGGGATGACTTTGAATATAACGGGAGGCAGGTTGGCTCTAAGCAGTTCCCAGCTTGACTTTTCCCGTTAGCTTAGTGATTTTGGGGCACCAAGATTTATTTTCCTGTCACAAGATTAATGGAGAAATATGATAGGGCAAAGAGTATGATCTGGGGTAGTGAACTGGGGGAACTTAGCAAGGCTTGTTCATTCACATTCTTCTCTGTGTCCCTGTGTCTTCAGAGATAAGAATGCTCCTTTGCTCCAGCTGTAGGGACGGCACCTCTCACCTAGGGTCTTATGACCTCCGTCAGAGGAGAAGGGCAGGGAAAGGTCAGAGAGACCTTCCTGCTATTGTGGTTTCCTCAGATTTCTTCAGCTTCAAATACTTGATACGCTGAAGTGACATATTTTGGAGTAGTATGTCCTGAGCCCCATCACAAGCAGCTTCTTTTTTAAAAAAATAATTTCAACTTTTATTTTAGATTTGGGGGTATATGTGCAGGTTTGTTACTTGGGTATATTCCATGATGCTGAGGTTTGGGGTACAAATGATCCCATCACCCAGGCAGTGAGCATAGTACCCAATTGGTAGTTTTTCTGTGCTTTCTCCCACACTCTCTCCCCAGTCTAATGGTCCCCAGTGTCTATTGTTCCCATCTATTTTCATGTGTACTCAATACAAATAGCTTCTGTTCTTTGAGACTGATGTCCCTGAATATCACTAAAAGATGATGGCAAATTCCATGGACGTCATTCAGTTTCATTGCTCCTGAGTGAGGCCCACTTTCCATCCCTGTGGCTTTGTCTGTATTACCTGCTTCCTCTGAGACAAATAACAGTGAAAAGCTGGGGAATCCAGTTGATACCATTTGATCATAGAGCTCATTTTTAAGCTTGAGTGTTGTCTTAAACTTTCATCTTTTTCTTCGACACGAAATTGTTTTGAAGATAGATGTATTGTTTCGATTTGTTTTCTCTGAGGGAGACTATGCTTTTAGTCAATATGCTGGGAGAATTCTATAGAGTAAGATAAAAGCCTAGAACCTGGAGGATGGAGCCAGCATCCCAGGAAACTAAAGTTTTCCAGGCTGAATCATCCTCTCAAGGGGATTCTCTGAACTAGAGAAACCTCATCACATGCCACAGACCAGGATGATGAGACTACTTGTCATGATAATCACTTCTGTAGAGAATTTAATGGTAAGAGATTGATATTTGGATAATTTATATGATCTACATTTCTGGAATAGCAATTTCTGAGTTGATTTGCACAATTGTTTCAGTGTCTTCAGAGGTAAGAAGATGCAAAAGTAATTTTCAACCCAGAATGTGACTTCTTTGTTGCCAGCATTGATTCATACCAAGATTTCTGATAGGATGAGATTTTTCTTTTGTGGCTTTTGAAACATCTTTGCTTTTCTGAGGGACTATCACAGACCCTATGGTTTTATCTCATAAACTAGATGTTTTTCTCCTGTTCCCCCCATTATCTTTCCTTTTTTCCAAACTTCCTAAGCATAATTCTTTTATAATTCTTTTTTTTTCTTTTTTCTGTTTTTTTTTTTTTTTTTTTTTTTTTTTTTTTTTTTGCGATGGAGTCTTGCTCTGTCGCCCAGGCTGGAGTGCAGTGGTGTGATCTTGGCTCACTGCAACCTCTGCCTCCCGGGTTCAAGAATTTCTCCTGCCTCAGCTTTCCAAGTAGCTGGGATTACAAGCATGCATTTTCATGCCTGGTTAATTTTTTCTATTTTTAGTTGTGATGGGGTTTCACTGTGTTGGCCAGGATGGTCTCGAACTCCTGGCCTCAAGTTATCCACCCACCTCAGGCTCCCAAAGTGCTGGGATTACCAGCATGAGGCACTGTGCCCAGCCCTAAGCATAATTCTTTACTTGAATTAAAAGATTTATTTTAACCTGTTTAAGAATGAAAAAGTAAAGAGCATGATTACAAATTCTGTATCATACAAAGGAGGCGTTATTTAAAGATGTGACTTCCCCCACCTCCTACCCCTAACAGGCTCAGGCCTGCCTATTTTTGTAAATAAAGTTTTATTGGAACACAGCCGCACCCATTCCTTTATGTCTATGGCTGCTTTCATGCTACAAAAGGAGAGTAGTTGACACAGATTCACAAAGCCTAAAACTTTTACTATCTGACCCTTTACAGGGAAAGTTGGTCAACTGCTGATCTAAAGGCTGTGATGCAAGAAAATCTTTTTCAAGGCTTCAGTAGAATCCAAGTTTTAAAACCCTTTTTTCTATATAGTGAAGATAGTCTCTTAAAAAGGTTTTAAAAGAATGTATGACATGAGGTTCCAAAATAAAAGGTCACAGAAAAGTCTCTCTTTAACCTCTGTCCTCAACTACTTTGTTCCCTTCCCTGGACGTCATGTTACCAGACTGTTCTGGGTTCTTCTAAAGACATATCACACAAAAATGATTTTTTTTTCTATATTGTTCAAGCGGCATTCTTATTTCAGGTGAGATTCTACTTCTCTATTTAGTGAAAAAGATAACTATGAGAGATACTAAGGAAAAATGTACAGGGAAAAGGCTAATAATTAGTTCAGACTGTCACAGGTATTGTACACACATTGATGGGCTTGACTCTGAATGATGCAGCAGAGAATACAGAAGACCTGTAAGATATGATCCAGCTGGGGAAGGCCTTAATACAATGCTTGAACCAAGTCCTGAGAGAGGAGTAGGAATTGAGTAGATGCATCATTGTATTGTAAATGCAGGCAAGACCAATTATTAGCTAGCATCCCAGACACTTACCAAAGATGCTCCTCAGGCCCAGTGTGTCCAGCTTCTCAAAAAACGTTGCCCAGAATCAGAGCATCCTGAAAGTTGTGAGTCACTGTGAAAGCTGTCACTCTTCTTATTAACAGGCAGAGACATCCCAGGTTTTAGAAGAGCTCCAAGATCCCCTTTCTCTTTCCTTCTTTACGCTAGCTGCTCTGTAGACCTATGCTATCCAAAAAATATAATGTGAGTCACCCACATGCATTACTCGAAATTTTCTAGCAGCTGTGTTAAAAAGTAAAAAGAAACAGGTGGGTTGGGCACAGTGGCTCGTGCCTGTAATCCCAGCACTTTGGGAGGATGAGGCGGGCAGATCACTTAAGGTCAGGAGTTCAAGATCAGCCTGGCCAACAGGATGAAACTTTGTCTCTACTAAAATACAAAAACTAGCCAGGTGTGGTGGCATGCACCTGTAGTCCCAGCTACTCGGAAGGCTGAGGCAAGAAAATCACTTCAACTGGTGGAGGTTGCAGTGAGCTGAGATCACACTACTGCACTCCAGTCTGGGAGACGGAGTGAGACTCTGTCTCAAAAAAAAAAAAAAAAAAAGAGGTGAAATTACTTTTAGTAATTGAGTAATTTTAACCCAATATATCTAAAACATAGATTCCAAGATGTAATCAATATAAATTTTACTAATGGAATATGTTACATTCCTTTTCCCATATCAAGTCTTCAAACCTTGGTGTAAATATGACACCTGTAGCATATCTAATTTCAGACTAGCCACATTTCAATGCTCAATAGCCACATGTGGTAATGAAACGGGAAAAGTTCCCTTGTCCCCCTTGCAGGGTGTGCCATGGGGTTGTGGCTTGCTTCTTCGGTGCCCCGCTTGTGGTACCCCTAGGGGAAGCATGCAGATGGGCAGGTTGTGGAGAGCGTGGGCTCTGACCCCACAGCAGCATCTAGGGTTGAGTGTTTACAACTCCCGAAGCCCCAGTGGGCGTGTGTTACAATGCGCTTTTTCAGTTTTGCCGTCCACAGGCAGCTTGTGTTAATCAGCTCAATTAGACCCTCTGTCTTATTGCAAGGACAGAAGGCTTTCTGTATCCCGGGTTCTTGCCTTAGTGTACTGGAAAAATCGGATCACACGTGGGCCTTATTGAATGGCGGAAGTAGCTCTCAGCAGATGGATGGGGAGCCAGAAGGGGGATGGAGTGGGAAGGTGGTTTTCCCCTGGAGTCAGGCTGCTTTGACCACCCTCCACTGAACTCCGTGTCATCCCACCATTCTGCAGTCCATGGCTTGCCAGAGTCTGTCAGTGTGTTCTTCTGCTGGTGTGTTTTTCTGCCCCTCTGCTTCTCTAGATGTCCTGCCGCTTGTGTGCTCTTCTGCTGGTGTGTTCCTAGCTGCTTGTGTCTCTGCCCACTAGGGTCCCAGGGTTTTTATAGGCACAGGATGGGGGCATGGTGGCCCGGGGTGGTCTTGGGAAATGCAACATTTGGGCATGAAAACAGAAATTCCTGTCCTCACCTAGGTCCGTGGGCACAGGCCTGGGGGTGGAGCCCTCACCAGGGACCCCATCCTTCTCCTCCCAGCACTTCCCTGTCCTCCTACCATATCAGTAAGTGACAACAGATTGAAAAGCACAGCTTTAGACTCTGTAAAAAGGGATGTGCAGTGTTAAAGAAACATTTTTCAATGTCACTTGTTAAACAACAATAAGGCAGCGCCTGGCACCATGGCTCATGCCTGTAATCCTAGCACTTTGGGAGGCCAAGGCAGGAGGATTGCCTGAGCCCAAGAGTTCGAGACCAGCCTGGGCAACATGGCAAAACTCTGTCTCTACAAAAAGCACAAAAATTAGTCAGGCATGGTGGTGGATGCCTGTAGTCCCAGCTACTCGGGAGACTGAGGTGGGAGAGTCACCTGAGCCCAGGAAGGTTGAGGCACAGTAAGCCATGACTGCCCCACTGCACTCCAGCCTGGGCGATAGAGTGACACCGTTTCAAAACAACAACAACAACAACAACAACAACAACAATGACAACAACAAAAACAAGGCAGACTTTATTCAAGGGGAGGGGGACTATCATGATTGGTGTAGGGATCACTGCTATGGGGTCTTGCTGTGGGGGAGAGAGACTGGGCTCAGTTCCAACAAGGACAAGGGGTGATTTGTAACCAAGGGTCAGAGTAGGGTCAGTAGATGGAATATTACTAAGAGGAAACACAGGGGTAAAGGGGATTCTTCTAGACCCAAAAGAATTCTTGCTGAAGGCAGGCCAGGGTTGTAAGATATCAAGGGTGGCAAGATACCAAGGGTGGAGGGTTTTCACTAAACTGACTTAGGAGGATTCTTGTGCAAACTGAATTCCACAAGGACAGAGAGGGAAGCCCAAGGTCAGGCCTAGTCGAGCAGAGGGCTCAGAGGAGCTTGACTGTAGTTAAGTCAAGGAGAGAGTCTTTGCCAGCAGATCTACCACTTGCTCATGGCAGAATCCCTGGGTATAATTCACAGAGCACAAGAATATATATTAAAATCTTAAAGCATCTAACCTTTGGTTATGTATATTTTCATGTTTGGGATGAAACCAGTATGAAATGGACATGTATGAGACCTGGTATTGGGTGTAGTAATCTGTCATCTTGCTTGTTTCTTCCAGCAGCTCCCCAGGCCCCCTAGCCCTACCACACTGCCTCTGGGTTTTGAGAAAGTGCTTGCTTCTCTTAGAACTCTCTAGATGCTGAATAGCATTTTTTTTTTTTTTTTTTTTGAGACAGGGTCTTGCTCTGTCCCCCAGGCTGGAGTGCAGTGGTGTGATCTAGGCTTACTACAACCTCCACCTCTTGGGGTCAAGTGATCTCAGTCTTCCGAGTAGCTGGGACTACAGGTGCATGCCACCATGCTCAGCTAATTTTTTAAGGTTTTGTAGAGACGGGGTCTCACCGTATTGCCCATGCTAGTCTGAATAGCATTCTTGAAGAGAAAAAGGACATGGGTTAATTCAGTTTGCTGTTCTAGCATCTGCCACTCTCTACCCAAGACCATTGTAGGGGAAATTTACTTGGCAGGTTCTTTCAGAGTCCCCTTAGGAAGGTTTGCAAGTAATGAGTACTTTCTGCATTCAAAGGAGAATAAGCATTTGACAGCAAAATCTACTGATTGCCAAAGTTTTACTTCTGTATTTCATCGTTGATTTGGGCGTAGTTTAGAAAAAGCCAGTCTTTTTGGCAAGCTTCAGATGGAAGCTACCATTGATAAGCAAATTTGGCCCTTCTCATCAGTAGGACTAAAGAAAATGGAGGTTTTTAACAAAGAAATATTGAGACACGTGGATCATTCAGTTCATCAACAAATGTTTTTTTTGAGTCAACTTTGCCAGTAGGGTGCTAGACAGTGAGATACAAAGGTGACTTAGACCCCTGTGTTCAGAGAATTCTGTCTTATTTTCAGGGCAGATAGGGAGAGATTCACATATGAGTAACATCTGAATCTTTCAAGAGTGCTTCAATACGGTCGGGTGTGGTGGCTCATGCCTATAATCCCAGCACTTTGGGAGGATGAGGCAGGAAGATCTCTTCAGCCCAGGAGTTTGAGACCAGCCTGGACAACATATGGAGACTCTATCTCTACAAAAAAAATAAAAAATTAGTTGGCCATGGTGGTGCATGCCTGTAGTCCCAGCTACTTGAGAGGCTGAAGTGGGAGGATGGCTTGTACCTGGGAGGGCGAGGCTGCAGTGAGCTGTGATTGCACCACTGCACTCCAGCCTGGGCAACAGAGCAAGACCCTGTCCTAAAAAAAAAAAGGTACTTCAATAGAGGGATAGAATAATGGCTTGGAATCTTACTGGGGAAGTAAGTGATCATGTGGGTGTCAGGCTTTCAGTATTACTGAGAAAAGCTGTGTAGCTTCTCACATACACGTGGACATGCACAAGAATGATTTACTCCAACCTAGGTATAGATTGGTAGATTTGTGGAATTGTGACATTGTTTATGAAAGGATTCTATAATAACAATTTTGGCACTTTCAGCATTTATTAAATTTGTAAATTGCACAAGAACCCCTTTCCATGGCTCTCCTGATTCCTGGCTACTTCTGGCTTGATAATAAATAATTGTATATTAGTGTAATTTTTTTCTAAGCTAAAAGAGAATAATAGTAACCTAGCAAGCCTGCAGCAAGTGGGGAGTTCCTAATGTTAATAATCCAATCAAAGTTGTTTTAATATGTCAAGTTAACAAGGCAAACCATAATTGTAGAGTAGAAAGTCATTCAAGTGTCTATGTAAATGATGTCTTTCTTTATTTAGAAGTGATATTTGACATTTATTGGAAGTTTGTTTTACATTTGGTATACAGTCTGGGTCTGTTGACCTCAAGAAAGAGGACATTCTCTCTGGTATGCCAGACCATGTGGCTGGTCCCACGGAAGTAGGAAGCCTGGTGTCTGCTATGGACTGAATGTGTGTGTCCCCTCCCAGATTCAAGTGTTGAATCCTAATCCCCAATGTGACGGCATTTGGAGGTGGGGCTTTTGAGAGGTAATTAGGTCACGAGGATGGAGCCCTTATGATGGCATTAATGCCTCTATAAGAAGAGACGCAGGAGAGATGATCATTTTCTGCCATGTGAGGACACAGGGGCAAGGTGGCTATCTGCAAACCAGAAAGAGAGGCTTCACCAGACACCAGATCTGCTGGCACCTTGATCTTGAACTTCCCAGCCTCCAGGAATGAGAGAAATAAATTTCTGTTGTTTAAGCCATCCAGCCTATGATATTTTCATTACAGCAGCCCAAACTAACACAGTATCCAGAATACATCATTAGTAACACTATGAAGTACATATATAATGTTATTTCTCTTTATTGATTAGGGGAATATGAAGGCAAGAATAACCTAACTTCTGGGTTACATCTTGCAAACCCGGGATTCACCAAGGATCTGGTAGCCAAAGCCCACTTCATGGAGAAGTGATACCTTTTTATTTAAGAGAGATGGGCTTAGTCCTCAAACATGATACCACTGGCCCAGAGAAGAGCAAATTGCCTGGCCAAGGTGGCTGCCCTGGAAAACTACTGAAATGATTTGGATAAAAGTCAGCCTCCTATATCACAGCATCTTCTTGATCTGAGTGTGGTAGTATGTTTCTATTTTCTCTTCATTTAATCTGAAGCCATACAATATGAATTGGCTGGTTTTGAAATGGCAATTATTTGCTCTTGGTATCTTTCTGGTCTTATAGAAACAGCCTAGCTTAAACTGAATTCTGGCTCCAGGCAGAAATAAGAATTCAGAAGGTGCATCATAGGAAAAATAATATGTAACCTAGAATACCACTTAGAAATACAGCACAAGTCGGGTAAACACTTAAGATGTTTTGGTTTGTTTTACCCTGTTTTCGTGGCTTCCTCAATTGCAGCTTTACTCTTATGCCCCTCAGGAAGGCAGCCATGACAGCACTTTAGGGGTTAAACTACTTAGAGTTTAAGCCCTAGGAATAGGTTTATTGTGAAGGCAAAACTGCTGTTGGTAGGATTCCACAGCTGTGGGAAAATGCTGAATGCTTATAAATTGGCAAGCCAATCAAGATAATTTATTTATTGTCCACACCTGAGGGTATTTTTTTAGCAATAACTCTTCTGATGTGAAAAGAAAATAGTGAAGAAGGTAAACATCATGGTGTACACTCGTTAAATAACTGAAATGTCTTTTTTTTTCATAAGGCATCTTTATTTCCCCCTAAAACATACCTGCAAGTGACCTTATGCAAGTCAGCAAATCCGGCTGCTGAACACTTTTTAAGCCCCTTTGCCATAGCTTATTTAACCTTAAGAAATCCTATTTTATGACAGTAAACAAAAACAAAGTGGGAAAACTATAAATAACTTATATGTAACATAGCTATATAAAAAGTAGTAGAAGTATAAATCACCTGTATGTAAAATAGCTATGTAAAATAACTTTAAAAAGCATTCCATTGAGAAAACATTAGAAAATATTAACAATGGTTATCTTTGAGTGGTGGGGAACATGGGTGAACTTTTTTTTCTTTCTCTACATTTCTTTTTTTTTTTTTAAGAATCACCCAGAGTGAATCAGTAAAATATTTGACTGTGTTATTTATTTAATTAAAAAAAAAATCGGGCCCGTCGTGGTGGCTCACGCCTGTAATCCCAGCACGTTGGGAGGCCAAGGTGGGCGGATCATGAGGTCAGGAGTTCAAGACCATCCTGGCTAACATGGTGAAACCCTGTCTCTACTAAAAATACAACAAATTAGCTGGGCATGGTGGCGGGTGGCTGTAGTCCCAGCTACTCAGGAGGCTGAGGCAGGAAAATGGCATAAACCCGGGAGGCGGAGCTTGCAGTGAGCCGAGATCGCGCCACTGCGCTCCAGCCTGGGCGACAGAGCGAGACTCCGTCTCAAAAAAAAAAAAAAAATCTCTGATCTGTATTTACGGCTTACTATCCTTTGTGGTCAGTCTAAGCCTCCTGTTTTTGTTTCTGTATTCTCCCCACCCCACCATGCTCTTTTTTTTTTTTTTTTTTTTTTTTTTTTCTGAGACAGAGTCTCGCTCTGTCACCCAGACTGGAGTGCAGTGGTGCGATCTCGGCTCACTGCAGCCTCTGCCTCCTAGGTTCAAGCGATTCTTCTGCCTCAGCCTCCTGAGTAGCTGGGAATACAGGGGCACACCACCATGCCTGGCTAATTTTTTGTAGTTTTAGTAGAGACAGGGTTTCACCATGTTGGCCAGGCTGGTCTCTAACTCCTGACCTCAGGTGATCCACCAGCCTCGGCCTCCCAAAGTGCTGGGATTACAGGTGAGAGCCACCACGCCCACTCCATGCTCTTTTCTTTTGAGACAGAGTCTCACTTTTGTCACCAAGGCTTGAGTACAATGGTATAACAGATCACTGCAGCCTTGAACTCCTAGGCTCAAGTGATCTTCCCGCCTCAGCTTTCCAGGTAGTTGGGACTCCAGGTGTGTACCACCATGCCTGGCCAATTTTTAAATTTTTTATAGAGACAAGTTCTCACTCTGTTGCCCAGGCTGGTCCTGGACTCCTGGCTTCAAGCAGTCCTCCTGTCTTGGCTTCCCAAAGTGTTGGGATTACAGGTGTGAGCCACTGTGCCCAGCGCCCACCATGTTCTTGAAAAGATAATGTCCCTGAAATATTGATAGTGTTGTTTTGTGCACATATTTGTGTTCTATTTACCAAAATGGCACTGTGCTATGATTCTTATTATATGCTTTATTATTATCACTCAACACCACGTTTTAAGTCTACCCCATTGCTATATGTACATTTAGCTCATTGCTTTGGGGTGCTGCATTCCTTAGTCTAGACCCATCACCTTTTACTTATGTATTCTGCGAGTTGCCTCCACCTTCCTGCTACCACAAACAAAGACTATCCTTGAACACATGCCCTAATGGAGCTATGTGTGAGTTTCTTTGGAATACACATATCCAGCAGTGGAATTGCTGGGCCATGGGAATAGGCACACTTAACTTAGCCAAGACCAGTCAGTTCCAGAAAAGGAAAGTGGCTGCACCAGCCTGTCTATGTCAGCAGGGTCCCAGGTCCCCATGTATTTGCCAAGCATTATCCACCTTTCTACTTTTTGCCCGTCTAATGGGTGCAAAGTGGTGTCAAATTATTGTTTTAATTGACATTTCTGATTGCTGGTGATGTTAGCCATTCTGATTTCTACCTTTGTGCACTGCTTCTTCTTAACCTTTGTTTTTTCCTTTTTGACTTCCAGACTTTAAAATGTGTGTGTGTGTGTGTGTGTGTGTGTGTGTGTATGTATATATATATGTATGTATGTATTTAATAGCTTTATTGAGATATAATTCACATACCATACAATTCACCCACTTAAAAAGCATTAATTGGTTTTAGTATGTTCAGAATGTTGTGCAACAATCACCACAATCGATTTAAGAACATTTTTGGCCAGGCGCGGTGGCTCACACCTGTAATCCCAACACTTTGGGAGGCCAAGGTGGGAGGATTGCTTGATCCCAGGAGTTCAAGACCAACCTGGGCAACATAGATCCTATCTATGAAAACACAAACGAAAAGAAAAACATTTTCATCAGCCCCCAAAGAAATGCTATACCCATTAGCAGTCACTTCCCATTTCCCCCAATCCTCCTAGTTCTAGGCAACTGTTTTCTGTCTCTATAATATATTTTTCTGTTCTGGACATTTCAATAAATGAAAATACACAATATGTGGTCTTTGTAACTGGCTTCTTAGCATAAAGTTGTTTTGAGAGAGAAGAACTGAACTAGGAATTTTAACATTTATAAAGTATTTACAATTGCTGGATCCTGAGACTACAAATAGAAATATGTATAACAGGCCGGGTGTGGTGGCTCACGCCTGTAATCCCAGCACTTTGGGAGGCCGAGGCGGGCGGATCACGAGGTCAGGAGATCGAGACCATCCTGGCTAACACGGTGAAACCCCGTCTCTACTAAAAATACAAAAAATTAGCCGGGCGTCGTAGCGGGCGCCTGTAGTCCCAGCTACTCAGGAGGCTGAGGCAGGAGAATGGCGTGAACCCGGGAGGCGGAGCTTGCAGTGAGCCTAGATCGCGCCACTGCACTCCACACTCCAGCCTGGGCGACAGAGCGAGACTCTGTCTCAAAAAAAAAAAAAAAAAAAAAAAAGAAATATGTATAACAGATACTGGTTTTCTAGACCATCTAATTGGTAAAAATGACAAAAAAGAGAAAAGAAACAAAACACATAAGTTGTAGAAAATATCTATAATATTAAGCTAAACAAAAAGGTTAACTCACAGTAGTGTATAATATTAGCCCGTGTATACTTGCATAAAACAAAGACAGGACTGATGTAAAAGAAAATGTTATTAGTGTTTATAGTTGCATGGTAAGATTAAGGATAATTTATTTTTCTTCCAAATTTGTATAGTGAACCTGTATTTTTTCAACAAACAAAGAATCTAAAGTGATAATAAAATGATAGAAATGTAAACTTAAGACCCATCTTTAAAAGTAATAAATCTTTCTCAGCTATAGTACTAATTTTTTTTTTAAGTAACAAATCTTTTTACTATGGAAACTTTACAACATTACACAAAAATAAAATGAATGTACAATAAACCCTTAACTCACAGCACTCTTGTTTTATATATGCAAGTGTAATTCAAAGTTGAGTGTGCATCAGAATTATCTGGAGGTTCTGTTAAAATACAGATTGCAAGGTCCCACCCTCAGATTTTCTGATTTTATGGATCTGGGTTGGGGCTTAAGAATTTGCATTTCTCACAAGTCCCCAGGAGATGCTTATACTGCTCTCTGGGGAATACACTTTGAGAACCACTGACTGTTCTATACCCTCACCTACTTCGACTGCTACCTGGATTATGTGTAGGAAATCCTAGACATCATTTCATCTGTAAATATTTCAATATGTATCTCTAGAGAATAAATATAACCGCCATACTGTTATTATATATGTTAAAATGCCTAGGCCGGGCGCGGTGGCCCACGCCTGTAATCCCAGCACTTTGGGAGGCCGAGGTGGGCAGATCACGAGGTCAGGAGATCGAGACCATCCTGGCTAACACAGTGAAACCCCGTCTCTACTAAAAATACAAACAATTAGCTGGGCATGGTGGTGGGAGCCTGTAGTCCCAGCTACTAGGGAGGCTGACGCAGGAGAATGGCATGAACCCCGGGGGGCGGAGCTTGCAGTGAGCCGAGATTGTGCCACTGCACTCCAGCCTGGGCAACAGAGCAAAACACCGTCTCAAAAAAAAAAAAAAGAAAAAAAAAGTATATATATACATTTTAAAACGCCTAGTGATTCCTTAAAATAATCAAAGAGCCAATCAGTGTTCACGCTTCCCTGTCTCATATATATATATATATATATATATATATATATAAATATGTATATATATATATATTTTTTTACAGTTGGCTTTTTGAACCAGGATCTATTCTAGGTTTTGTCTTACATTTGGTTGATCTGTCTCTTAAATTTCTTTTAATTGGCTTAAAAGATTGGCCGGGCACAGTGGCTCACGCCTGTAATCCCAGCACTTTGGGAGGCCAAGGTGGGTGGATCACGAGGTCAGGAGTTCAAGACCAGCCTGGCCAAGATGGTGAAACCCCGTCTCTACTAAAAATACAAAAAAAAATTAGCCAGGTGTGGTGGTGGGTGCTTGTAATCCCAGCTACTCAGGAGGCTGAGGCAGAGAATTGCTTGAACCCAGAAGGCGGAGGTTGCAGTGAGCCGAGATCGAGCCACTGCACTCCAGCCTGGGCGACAGAGCAAGACTCTGTCTCAAAAAAAAAAAAAAAAAAAAAAAAAAGATTAAAATCTGTCTGAAAAATAAAGGATGAACATGGTGTGTTCCTTGCCTCAATTTCGGAGGATGAGTGCACACATCGTTCAGGTCAGACTCTGCCAGATCATCTAATCCAACTACATTGTGAATTCACAGCTCAAGGAGACATTTTAGATTGAGCACTCTCTGTGACCTTGTTGATCATACAGCCCTGGGCAAAAGGTCCATGGACTCTGGTTGCTCAGGCCATGGTTTCTGTCTTCCACAGCTTGATTGTTCACTTCCCTTGGATTGTGTGAGCTTCCTCAGTGTCCTTCCAGTGAATCTCCCTGCAGCCCCTGCCTTTCTTTAGTGCTTATTGCTAGCATTGGTTTTTTGTTTTCCAGCAACCAAAAGAATGTTTATTAAGTCAGAAATTTGTAACTAGAAGAGGGATTTTGCAAGCAACAGACCCTAGAATGTGAAATGAGTTGTGGTGAATGGCAGAGCCCCCATTTTGCTATAATAATAAAGGGCACCAAAACTGTTGATCAGTCTATGGCTTGTTTCCTCCTGGGACTGTGTGCCTGCCTATAGAAATGTAAGGATGTTTCCCAGCCTAGGCTATGTCTTTCTGCCTTTCTCGAGGTGCTTCAAGAGGGAGAGCTAAGCTTTGGCTCAGGATGGTCCATGTGACAGCAGAGAATGAGACTGATGTATGGTTTCATTAAGACTTTTTTCTTCTAGAGATGGGGGTCTCGCTATGTTGTCGAGGTGGTCTCAAACTCCTGAGCTCAAGCAATTCTCCAGCCTCAGCCTCCCAGGTAGCTGGGGCCACAGGTGCGAACCACCATGCCTAGCTATGGTTTTATTAAGAAAATATACACCCTGGCCAATGATGTTCATGTCAAGGGCCTGTCAGTCATACTCTCTTAGAAAGTGGGCTGCTAAGGTGATATAGTGCCCAGCAGGGAATCTTCCCCACTGCCTCTCTCAGGTGGGGCCTTGGAGGACCCTGGGTAATAAAAATCCAATGGGCACAACGTGAGTTGACCAAGAACCTTTCTCCATGGCTAGGGAAGTAAGTCAACAAGTGGACATTTACAGAAAATGGTCCAAAAGGATCATGTTCATTGCTTTTCCTTTTACTGAACATTTTTGGCCCCCACTCCTCACACTGTACATTGGGGTAACATTCAGCCCACAAATTGCAAGATCATGAGAAGACACATCTCATCTTGCCTGAGACATGGACATCACCAAAAGATCCTTTACTCGCGAGCTGAATGGGAGACTGGCTGTGAATTTGGGTTGTCTCCTAATGGAGAGGGGGTCAGTTCATTTTTGGCTGTATGTGAGATAGCTGTACTGTATTAGGTGGTAGCATTTTTCAAATGTGTGCACAGGAATAAAGGTGTGTGTGTGTGTGTGTGTGCGCGCTGAACTACCAAGGATAGACTGTGGGATATATTTATTGTTTTGTTTTTCCAGAGCAGGGAAGAAACCTGTATTAGTCAGGTTTCTGCTGTGCTAATGGTACATAACAACTAACCTCCCAAATCTCAATGGCTTACAAAAGCAAACATTTATTTCTTACTTATGGGTCTGCAGGTGGTTTCGGCTTTGCAGCACGTGGCTTCTGGCTGCAGGTTGGTTTCTGGTCTGCTCCATATATCATCAGTGGCTACCCACAGCAAGTTCTTGTGGCTAATGGCAGAAAGGCAGAAAAGAGACCAAGCTAAACCTCGCAAGCACAATTAAAGCTAAAGCTTTAATTTGCGGCTAAAGCAAACCACAGGACCAAGCCCCAAATAAATGAGGGTTGGGATTTATTCTTGGCCCACAGCAAACCCTGGAAAAGGAAGGGAAGGAAGACTTGAGAAAAATATAATCCATTCGACTATACTCCCCCTTCTTCTGAGAAATCAACCATGTGGTTTAGATGTGTTTCCTTTCTCAATAGACTGCATCGTTATCCATTCAATTGCTCATGTTAGTAGCCTAAGATACAAGAAAAGTTATGGATTGGGAAGAGAGGAGTATTTGTCCAGTGTGAGATCTATGGAGTATGAGGTGAGTCTGGGATAATCAGAGAGGTGAGGAGACTGTTGGCTGTACAGAACTAGAGTGAAGCCATTTTGGTTGTTAATTTTCCTACCTGAGTTCCTACAAGTTTCATGAGTGGGGCTAATGACAAATGTTACTGGTTTCTTAGGGTCCTCTCACTAGAGTGTCCTTATGTTGTTACCCTCGTGAAGTTACTCTGGGTTCTGAACCGAGACTGGTCCTGTTTCCTTTCATCTGTAACTCTGTGTTATGAAATGCCACATCAAGATTCTCTGTGTGAAATTGCACGCAGGCTTTTATTACTTCAGAGAAGTTCTTTGACCAAAGAGCATTGGCAGGTCCTATTTTTCAGTTTCAGCCTGTTTTGGTTCACTGTTTGTAAAGATTCTCCTGAAAAAGGAATTTCTGTGTTTGTGTAAATACACTTGAGTCATCATATCTTGTGCAAATTGTCTGTATTGATTAATGGTCTCTTGTTTGCTTCCTTTCGCTTGTTGTATTTATAGCTCACATTACTTATAATTGTTGGACAACATAATATGGACCAGATGGCTTCATTATTCTGAGTTTCACATTTTGAATTTTAAACATTGTGTTGGACTGCCTGTGGCCAGCTGTGTCCTGGAGGAGATGATGAGGCCAGACCACAGTTCAAACATCTTGGGCCAGATACCATGGACATTAAGTGCTTTTGAGGTTATTAGCATTTGAGGTGTCCTCTGGTCCCCTGCTGTGGTTTCACTTGGAAGCTCTGACTGGAGAGCCAGGGAGAGAGAGGGAGGGAGGGATTGGAAGAGAGAGAGAGAGAGACTGTGTATTGAAGATCTTCTGATCATGTGAATGCCCTATGATTGCATTGTATTTGAAAAAGCTTTTCACCCATAAGCTCATAGAACTTATTATACTTTAGACATTTTAAGTATAGCTAGTAATATTTAAAAATAAGAGTATAAATCGGGGTCAGCAGGAAACAGGTGTCATACTCAAATAGGATAATAGAACAATGATTACCTAAGGGACTATTTACAATGGTATGGGCTCAGGAAAACAAGGTAAAGTGAAGTAACATTCTAGACTTGTATGGGCAAGGTGAAAGAGTGGTTACCAGGACCCGGAGAGAGTAGCTATAGCTACAGGAAAAGGTGATTGGATCACAGAGTGCCCAGACATTTGGCCAAACATTATTCTCGGTGCATTTGTGAGAATGTGTCATCTGGATGAGATGAACATTTGAATTGGTAGACTGAGTGAAGCAGAATCCCTCCCTAATGTGGGTGGGCCTCATCTAATTAATCGAAGATCCGAAGAAAACAAAAGCACTGAGTAAGAGGGAAATCCTCCTGCTTGACTGCATGAGTTGGGACACTAGTCTTTTCTGGCCTTTGCACTTGGATTGAAACATAGGCTCTTCTTGGATCTCAAGACTGTGGCCTTTCAAGTTGGAATTTACACCATTGGCTCTCCGTGTTCTCTGGCTTTCAGACGCAGACTGGGACTACACACCAGCTCTCCTGGATCTCCAGCTTGCTGCCTGCAGATCTTGGGACTTCTCAGTTTCCATAATCATGTCAGCCAATTCCTTACAAGAAATCTCTCTGTCTATATATCCTATTGGTTCTGTTTTCTGGAGAACCCTTACTGATATACAGGTCAAGGTAGCAGGTGCTGTGGCCTTTCTTAGGGGGACATCTAGACAATCCTGGTCACCAGGTAGAGGAGGGAACTAGGGGAATAAATGCTTAAATCTCATTCTTCTCCCTAGTGCCTGTAATTGGCTGAACTCACTTGGCGATTATAGGGCAAGGGAGCCAGTTGATGTAGCTTTTGAAGAATCTGGGACACGCACTAGGATGGAGAAGGATAAAAAGTGGATCTAGAGGGTGCAAATGGAACCTTACCAGATAATTAGGTTTTATAACAACTATTGTTATTACTTTTTTACATTCTTCCAGATATGCTGTGCATACATAAGCATATATGGAGATCTTCGTAGTATTCATGATATTTCACTCTTCCAATATCACTTTTATGGCTGCATGACATTAAAGAACCTTTCATTATTAAATAGTCTTACATAGAATAGATGTAACAGTTATATAATACAAAAATAGTAAGGAAAGAAACACCTGTGTACCCCTTCATCCTGTTAGAATACTACCAAAACTTCTCAGGGTTGCTGTGAGCACCTTCCCAATTGCATTTTTTTCCCACCAAGGGTAGCTGTTATTTTGAAATTTTAAATCACTCTTTTGAGATAATTTCATTATTATTATTATTATTATTATTATTATTATTTTTTTTTTTTTTTGAGACGGAGTCTCGCTCTGTCACCCAGGCTGGAGTACAATGGTGCGATCTCAGCTCACTGCAACCTCCGCCTCCTGGGTTCAAGTGATTCCCCTGCCTCAGCCTCCCGAGTAGCTGGGATTACAGGCACCTGCCACCATGCCCAGCTAATTATTTATTTATTTATTTTGAGACACAGTTTCACTCTTGTTGCCCAGGCTGGAGTGCAATGGCGCGATCTTGGCTCACTGCAACCTCTCCCTCCTGGGTTCAAGCAATTCTCCTGCCTCAGGCTCCCAAGTAGCTGAGATTACAGGTGCCCGCGACCACGCCTGGCCTATTTTTTTTTTTTTTTTTTTTTTTAGAGACAGAGTCTTGCTCTGTCGCCCAGGCTGGAGTGCAGTGGCACAATCTCAGCTCACTGCAAGCTCTACCTCCTGGGTTCACACCATTCTCCTGCCTCAGCCTCCCGAGTAGCTGGGACTACAGGCGCCCACCACCATGCCCAGCTAACTTTTGTATTTTTAGTAGAGACAGGGTTTCACCAGGTTGGCCAGGCTGGTCTCGAACACCTGACCTCAGGTGATCCACCCACCTCGGCCTCCCAAAGTGCTAGGATTACAGGTGTGAGCCACCGCTCCGGGCTTATTATAATTTTTCTGCATAAATATCTATTCTCAAAGTATTGTCAAGTTTTATATGATTTTGACATTTATGTCGTTTTGAGCTGCATGTAGATTTCTGAGAATCAATTTTTATAGTTAACAGTATAATTTTGAGATTCATCCAAGTTGATATATGTTGTTATAATTTTTGTTGCTGTATCCTGTTCCATTATATGTATGTGCTATAATTAATTTTTCTATTTTACTGTCAATGGACATTTGTTGTTTCTACCTTTTCATAGTACTGCTATATAATTTCCTAGCATATATGTGCATTAGTTTTTCTATGATAAATAGTTTTTCTGGGAGAAAAAAAAAAGCCTGATGACAGAGCTCATCTTCAACTTTTCAGAGATAATGCTATATTGTATTATAAACTTGTTGCAGTTTTCACTCCCACTACCAAACTGATGGATTGGACTGCGTTAAAACTAAAAACCCTTGATCATGAAAACACAGGCTTAATGTTACCAACAGGCAAGGGGTTCATTCTAGGTCTTGTTGCTTACCACATGGAAAGCCAGTCACTGAGACTATGGTATTGTCAGGGAAGAAGGCTTTAATCAGGTGCTGCAGCCCAGGAGAATGGGAGATTAGTTTCAAATGTGTCTCCTTGACCAACTAAAATTGGGGTTTTATATAGCGGAGAAGGCAGGGAAACAGGAATCAGGGAGGGGTAAGGAAGCAATCATGGTGGATGAGGGTTTGGCATCTCATGGTCTGGATGCAGTTATCTGGTGAGTTTTAGTTCCTTGCCTGAGGATCGGTTTCCTGAGAAAGGAATGCGGGTACAATAAATGTAAGTTTCAAGTTTTGTAACTAGGGAGGGTCAATTTCTAAATTTATTTAAAAAACTGTAAACATTAGTTCTATGGAACAATTGGGCTGGTTTTCATTAAGACAGTAAAAAGGCAAGGCACATAATACGAGAAAATATTTTCAGTACATATGTTGAACAAAGGACTGATATTCAGAGTTTCTTAAAAACCCCGAGTCAACAGGAAAAATACCGACATCTCAATTTTTAACAATGGGCAATGACTGGGCATGGTGGCTCATTCCAGTAATTTCAGCACTTTGGGAGGTCACCGTGGAAGGATCACTTGAGCCCAGGAGTTTAAAACCAACTTGGGCAACACAGGGAGACTTTGTCTCTACAAGAAAAAAAAAATTAGCTGGGCGTGGGGGCATAACCTAAGGTCCCAGCTACTTAGGAGGCTGAGGTGGGAGGATCGCTTGAGTCTGGAAGGCTGAGGCTGCAGTGAGCTGTGATCATGCCACTGCACTCCACCCTGGGTGACAGAGTGAAACCCTGTCTCAAAAAAAAAAGTATAAAAGACTTGAACAGACACTTCATAAAAGATAATCTCTGAGCTGCCAAAAAACATAGAAAAGGTGCTTGGTTCATTAGTTCATCAGGGAAATGCAAATCTAAGACACATTAAGAAGTCACTATATACTTGCCAAATCCTAGCACTGGAAAAACTGACCATGCTAAGTGTTTGCAATGGTGTAGAGCACCAAAACCTCTTACTCTCTGCTGGCGGTAAAATGATTGTAAGTTGGTACATCCATACTGGAAAATTGGTACTATCTACTAAAACTGAACCTAAGCATAGCTAAAACACACAATTCCATTCCTAGGTATATACCCAGCAAAAATGCCTACAAAATGTTAATAACAGCACTATTCATAGTAATCTAGCATTGAAAACAGCCCAAATGTCCATCAAGAGTTGTATATCCATGCAACAAAATGGATGAATCTCACAAATTTGGTGAAAGGTAAAAGACATCAGATACAAAATGGAGCATACTGTATGGTTCTGTTTATATAAAATCCAAACAAACAAAACTTACTGATGGCAATAGGAGTAAGAATAATTGGTTACCTTTGGGGAAAGTGATGATTTGGAGTGGATATGCTGGGGGCATTTGGCACTAATAACATTCCTTATTTTGCTCTGAGAGTGAGTACATGGGGTAAATTCATTTTGTGGAAATTCATTGAGGTGTGTACTTTTGATTTCTGTATTTTTCAGTATTTATGTGGCACTTCAGTAAGAACTGTCTTGAAAAGCCATATGTTTGGAAATTAACTAAAGCATGTCTAAATAATCATGAGTAAAAAAGAAATTATGATGGAAATACAACTTAATGATGACAATACTTCCTGACAAAACCTGCAGGAAGCAGGTTAAACGGTACTGTAAGGAAAATTTTCAGTCTTAAATGCTTACATTGGAAAGAAAGAAAAGCTTAAAAATTTGAATCAAGCATCCAAATACAGCAGTAAAACTTACTAACTTTTATTTTAAATTTGGGGACACACGTGCAGGGTTGTTGCATGGGTAAACTCATGTCACAGGGGTTTGTTGTTCAGATTGTTTCATTACTCAGGTATTAAGCCCAGTAACCAATAGTTATTTTTCTTGATCCTCTCCCTCCTTCCACCCTCCACCCTCCAGTAGGCCCCAGTGTATGTTGTTCCCCTCTATGTGTCTATGTGTGCTCATCATTTAGCTCCCACTTAAAAGTGAGAACATGTGTTATTTGGTTTTCTGTTCTTGCGTTGGTTTGCTAAGGATAATGGCCTCCAGCTCCATCCATGTTCCTGCAAAGGACATGACCGCATTCTTTTTTTTTTATGGCTGCATAGTATTCCATGGTGTATATGTACCACATTTTCTTTATCCAGTCTAGAATCGATGGGCATTTAGGTTGATTCCATGTCTTTGCTGTTGTGAATAGTGCTGCAATGAGCATACTTGTGCATGTGTCTTTATGATAGAACAATTTATATTCCCTTGGATATAAAAGTATAAAGAAAGCATTAATAAAAATAAAATAGAAAACAAAGATACAATTTAAAAAAACTAAATAAAGACCAAAAGTTCAAGAAAACAAACAAAGAGAAAAAGCACAAATATACAACTTTAAGGATGGAAAGGAGAACATAACCACAGGAGATCCTGCTGTGTCCAGTTGCACAGGGTTTTCTAAAGATCACTTGTGTGGGGAATCTTTTATAGGGAACACGAGTAGATGCAGGCAGGCCTGTTAAGAGTTTATTGCTGTAATCCAGGTGAGATGAGATGGTAGCTTTTACTGGAACTAGAGTCTTGCTTAGGAAGGGTGATCATATTCTAAGGTTATCCATTGATTCTCTTTTATTCTAATATTTTTGAGACTCTTTACACATAAAACAGTAATCCTCATTTGGAATTTAAAAAAATATAATGTGAGGTAGAGATATAACTTTTCTTTTCAGATGAAAAACCATTTATACTAGCACAATTTATTTAAAAATGAATTGCAATACCATCCTTGTTGTATAGTAAGGTTCCATATTTACTTGAATCTGTTTCTGAATTCTCCATTCTTGGTTCTGCCATCTATTTGTCTCTTCCTATGCAGATACTATACAATGAGTTTTACAGTAAGTTTTAAATCTGGAAAGGTATACTATCCACTTACCATTTTTCTTTAATTTTTCTTTGGCTTTATTTTCTTACATTTATTCTTCCATATGAACTTGAAAACTGTTTCAGGCATTAAAAAATTCTCATCTTCCCGCTGATTTGAATGGATTTTATATATTAGTTTTAGAAGAATTGACACTTGTCTTTCCTTCCAGAAATATATTCTAATTTTCCATTATTTGGGTCACCTTTTTTTCCCCATGAATATAGGTAATCAAAACTTGACTGCCCTTATGTTCAGTGTTTTGTGTCTTTTATTTGAATATCTGAAGGTAATATTCACTTTACGCTATATGTAATTAAACAAGGAAATAGTGCTTGTTTAATCACTTAATATTCTAAACATTTCCAACATTTTAAGTGTAACATTTTGAATATGGAAATTCTTCTTGCTCTGTGACTACTGAAAGCCTCTGATTCAAGATTAGTTGGAGAGAAGAAAAAGTATTAAAAGTAGGTTAATCAATTTTATATAATTTTTATTAAAAAATTTTTTGTAGAGATGGTGTCTTACTATGTTGCCCAGGAGGAACTTCTGGGCTCAAGCAATCCTCCCAGGTAGCTGGAACATGGGGTGTGCCACTGCATCCAGCACAATTTTATATAATTTAACAGATACTCAGTGTAACCTTTGAATTGGTTATACACCATTGTCTCTTATATCAATCCCCTTTTCCAGGTTTTGATTTCGTCATACAGCAAAGCAATGGCAGAGCAGGTTTGAAATTTGAATCAGATTATCTTCATATTTTCTGAGTGAATCAGGATTACGAGTCCATCCAGAATTACTCAACAATGGAACTTCTAACATCCTTCTCTCCCCCAACTGAGGTGGTATGGGGAAGAAACTCAGTCCTGGCAGACAGGTGGCTTGGTAACCCAGGTCCCAGTGGCCTCACATGTCCCAGCATATTCCTCCTCTGCCTTTTTGCCTCCCTTAACAAACCGATCCAAGTCATGTAGCAGGAAGGGAGACCTCTCCTAATTTAGCTGACCAGGCTGAGTTCCTAACCATAAAAGGAAGAACCAAACCATTTATCTCTTTGAGTGATGCTTTCTGAGGTTGCTTAAGCAAGACTCTGGCATTCCCAATAAGGACCTGACCAAATTCAGCTGCCTGAAGACAAGATGGACTCCAGTGCCAACCTTTCATCAACTTTTTCTTCATTATACTTTCACTGTAATACTTAACTCTCTGCCCAAGGTGGGTCTTATCTGCCATTTTCTGGTCATGCAATGCATGTTAGAGCACAACGTCCCACTATGCAAGCATAGAAAAGACCGCACCTGATATGGTTTGGCTGTGTCCCCACCCAAATCTCAGCTTGAATTGTAATAATCCCAATGTGCCAATGGCAGGGCCAGGTGGAGATAATTGAATCATAGGGGTGGTTTCCCCCATACTGTTCTTGCGGCAGTAAATAAGTCTCATGAGATCTGATGGTTTTATAAATGGGAGTTCCCCTGCACAAGCTCTCTTGCCTGCTGCCGTGTAAGATGTGTCCTTGCTCTTCCTTCACCTTCCACCATGATTGTGAGGCCTCCCCAGCCATGTGGAACCATGAGTCCATTAAACCACTTTCCTTTATAAATTACCCAGTCTTGGTTATGTCTTTATTAGCAGCGTGAGAACAGACTAATACACCACCTAAACATGCTTGGACCCCACCTAAACGTCCCTTTTCCCACCTCAACTTCTTTAAAATGACAAGAGCTGATTCCCTCGGGATCCCTTTCCTGTATGCTGCTCCCTTGTGGGCTGGAGGCACAAGCCTATCAAACCTTGCCTGAGAAAATCTTGGCCTGGTGTAAATTTCTACCTACATAAGTGCCAAAGAACTTGGGGTCTGGGGTGCAGTAGCACAACCACCACCACCTTGGTGCTTAGAGAAGAGAGAGATTACATTACTCTCAAATAGCAAGACTCCCAGTGAGTGAGAAGCCTCAAGACTTTACCAACATTAGCATCTATTTTCCTTTCTTGTTTTAGTGAGATTTGGGGATGCAGCCCCTATTTATTACCTGGATTTTCTTACAGAAATGGTTCTAGGAGCACCAGCAGGCTTTTACCCTTACCTGGGACAGAGGATGCATGGAGATGGAGGAGGTTAGGGTTAGTGGAAAGGAAGGAGAGTGTTGATTTGTTCTCTCAATCTCCACTCAGGGCCAAGAATCAGTGCTCCTTGACTGTTTTAACCTCTCCTCTGTCCTCCTAAGGACAAATCCAGTTTTATCTAGAGAAGATTGGGGCTAAACCAGAAACTGCAAAACTGTGAAAGGGAACTATTTTGGGAAAACATTCTTTTCTCAATGCTAAAACTGCCTTTGCAGAGTTATAAATAATGAGGTAAATCTAACATGACTGACTCCATCTTGCTTCTAACCTCACAGGCTAAATTGTTTTTTTGTTTGTTTGTTTCTGTTTTTGTTTTGCTTATTCTAGCACAGCAGCCAAGATAATTACGAGAGGGATTTAGTGGACAGTTGAATTTCGAAGCAAGGGAAACTGACCTCCCTCCTTGTCCGGAGATTGAAGCTGCATTCATAAGGCAAGGTTAAAATTATGGTAGGGGCTTGGAGTTTGATAAAGAATAGGCACAGTTAAACAATGACCTGCTATCGCTTAATGTGTTTTCCTGTGAGTTGCTTACTGCCCCAGAGTCACGTAACCAGGGTCACAAGATTTGTAACTTCCCCAACTATTCCTATAGATAACATCATTATTGTGAAACCTAAAGACCTGGTCTTTGAGATACTTTTCAGATTTTTCATTTCAGTAGACCAAGAGGTACCACCTGGTCCTGAGAACCCCCTCACTCCTGGGAACTGACTCACCTGCTTAAAGAATTTTAGGCCACCCCGTGATTTCATCCCCAGCCAATCAATTGTTCCAGTTCCCTAATCCCCTGCCCACCAAAGTGCCCTTAAACAACCCTAGCCTCTGAATTCTCAGGGAGATAGGCTTGAGAAATTTCTCCCTGTTCTTCTCACTTGGCCAGCCCTGAGATTATTTAACTTTTTCTTTGCTGCAACACCTGCTGTTCACATTGTTTTTTTTTTTTTTGGTGAGGGGCGTCAGGCTGTGACAATACCTTTATTTTAAAATGAAGCAGGTAGGAGAATGTGAGGGGGAACTCTAAATATGATCTGTTTGTGGGGAAGGGATGGCATGATTTACTTTTAGTCTAATATTTTAACTCAAGCAAGATGTGTGCTCCAGCCACACTGGTGGAGTGGGGCTTCTTTGCGGCAGGAGGTCACACCCCAGGCTACTCCTTAGAATCACCTGGAGTGATATGAAAAATGCTACTGACTCGACCCATGCCTCAAGAGGTTCTAGAATAACACCAGTTGGTGGTCTGGGATTCGCCCTGGGCATGGGTCTTTTTTAAAGTTTAATGGTGATTCTAATGTGGGCCAAGGTTAAGAACACCGTTTTGGGGAAATTGCTGTGTCTAGGAGAATCTGGTTTTTTAGCAATGTGTGAAACAAAATCACAAGAAGATTTGGCTGAGGATTGCAAAATGATATGTAAACGGAGAGTGAGAGACCCCTGTTTTAAGTCATTAGGGAACAACCAGTGTCCTGCTAGTTAAGCTCGTGGGCCTATTTTTTCCAATTTGGATTTTTCATACTGAAATAATACAATATTTCCATCCAATGAAGAAGAATGTCATTCTCTCACATTTGTCATTATGTGAAGTCATATCTTGTGAAGCAATGCGTGCCTGCCACTGTAATAAGCTGATTTCAACAAAGGCAATATCAAAAATAGGGATTTTGGGGTCTTTTTTTTAGCCTAACTGTGAGCAATATAAGCCTTTTTTCTTTCTTTTTGAGATATGATCTCACTATGTTGCCCAGGCTGATCTCAAACTCCTAGGCTCAAGTGATCCTCCCACCTCAGCCTCCTGAGTAGCTGGGATTATAGGTGCACACCACTATGCCTGGTGATGGGGGTCTTCTTTTCTTCCTAAAACGTATATGACCATATTAGTTGCTTCATGAAAAAACCTTTTGGTCTTATTGCAACCTGAATGTTAGAATTTATTAATATATTGGAATAGAAAAGTCATTAAACCTTCTGGGATTCATCTAATTGCTCATTTACTTGTTTATTCATAAGGTACAGTGTATTACAGATATTTCCAGTGCCTTTAGGCGTCTTATTTTCCCCAGCTTCCAAAAGAGTTCTTGCTAATGTGGAGATAAAGCCAATATTAAACTCATGATTCTGATTATTCATTATTATTATTTTTAAATTAACAAGTTATTACACTGGCTATGTTCTTGTCACTTTTCTCTGATGCTCTAATTATCCAGGCATCAAAAATCATAATGAGGGGGACAAGGAGAGGTTGGTCAACAAGTATAAAGTTACAATTAGATAGGAGGAAAAACTTCTGGTATTCTATTGCACAGTAGGATGAAAACAGTTAACAATAAGGTAATGTATATTCAAAATAGCTAGGAGAGAGGGTGTTGAAGCTTTCCACCACAAAGAAATGATAAGTGGTTGAGCATGAGCAACCACTTGAGAAACATGGTGAAACCCTGTTTCTACAAAAAATACACAAAATTAGCTGGCTGTGGTGGTGCTTGTCTATAGTCCTAGCTACTTGGGAGGCTGAGGTGGGAGGATCATTGGAGCCCAGGAGGT
Source organism: Homo sapiens (assembly GCF_000001405.40). Lineage (NCBI taxonomy): Eukaryota > Metazoa > Chordata > Mammalia > Primates > Hominidae > Homo > Homo sapiens. Next base: position 16,548,887 of record NC_000023.11, on the reverse strand, counting down.
GGAGTTTGCAGTGAGTGGAGATCATGCCACTGCACTCCAGATTGGGCAACAGAGCGAGACTCTGCCTCAAAAAATAAATAAATAAACAGACAATAAATGTTTGAGTTGTAGATATGCTAATTACCCTTATTTGATCATTACACTATGTATACATGTGTACAATTATTATGTGTCAATTAAAAATAAAAATTCATAATGAAATGATAAGAGAGAAGAATATTACAAAAACCTTCTGGATAGGCCGGGCGTGGTGGCTCACGCTTGTAATCTCAGCATTTTGGGAGGCCAAGGCGGGCGGATCACGAGGTCAGGAGATCGAGACCACGGTGAAACCCCGTCTCTACTAAAAATACAAAAAATTAGCCGGGCGTGGTGGCGGGCTCCTGTAGTCCCAGCTACTCGGAGAGGCTGAGGCAGGAGAATGGCGTGAACCAGGGAGGCGGCGCTTGCAGTGAGCCGAGATTGCGCCACTGCACTCCAGCCTGGGCGACAGAGCGAGACTCCGTCTCAAAACAAAAAAACAAAAAACCAAAAAAACAAAAAACACCTTCTGGATAACATCAGGGTATTGACATATGTAATAAAATTAGTTTTCTGGTCTGGGAATGTGCCTGCATGATGTATGGGACATTCTCTCCTATGAGAAGTTGAGTGCAATTTTTAAACTAAACCTCCAATGGAAATTGTTGTGCTTCTCACTTTGATGTCTTTGAAGTCTGAGGGGAGGCTTCTAGGGCTCCTGTGATGCTTCTGCTCCACGAAGTCATTAGAAGCTCAGGCTACTTCCAGCTCTCTCTCCCCTCTGCCATCCCTGGGGCATGGCCTCATCCTAATGGTTCAATTAAAGCTAGAGTCATCACATCAACATGTTAATCAGCTGGATGTAGGAAGGTGAAGGTGGTGAGAGAAGGGGCAAAACATGTGCTCTTGTTGTTAAGAAAGTTCGTCAGATAAGATCACTAGATGAAAAAAATCACTAGATGACATCACATTTCTAGCTCATTGGCTAGAACTTAGTCACATGGCCAACTTTGCTGAACAGGAGGCAGGGAAATGTAGCCTTAGGCTGGTGACCATGTGCCTAGCTGAAAATCAGGGGTTGTAAGAGAGGAAGAATGGATGTTAGAGAACAACCAACAGTCTATGCCTTAGGCAGCATAAGATGGGTTGGATAGTCTCTGGGGAATTACTTTTCTACAAACTTATTTTCTGTCAGAGACTTCACCACACATTACTACTTAATTACTTTTCAGGATTTCTTCTCTTTGTGTTTTTTTTTCTCTGGGACCATGATGGGATAAACAAAGAGAACTCCATAGAAATTAAACTTAAAAGGGACATCCTGCAGAGAAGTGTATTTATATTCTAACCTATCCCTTATTCAAATAGACAATTCACTCAGTTGTCTCACAACATTTTTATTAGGACCCCCTCAAAGATTGATATAAGATAGAAAAGGTAGTTACCGAAAGAGAGGGATTTGACATTTGACAGGTGCCACTAAAGGCCTTCCTACAAAAAAAGTCTGCAGTCTTTTCCACACATCACCTAAGATTTCACTAGTAATAACAGTGCTTTTTAAAATGCAAAGTATGTTGAAGGAATTGTAAAGCATTAAGCTCTTTTTAGCTATTTATGCCTTAATATAAGTTAGTTTGTTATATGCATGAGATATAGCTGGAGTAGGGACTTTGAGAGGTGAGATGAGTGGGAAATATAAATTAGGAACATGTTGGGAAAGACCTGGGTGGGGCCACAAAAGTGCTTCACCTGTACCTCCTAAGCATCCTCCATTCCAGTATACACCATTGCTTTCTACTGAAATATCGGGACCCTGGTTGGGAATGTTGAAGGAATTTGCCAAAAGAATGGGAGATGGCAGAGTGAAAAAGACAAATATCACCACTTCAGGCTCCAGCTGAGAAAGACACTTATACAATTACTTAATTTTACTTAAATCATTTCATTATCTAACATTCATGCAAACTCAAATAAGAGTAAATCATGTTTTGAGATCAAAAGTTTATGACAAAAAAAATCATAATGCATTACTGGAAATCTCACTTTACCTGAGGTCAAGGTATCTGAATCCAATATCACTTCTACAGACATTTCCTTTCCTGCTAATGGATTTTTTTTTTACTTTTGATGATGAATGGGAATTTTCTTGTAAATCCAGAATGACAGTGATAAAGTTCATTGGGATAAGCAAGTTGTCAAAATGGCGGGAAGAGCATTGGAATTAAATGTCATCTACCGTGTCAGCAAACAGTGATGCATATCACATATATTTCATTGACTTGCATGTTCTTTGCCTTCTCTGCTTGTGTTCACTAGGTTACAGGGATCCTTATGCAATTGTTCCCAGAGAATAGAAGAAGAAGAGCCAACCATGCTGGGTGATTGGAGTGCAAGTTAGTTGTATTATGCCAGTTTGATATTATATAGGAAAAGCTCCATCAGGGGCTAGTGCAGGAGAACAGTCTAGGCTGAACAGGTCTAGGGTATTCATCATAGCAGATGAAAGTAGAGTACCACCCACACTCTGAAGCACTCAACTTTCCAGTACCCATTAGTGCCAGTGGCTTCTTACTGGCACTTGCAACTCTACCTGAGGGCTTTCTCTGGCTACAGGGGAGGGCCTTGTGCAGGGTGGGTCAGAGGTGGCAGGATCTGAAGGCCCCCAGGGGATACCCTCAACCAATGATGGAGGGGTTGGTGGATGAATATCTCAGCTTTCTTGCCCCTGGAAAGGCCTGTTTGACACGATCTCCCAGAGATCCCCTGCAGGATAAGCTCCCATTTGTCCATAGTGATAAACTGCTCACAAATGCATTCTATATTGGTTTCTTTCTGTTTCCTGTTTCATGTTCCCACCTCCCCTGCCAGAGCTTCCTGGGATCACCTCCTAAATTAGCTACTTGCATTCAAATACCTATCTCAGTGCCTGCTTCTTGGGGGAACCCTACTTGAGGCTTAGGCAATAAAAGCAATAGAAAACTGAAGAAGACATAAAACCTATCAGTGGTAGAAACTGGACGTCAGCATGTAGAAACCAGGTAGTGCTTTACATAACTTACTCCTTACAAGGACTTTAGTGAGGGATTGTGAGAACAGTACCACGGGATATTGACTCTAAATTCAGAAATGATCCTACTTGGATAGGTGGACTGGGATAGAGATAATTTAATGCATCAAAGTTCTTTATAAGAGTTCTATAGTTGTTTGGAAGTCTTGCCTGCTTGCAGCAGTGACTGGGAGGTCCTTGATGACTGCGCATGAATGAGAGAGAGGCAGAGAGAGAGACACTTTTATGAATAAATTAAAATCTGGAGTTGGGGAGTGGGGAGATCATCCATGCAGGATGAAGAGGAGACACTGAGACAGGATTCCAGAAAGAGAATAAGAGATGGGAGAGGTTCTTGCATGTTCATGTGTGATCTCTTGCCGCAAGCTCTTAAACCTTGAAAATATTATATTAAAACCCACAAAATGCCTGAAGTGAGTGGGTCCTTACGGGAACTGGTGAATGAACTAATTTTTGCATAGCGGGGTGACTTGGGACAGATCAGAGATGGAATAGGTGAACATCACAGCCTGACCTCAAGAGAGCAACTCTGGGAATAAGCAGAGATCACAGGGAGAATTCAGGACTTGCTCAGGCTTTGACACTGGTTGGGACGCATGACCCTTTCTCTCTGGCCTCCTAGGTGCCAAGGAGCCACAGCTGGCATCTCTGAGATGGGCTGTGCTTCAGAAAGGGGAACAAAGGAGGTGGTAGAAGTGCCTCCAAAATGCCTTTGAATTTTTCTTTTGAGTCAGTTAAGTGTTGCTCGTTCCTGGAACAGATAATTGGTTTAAATAGTTTTTGGAATTTCTTCTGGCTTGATTTATGACTCTGTGAAAGGAATCTGAAATTGTACGATAGTTGGGTATTTGAAATTTTTTCTTGGAACATTCTAAAGAAATAGAAATAGGCGGAAATGGGCTTTAGCTGACTTGGGATTCTGTTTTCAGCATCATATCCAGCAATTGCCTAATTCTATCTTTTGTATAATTGTTAAATACCCATTTTCATCCTGTATCTGAAATTCATGAGTCATATTCTTCTCTTCTACATTTCCATGACTGATACTTATCTTCCGCCTGAAGAATTTTTCCTTTTCTTTCTTGTTTTTAATTTTCCAAGAGCCTTCTTAGAACTCAAGGACTTAATGGCATTTTCTGTCGATAATGTTTTTATTTGATTTGGTTCTATAATCCCAAGGAAGACATTTCTGTTCATAAGTTTGGAGATTTCCTGCTGTTGCTTCATTGCTGGTCCTTGCCTGGCATAGGACAGGGAAAGTTCCAAGGGCAACAGCCTGCAGAAGCCCACCACCTGGCCCAATGGCTGAAGACAGCAGGCTTTCCCTAGAGCTACCTTTGTCTGTGCCCTCTCTCAATTCTGGGTTGCAGGTTACCCCAGAGCTTGAGCTATATATAGATATATAGAAGAAAATATATCCATCTATCTATAGATATAAAGATTCCCATCTCTCTCTCTGTCTATCTATCTATGGAAGGAAAAAGAAAAGAAGAAACCTAGGGAACTCACTTTCAGTTCATCCTTCAAGACCTGGGTTTCTTCTTCTTCTTCTTCTTCTTTTTTTTTTTTTTTGACAGTGTTTTGCTCTTTTACCCAGGCTGGAGTGGAGTACAGTGGCCCAATCATAGCTCACTGCAACCTCAAAGCCCTGGGCTCAAGTGATTCTCCCACCTCACCCTCCTGAGTAGTTGGGAGTACAGGTGTGTGCTGCCACACTTGGCTAATTCTTTTTTTTTTTTTTTTTTCATTTTTAGTAGAGACGGGGTCTCGCCATGTTGCCCAGGCTGGTCTCAAACTCCTAGGCTCAAGTGATCCTCCCACCTTGGCCTCCCAAAGTGCTGGGATTACAGGTGTGAGCCACCACGACTTGCCTAAGACCTGAGTTTCTTTTTTTTTTTTTTGAGATGGAGTCTCACTCTGTTGCCAGGCTGGAGTGCAGTGGCATGATCTCAGCTCACTGCAACCTCTGCCTCCCGGGTTCAAGCGATTCTCCTGCCTCAGCCTCTCGAGTAGCTGGGACTATAGGCGCACATCACCATGCCCAGCTAATTTTTGTATTTTTAGTAGAGACAGGTTTCACCATGTTGGCCAGGACGGTCTTGATCTCTTGACCTCGTGATCCACCCGCCGCGGCTTCCCAAAGTGCTGGGATTACAGGCGTGAGCCACTGCGCCCGGCCAAGACCTGAATTTCTTAGCCAGCCTACCTATTCTTTATCCAATGTGGTAGGCAGAATCATGCCCCTCCCCAGAGATATCCATGTCCAGATCCCTGGAACCCATGACTATGTGACTTTACATGGCAAAAGGGACTTTGCAAGCCTGATTAAGTTAAATGGAGATGTTATCCTGGATTACCTGGTTGAGCCCAATGTAATCACAAGGCTCTTATAAGAGAGAGGCCGAGGAAAAGGGTCAGAGCCAGAGGACCCGTGATGATGGAAGCAGAAATCAGAGTGGTGTGAGGAAAGTGCCATGAGACAAAGAATGCAGGCAGCCTTTAGAAGTTGGAAAGGAACAAAAATGGATTCTGCTCTACAGCCTCCAGGAGGAACACAGCCTACCCGTCCATTTTAGGTTTCTGACCTCTAGAACTGTAAAATAATCAATTTGTGTTGTTTTAAAGCCCTAAAATTGTGATAATTTGTTACAATGGCAAAAGAAAATGGATACATCCACCTTTTAGAGTCTTCTGGTAGTTACTTTGTGTATCTTGTCTAGGGTTTTGTGTTATAATCAGAAGAAGAGATGAAGTGGAGTGTCCTTACCCTATCTTGAGTGGAGCCAGCAGTCCATTATTCTTAATTTTCAAATTTTATGACTTTGCAAGGTAGGTGCTAACTTCTGTGTCCTGTGGACCCCTCCTATTAATCTTTGAAACCTTTGCTTTCTCATATGATGTCTTGTGCCTTTCCTGCTCCAGACCTGGAAACAGCCATTTCTCCAAGGAATATATTTAAGTTAATGAAAAAGTGTTTCCATTAAAATGTGCTATGGGAATTTTAAAAAGTCATCATCAAAGGCTATCACTATCTAGTGCTCTTCTCCTTATAGCCACAGGGCAATGTGGGCCTGCCCGGAGACACCCTTCTCCCTCTGCTAAGGTACCAGTTGGGGGGGTTTCTGGGGCAGGGTGGAGGTAACTGACTCCCTTCATAGGCACTGCCACCCCAGGCCTATCATTTGGGCAGAAATACCCAGGGTGGGAGGCAGAGCCAAAGCCTGTCCCCAGGTCTGTGGCATCCCTCTGCCCCAGCACAATGCTTGGCCCACAGAAGGGGCTAAATGCATGAGTATTGAATCCTAACTAATGGTTCAAGAGTCAGGCCCAGTGGCTCACACCTGTAATCCCAATACTCTGGGAGGCCAAGGCTGGCAGATTGCTTGAGCCCATGAGTTCAAGACCAGCATGGGCAACATGGCAAAACCCTGTCTCACCAGCCTGTGGTCCTAGCTACTTGGGAGGCTGAGGCAGGATTGCTTGAACCCAGGAGAACGAGGCTATAGTGGAGCTGTGATTGAGCTACTACACCATGCTGGCCAAGCTGGGCAGAGCCTTTGGTTTTGTAAAGGAGAGACCCAGAGCTGAGTCAGGTGAGAGAGGTTGAAAAAATGAGGAAAAAATTCCTTCTTTGAAATCTGTCTCACTAAGAAAAGGCATGCGTCCATGAAAAATAATTTTGTGAAAGAATTTATTATTTCTTTTGTGAGCCTGGAAACATGAGTTCTTAGGGAGTTGAAACTTGGGACTGGGGTGGGTGGGGGAGATGGGAGAAGGTGCTGTGTTCTGAGGTGGTCGAAGCATGAATGGGGTTCAGAGGGACAGCCAGGACACACACAATCCCTGGGAATATTCCAGAAATATTCTGGTGATACCTGGACCTCCCCTGATGGAAAAGTGATAAATTACCCAGCCCCATCATGGCCTCTATATAAAGGGGGAGAAATAAATGATGAAGGCAGAGTAGTGGCAATATCTAACTCAGTACTGTTGAAGAGAAATATAATGTGAGACACATATGTGTTTTTAAATTTTCTATTAGTCATATTAAGAAAGTAAAAGGAAGCCAGGCATGGTGGTATGTACCTGTAGTTCCAGCTACTTGAGAGGCTGAGGCAGGATCATTTGAGCCCAGGAGTTCGAGTCCATCCTGGGTAACAAGGTGAGACCCTATCTCTTAAAAAAAAAAGCAAAAAGAAATAGGTGAACTCTATTTCAGTAATATATTTTATTTAACCCAATATATCCAAACTATTATTACTCAATATACAATATTATTAATGAGATATTTTACAATTAAAAAAATATTAAATCCTTGAAATCCAGTATATGTTTGACATCTAAAGCACATTTCAACTCAGGCTAGCTCTATTTATTTATTTATTAATATTTTAAATTTCAACTTTTATTTTAGATACAGGGAGTATACGTGTAGGTTTCTTACATGGGTGTATTGCACCCAGGTAGTGAGCATTGTACCCAATGGGTCGTTTTTCAAACCCCTCCTCTCCCTCCTTCGTCTAGTAGTCTGCAGTGTCCATTGTTACCATATTTATGTCCATGTGTGCTGAATGTTTAGATCTCACTTATAAGTGAGAACATGTGGTATTTGGTTTTCTGTTTCTATGTTAATTCACTTAAAATTATGGCCTCCAGCTCCATCCATGTTGCTGAAAAGGACATGATTTCATTCTTTTTTAATATCCTCCTGTGGCCAGTGGCTACCATATTGGACAGTGCAGGCCCAACTCTTTATACTCTGTGGTTACTAAAATAATTCCAAAGCCTTTCTTCCTCTCTTTCTTCCTCCCTTCCTCCTTTCCCTCTCTCTCTTTCTTTCTTTCCTTTCCTTTCTTTCTCTCTCTCTCTCTCTCTCTCTCTTCCTCTTTCTTTCTCTTTCCTTTTTTTTTTTTTTTTTTTGAGACGGAGTCTCACTCTGTCGCCCAGGCTGGAGTGCAGTGGCGCAGTCTCGGCTCACTGCAAGCTCCGCCTCCGGGGTTCACGCCATTCTCCTGCCTCAGCCTCCTGAGTAGCTGGGACTACAGGCGCCCACCACCACGCCTGGCTAATTTTTTTTTTTTTTGTATTTTTAGTAGAGACGGGGTTTCACCGTGTTAGCCAGGATGGTCTCGATCTCCTGACCTCGTGATCCACCCGCCTCGGCCTCCCAAAGTTCTGGGATTACAGGCGTGAGCCACCGCGCCCGGCCTCTTTCTCTTTTCCTTACCTTTCCTTTCTTTTCCTTTCCTTTTTCCTTTCCTCTCCTCTCCTCTCCTCTCCTCTCCTTTCCTTTCCTTTCCTTCTTTCTTTTTCTTTCTTTCCTTCACAAACAGAACTTGCTGTAAGAGCCTGCTCATCTCAATGACTTTACCTTTGCCATAAAAAAAACAAAAACAAAAACAAAGATCCATTATGGCATACCCAGTCTCTTTATTTCAGAAGATTCTTTACAAAAGGCTCATGAACTGCTTATGGCCAGGGGAGGCTTCTGAGTGGGCAGACAGAAGTAAGCCCATAGGGAGATGAAGAATAGACTGGCGTAATCACCAATGAATTGAAAAATAAAAATATTACAGCCACATCAGTATAATGGTTACTTAGGTGATAAATCTCTACAGGAGCTAGCTTAAAAATTCAACTCCTACTTAACTTATTTCCAGGAGTCTTCTGAGAAAATGCCATGTTGTAACAAATGAGGCATTAATTTATTGGAATGAAAGGAAAAGACACTTTTCTCATTGATTAGAATGGCTATATGTAATGCATTGATCTCTTTTGTCTCTGCTGCCTATATAACCCAGGCATCCCAGCCACATCATTCTGGAGGTTGAATAGGTTAAAACAATAGCAACTAAGCTCATAAACTTTGTGTAATTCAAAACCCACACAATTCATGTGAATATTCTAATAGGAGCATTATTTCTGTTTAATAGCTAACAAGGTTGTGCCATGTGACAATTGGATAAATCAGTATGAAATTCACTTGGCCATGCAACTATGAAATTATGAGATTCTGAAATTTAAAAAATTATGACAGTTCACATTTTGCACATAAAGTGAGACTTCCTTTATCTTCTCATACTGCAAAATGGCAAATTTACTTAATATAAAACTGGAAGAAAATGACACTCCAATACCTAGGCTCAGCCTCCACATCCTGCACTCTGTTGGAACTCTGGTCTAATTCCTTCTAGGTGGTCTTGGGATTCTCAAGGAGGTATCTCATGAAGGCTCCACAAGCTGTCCACCCCATGGCACCTATTTGTTTCCTCTCTTCTCCAGACTTCTATGGGAAAGTCTCTTCATACTGCTAGTGCCCAAGATGGCAGCTGGGTCACTGTTGGTGGCATTCAAAATGAGGCCAGGTTTGGCACGGTGGTGTGCACCTATAGTCCCAGCTACTTGGGAGGCTGAGACGGATGGATGGCTTGAATTCAGGAGTTCTGGGCTGTAGTGTGCCATGCCAATGTAGTGTCTGCACAAAGTTCAGCATCAATATGGTGATCTCTCGGGAGAGAGGGACCACCAGTTGCCTAAGGAGAAGTGAACTGGCCCAGGTTGGAAAAGGAACAGATCAAAACTCCTGTGCTGATGAGTAGTGGTATCTCACCTGTGAATAGCTGCTGCACTCCAGCCTGGGCAATATAGTGAGATCCTGGCTCTATTATACAATTATTAAAAATTAAAAAACAAAACAAAATGAGGCTAGAACTGATGTTTGTCTTGAAGCTGCTCAAGTCCCATGCCCCATGCTGAGGGCACTGATGCCTGTCCTAGGAAGGCACAATCTCCCTTTGCTGCAAGAGCCATGGGCAGTGGGTCCTGTTGCCCATGAAAGGAGCTGCCACAATTGACACCTGGCATTTCAGCTCTCATGTGTTTTGCTAGCTCCTTTGCTTTAGCCCCTTGGTTGTGGAACTGCATCATAAATCCAGATGATCTGAAGACCTGCCTCCTTCTCTTATCTTGTCCATTATCCTAGTGCCCAAATTGTTCTTTATGAGTCTCTTTTCTTAGGATGAGGCTCCTTAAAGGCACATTTCTGTATGTCCTCAAGGACCCCCAATCTACCTCTCAAGCCCCTAAATATTCCTGATTTCTGTGGTGAACGAAATTTAGGTTTCAGCTGAGTTTCTTGCTATGCTAAGGAGAATATTCTAGATTACATTTTTTCCTCCTTTCACCCTCCTTAGTGTAGCGTTAAGTGATCCAGTGAGTAATATCTATTTTAGTTTTAACTTAATAATCAGAAGTCTGGCATACAAGAATAGGCAGTCAATGAATATTTGTTGAGTGAATGAGAACTTTTATTTGCAAGGAAATAAAACTTCTCTCATTTTGAGAAAAAAGACTGAGTATTTTTTCCAGCACACAGATCAAGGTCAATTTCAATTTTTGTTCAGAGCATCTGTTCCTTTTGGTATTGGCATCAGGTGTCTGAATAGGGGCAAGGCACAAGCCTGCACAGCAGGATAGTTAAGAATAGAACAAACCTGAGGCAGCGTAGTGATTGAATATGTTAGTTAAATTTTCTGATCTCTTTCCTCATTGTGTAATGGGAACAACATCTAAGCATAGGGTTGTGTGAGGATTAAATGAGGTAGCAAGTCTTTAGCATTTACCTATCACATAACATTTGCCCGACAAATGGTAGCAATTCAAAAGTACTATTGATATTTCTAGAGAAGGAAAAAGAATATCAAGTGTTTGAAAATCATTTGCATTTATCACTGTTATCTGAGTGTAGAGCTTGGAAACCATAAAATATCAAACCTTATGCGAGGGTATCAAAATGATCCCCAAATATATATATATATGTGTATGTATATATATATATATATATATATATATGCTATATATACATATATATATAAATACAAAATATGTACATATATAGCATATATACACATATGTGTATATATATATATATTTGGATGGGAATAAGGACATTGCAGCCAAATGGTTTGTAGCTCAATGTATAAGAGAGTTTTTGTTTGTTTGTTTTGGTCATGAATGTTTCTGCTTATGTCATTATTACCTATTTGGAGGTAATAATGGGGCCAGAGGCTATTTAGCTTTTTTGATCCCTATACTACATACCTGAAAAAATTGCCAGGAGTTTCATAAATGTCTAGGCAATGGTTGCAACAAGAAACTCCATTTCTGAAATTCTGTTTTGTCTGTTAATTGTAGATGAAGAACAAATCAAAGTCACTGCAAAATTATTGTCTAGGAGAAACAAAAGTTTGGTAGTTGTACTATATAAAAACTGCTCAGCAATAAAGTTTGTATTATTTTAAAAAGTAGTTATGCTAATATCTGGGTGTCAGAAAACTATGTATATTTTTGACATATTACATATTGAGTTAAAATAACCAGAGGAACAAAGCTCTAGTTATATCAGATTAATGTGGTGAGTCAATAATTTTTCCAGGTTGCTACTCTCTCATATAATTGACTAAATGCACAAGCCAGTACCTATCTCTTGATATTCTTCTAGATGCAAAACTCTTTTGAAGGCAGATAAATATTGTTTGGACCAAAACCAACCTGGGTAAATTTTATTTTCTTCTTCAGACACATAATCATAGTTAAAACTCAGTTATGACCTATGATTGTAAAGACCTACTCATGACACCGTGGCGAGCAAGAGGATCAGACAATCCTCCCAATACAAAACAAATGGAAGTGCTGAATAATCTATAGCTAGCTTCATTTTGGATATAGAGCTGAGTTCACAGGAAAGTAAAGAAAATCTCTGGGGGAGAGAGAGGGCAAAAATAAAGAGAAACCAACCCATTCCTCAATCCCAAGACTGAAAAATGGAAACTGAATCTTTGGATGCTCTCAGGAAGGTTGCGGAGAGGGGTTGCCAGTCCCAAGAACCATGAGAATTGAGTTTTAGAGGCCTTGTACAGACAGGAGAGGAGGCTTTGGAATGATTCAAGGTAGGGAGATGGAACTGAGACACTATCATAAATCTGGAACTCTAGAAGAGCTCAAGGAAAGTTTTATCAGAAAATAATCTCTTATCAACTGTCATGGGAGACAATAAGGAAATTTGTCTATCGTGTTTTTGTCTTCTGTGGGGAAACAAATTCTCTTGAGAACTTGCAACTATGGGCATGCCTCCTTGTAATTTGGATCTTGAATTTACATTACCTGTATTAAAAGTGAATCCCCAACTCAAGAAATAGGCAAGAAATGTGGTCCAGGCTGATAATATCTTGGGGTTCCTGATGAAAACTCTCTGGAGGACCACATCTTCAACCTAAGCAACATGTAATCTCACAGATAAAAATCCCACTGAACAGGAGCTGATAATTTGAAATTTAAAAAACTAATGGAAATCCATGAAGAGCAAGAGTTAGCAGACACAAAAAGCAGCAAAATTAGAACCCCAAGAATTTCAGATTATAGAATTACTGGATAAACATTATAAAAGAAGTTACCTAAGACATAAAGAAATAATTGAAAACACAAGAAGAGACTAAGTCTCTATATATCTAGGCAGATTTTAAAAAGACATATAGAACTTCTAGAATTAAAATATATGTTTGTTGAAATTAAAATCTTAATGGACTTTAACAGCATGTTAAACACTGCTCAAGAGAGAATCAATAAACTAAAATATGGATCTGAATAAATTTCTCAGAAAGTAACAGAGTGTTAAAGAGATGAAAAATATAAAAGGAGGAAAAACAAAGAAATGGAAAAGCAAATGAGGACTTCTAAAATATATACCCAGGAGAAGTTCCAGAAGAAGAAATGAATGAGAGAGAGAGAGAATGGGGAAGATGTGATATTCAAAGAGATAATGGCCCCAAATTTTCCAGAATTGGTTCTGGGTAAAATAATTAAAAAAATAAATCCACGCGAGGACACATAGTGGTCAAATGGCAAATGAAGTAAAAGTTTAAAAGGAACCAGAGAGGAAAAAACAAATAAATAGGTTACCTATGAAAGAAAGACAATTAGATTGAAAGCAGATGTCTCAATTGCAACAAAAGAAGTCATAATATAGTACAATATTTGTCCTGCTGAGATAAAGTTATGATCCATCCAGAATTTTATATGCAACTAAACTATCATAGAAGAATGAAAGTCAAAGAGAAATGTTTTCAGAGAAGCAACAATTAAATCTACAACTCACATACTCTCACTGAAAAAGCTACAAAGGTATGTACTTCAGTAAGAAGTAAGTTGAATCCAGAATGAAGTAAGATGCAAGAAGGAGTGATGATTAAAAATTGGTAAACAGATGGGCAAATCGAAAATGCTGATAATGTGAAATAACTATACAAATATTAACTCTTGGAAACAGAAGAGAGGCAAAATTAAAACGTTGATCCAAAGCAATGTAAAAGAAGAGTGGAGATGATCAGAAAAGAACCCTTCTGTGGCCCGGGCACAGTGGCCCACGTCTGTAACCCCAGCACTTTGGGAGGCTGAGGCAGGAGGAGTGCTTGAGCCCAGGAGTTTGAGACCAGCCTGGGCAACATAGTGAGATCCACCCCCATCTCTACAAAAAATTAAAAAAATAGCAGGGCATGGTGGCTTGCACCTGTAGTCCCAGCTCCTTGGGAAGCTGAGGTGGGACGATCACTTGAGCTTAGGAGGTGGAAGCTGTAGTGAGCCATGATTGCACTAATGCACTCCAGCCTTGGTGACAGAGTGACACCCTATGTCCAAAAAAAAAAAAAAAATTCTTCTATGGATTACATTGCTTTAGAATAAAGATTTTTTTTTTTTTTTTTTTGAGACAGAGTTTTGCTCTTGTTGCCCAGACTGGAGTGCAATGGCGTGATCTCGGCTCACCGCAACTTCCACCTCCCGGGTTCAAGCGATTCTCCTGCTTCAGCCTCCTGAGTGGCTGAGATTACAGGCATGCACCGCCACACCCGGCTAATTTTGTATTTTTAGTAGAGGCAAGGTTTCTCCATGTTGGTCAGGCTGGTCTCGAACTCCCGACCTCAGGTGATCTGCCCGCCTCGGCCTCCCAAAGTGCTGGGATTGCAGGCATGAACCACCGCGCCTGGCCTAGAATAGAAATATTTTAATTTAACTTTGTTGAGCAAGATATGAATGTTAAAATATTAAAATTTCAAGGAAAAATCACGAAAGGAATAGTATCTATAGCTTCCAAACCAATAGGAATAAAGAAAGAAAGCCTTAATTAACAGAAAAGAAGTAAAGAATTTAAAAAAGCCGGGCGCAGTGACTTACGCCTGTAATCCCAGCACTTTGGGAGGCCGAGGCGGGCAGATCACGAGGTCAGGAAATCGAGACCATGGTGAAACGCCGTCTCTACTGAAAATACAAAAAAAATTAGCCGGGCGCAGTGGCGGGTGCCTGTAGTCCCAGCTACTTGGGAGGTTGAGGCAGGAGAATGGCGTGAACCCGGGAGGCGGAGCTTGCAGTGAGCCGAGATCGTGCCACTGCACTCCAGCCTGGGCAACAGAGCGAGACTCCGTCTGGGAAAAAAAAAAAAAAAAAAGAATTTAAAAAGAAGAAAGTATAGAAATAGCAGGAAATAGAAAGCACTAAACAACAGGCGAGAAATAAATCAAAATAATGGTGTTTCTGCCATAATCTAACATCTATATTCCTGAAATATCTTGCAGTTTATGAAGTCAAACACTAAGAATTAGATAGCTTAAGGGAAAAACAAGGTGGGGAAAGATGATATTTTGCCATAGTCTATGACAGACAATAGTATCTAGCCAGAGAGAGAATTATAGAGAGAAGAGAAACAATCACATAAACGTATAATTGCTTAAATCTGTGTGGCAAACTGTTTTTAATAAAACTAGCTTGGTCTTGTTTAAACATCCAATGGCGTATTATTTATGTCATTCCACTTCCCTCTATTAATATATTTAATGAAATGAACTTTTTCTTCACAGCATTGTAGACAATGAGGGTTAGAGGGAGAAAAATAAGAGAACTCAGAGAGGCAAACTTCTTATGCATGTTCTTCTTTCTCTTTGGAGATGGAGATGAGGGGCACCTTCCTATAGTCATCTTAACTGAAATGCAAGCATAGGGAAGAACTGCAGAGATTGGAAGCAATTTCAGATTCTTCTGTGAAATGAATCATTTCAGAAAGTTCATGTGGACTTTTCATGTTGGAGTGAGGGAATGAGGATGCATGTTTTCTTGAAGAAAATAGAACAGCGTTGCACTCAATGAAAATGAAATATGTTGGAGAAAATAAAATAGTGAGCATGCTTTCAATCAGAGGTGGTATTCAAAATATAGAATAATCTTTTTGGTACTATGCGGAGGATGTAGTTTCCACAGGTGTCCATGCAAGGGCAACTGCTAGAAAGTGCGAGCCTGCAATGGTGGGCCACAGCCTTGGAGACCAGATGGACACTTGAGCATTTGTTCAGTGGGTGCCAACATTGCCCGCTGGAGTGTCATCTCCCTAGCAGGGGATTGAGCCTTCTCTGGCTAGGAGGATACATAAAGATGGATGCTGGTGCATGGGTGTTGTAGTGGGCTAGCTTGAAGGCCAATGGACACTAAGTGCCCAGGCAACACTCGTTTGGGGCTCTCCAGGCCTAGGATGGTCAGGCTAGTGTGGTAGGGAGCACTCAAAGGGGCTTGGAGAAGCAGCTACTTATCAATCGGCATGGAACTATTTCTATATTGAACACCCTGGATTTGAGACCTTTCTAGTAAAATTGGTTGTTTGGTGGGACTCCTGATTTCTGTAGGGAGATATATCAACTACAACAATGAGCGAACGTATTGCTAAGTGGGAGGGCAAGGGGATTATATGTCAGGAGACAATACACAGGATTAATCTGGAGATAAAGCCCCAAAATACTTCCTACAGATGGCAACTTCCCCCTTGCCTTGAATTAGTTTAAACTGGTTTCTCTGGTTATTTTCTTTGTGGACAGTTCGACATACCTGCTCACTCCCAAGTCCCTTTGCTTTGACAGAAGATTAAAATTCCCCCTCACAGAGCAAAAAGGCCCGTTAACTAAGATAAATTGTAGTTGCAAGCATAACTGTATCTCATTTAGTGTTAGCCTTTAAGGGAGGTGTCTACGAAAAATTTTCTGCAAAATTAATTTATGTAAAGGAATGAATTTCTTTCAGCTGGTTATATTTTCAGAACTAACACTTTGGAAAATGGGATCATGATTCTGGGAGTGCACAGTAAAAGATGTTTTGCTACAAACAAAATATACTGCTGCAAAAGACTTCCTAGTTTCAGACAGGCGTTGAAAAGTAGTGCTTCCTATTATCCATCGTGAAATTGGCTAATTTACATAGTAGAATAGACTTGGATTTGAATTCTCCAGGTCTTACTCTTTAATACAAAATTGTGTGCCCTTTGAGGTTTCTACCCGCCAAGCAGTTATTTATGTTGATGAGACATTGCAGATCAACTGAGCTCCAAGTTCACGCCACAAAGTGGGTCATGCAAAGGAGCCCTAGACTGAGATCCACAGCACTTGACTTTTTTCTTTTTTTTTCAAGCTTCCAAATTTAATCAAATACAGGAAATACAGGACAGAAGGACATGCTAAACAGCACCATGGCAATTTAATCAGCAAAATATAGAATGAGGGATTTCTGTAGAACAAACAGCTCTGTGTCCTTAATAAATGAAAGAAGAAAAAACAGAGAAAAAGGAAGCAATATATTAAAGGCAGTGTAGAGATAACACAATCAGCCCAATTGTGGATTTTGGTTCCTATCAAAATAAGCCAATTGTTGAAAATAATTTTGAGTATTCAGAGAAATATGAACACCAAATGGATATTTGATATTATTGTGGAATTTTTGTTCAAGTTTTTGAAATGGGGAAGGCTGTCCTTGGGAGAGAGCTCCAGGCATAAATGGATTTCAAAGAACTTCAGTTAGTAGTTTCAGATTGGGGTAAATGCAGAAGGCATTTGAATATTTTGTCACTGTGCAGTGTCTCCTTTCATCTCTTATTTTTTTCTTTTAATTTTTAATTTTTTAATTTCAATAGGTTTTTGTGGGAACAGGTACTGTTTGGTTACATGATTAAGTTCTTTAGTGGTGATTTCTGAGATTTTGATGCACCCATCGCCTGAGCAGTGTACACTGTACCCAGTGTGCAGTCTTTTATCCCTTGCCACCCCTCACCCTTTCCCCCCAAGTCCCCAAAGTCCAACGTGTCATTCTTATGCCTTTGCATCCTCATAGCTTAGCTCCCACATATGAGTGAGAACATATGATGTTTGGTTTTCCATTCCTGAGTTACTTCACTTAGAATAATAGCCTCCATTTCCAACGAGGTTGCACAGCACTTGACTTCTAAGCCCAGCTCAGTCACCAGGCGACTATGGATGTTTGTGATCTTTGTGTTTCAGGAAGAATCAAAGTGACCTTGTCACTTTGAGATACCTAATGCCCTTGTTTTCTTGACCTGCCTGGGCTTTTCCGATTTATTTAGCACAGCATTCCCAAGTTAAAAGTCTGCAAAATATGTGACTTAGAAAATCACTGCATATATGCTCTTCAGTGTTTATGGGGGGAGATTAGCACATCTCAAACAAGTCAGCCTTTTCAAATGACAATTTCCTTTCAGTATCTGTAGAGACATCAGGATGGTGGTAAGGAATCATGGAAGTCAATGGATATGCATTTAAATATCCATTTATTGGAACATTATGGCCTCCCAATACTGTGGCTGCAAAATGTTTCACTGCCCACTACAGAGTTAGCCAGACAACCCTTCCCAACTTAAATTGAGGTTGATGAAGCCAAAAAGTAATTTATAACTCAAAGGCAAGAACAACAGCAAGAGAAAATCTCATCAACCTCAAGACACTTCGATAATGCGGCAAAACAAAGCATCCTTCCTCCAAACTGGGGGAATGTTATCAGCACGTGCAAATGTGCAGAAGTGATTTGCTGTGTTCCTGGGGATGGGGACAAGGCCCATATAGGAGGCTTCGAGTCCCCATGAAACTCAGGTAAAGGGCAAATTCTAGGGTGTGAACTCCAGATTTTAGTAACTTTATTAAAATCACAAGTAAACAAATAGTCTTTTATTTAAATGAAATAATGAAGTATTTGGAATCATCCTTTTTTCTGTAAGAACCAAAGAAATGGTTGTATTTCTGCAGTAGCACTTTCCTCACCTCCAAGTGTAGCAGTTGACATTTTCTTAGCGTTTCCTATGTGCCAGGTTCAGACACAACCACTTTACACATATCATCTCATTTACTCTTCAAAATGACCCTATCTGGTAGACAGTGCTAGTATCCCCATTTTAGAAATGAGGGAACTGAGGTTCAGAGGTGTTAGAGAACCTGTCCAAGGGAAACACATCAGGGAGGGATGCAATTTCAGGCAGTCCGACTCCCAAGTTCATGTCCCTAGCTTCTAGGCAGCACTGATTTCAGGGGCTCCTGGATCAGCCTTTGATACCCTCTGGCTAAGATCACATTTTCATAGATGACTGTAAGGACTAGAAATAGTTGACCCAAGAGTCTGGAAGATAAGACACAAGATGGGGGAAATCTGAAGCATCACCAGTCAGGATCAAATTCCAGCAGGCTTTGCTCGCTTTACACTTTGGTAATCCATTTCCACGGTCTGGACACCCTTTGGAAATGACCTTCTTCTTAAGGCTTATGCTCCATTATCCATGCCCTCTGAGCACAATCTCCTGGCCTGCCTGTTCCCATACTCTTTTATTTCTAGAACATCTGCTCTCCTAACTTACTTGCACAATTCCTTTACCCCTCCCTCTCTCTCAGGTTTTTACCCCCTTCCTGGACTCAATTCCTTCCCCCTCCAATGGAGATTTCATAGTATATCACTTCACCATCCTCCTGCCACTATCCTCAATGCCATCCCATTCCCGTCTTTCTATCTTGTCCGCCCTACAAAGCCCAGACTAACATAAATGCAACCTTTGCTCTCTCCATCTTTCCACCTGGGTTGTTGAGAGCTCTTGAAGAAAACCATGTAAATCTGTAGATTTGCACCATGAAGGAACCAGCAGCAAGGCAGACTGAGCCAATGTGATCCCAGTGCCCACTCCACTTCACTACAATGTTGGTTAAAATGGTATAATTTCAGAGCTGAACTGGAAATAAGAAAGGGAAGACACCAGGTGCCAGTAAGAAGAAAAGAACTCATAGCACCCAAGCTGATGTTCGGGTGGCCCAAAAGACTGGGCGCAAGCATCGGATATGGGGGCTACCATTGAACATCCACAACCTAGAAAAATATCCAGGTTACTAAGTCCGTTTTGCCACTGCAAGGAATGAAGGCAACCCCAGGTTGGCACCCCAGGAGGACCACGGGAGGCTAGGCCCATCCCCTCAAGAGAGGTGGCCTTGGCTGTGTGGGAGGTGGGGAGCTGGAATTAGGATCCCAGACCAAAGCTGCCACCTAGGAAACAAAGTTTTCTAGTGAGGGTAACTAGAAAACTCTGCCATAGGGCTAGGAAAGAAGTGATCTTGTCCCAGATGTGGTGTGGGATGAAGAAAAATAAGTTTCCTGTGAGCAACTGAGACCCCAAACCTGTTTCATACAAGGTATGGGGCCAAAATCTGTGGTCTCCATGTGGTGTGGCACTCCCCTGCCAAAGAATTAATGTAAGACTAGCTGCAACCAATGCCACAAGGCAAGGAAAATAAATAAGAGGCACAACGTTTATAAAGGAAGAAATAAAACTGTCATTACTTGTAGGTTCCATGAATGTGTATCTATCAAATCTAAAATAATTCTCAAACTATTAGAATTAATGAGTGAATTTAAATGAGGTCACTGTATGTTTACGTGCAAGAACAAATAAACTAAATAAGACTAAAATCTTTGCCTCATGCCTCAAAGCCACTGCCCACTCCATAACTTGGCAGATAATGTTGTCTTATACTACAGAAAAATGAGGCCCTGAGGTTTGAACTCCCACAACTTCCTGATCTCATGACCTCAAACTTACCTAAGTTGGCCCCCACCGTCACTGCCTTTCCTGTATTCATACGGGCACATCCTTTTCCCTTCTCTTACAAACCAGCCCTTTTCTCTGTGCTTTTAAGTCTCTTCTCTCCCATCTCTGCTAGAATAAAGAGAGCTTCCTCTGATATTTCTCTTTCTTATGTGTTCAACCTGGCATCTTCTCTGTAGCCTTTAAAGATACTCAAGCTGCTATTACCTCAAAAAACAGAACAAAACAAAAGAAAAAACTATAACAAGTCTTGACAAACCCCGAAATCACCTCTAGCTATCGTATTTTCAAAAGAACAGACTAAACTGGCTGCATCCATTTCTTACTTCTTAAAAACACTTAAGCCCATTTCAATCAGATTTCCCTTCCTATCACTCCTCTGAAGTGGCTTTCATCAAAGTGACCGATGACCTCCTTAACTGCTCAATCCAATGGGCTCTTTCCACTCCTCTGGCACCCACCACTGGATTACTCCTGTACCCCAAGAGCTCTACATACACCTTGAACATGAACTCCTGGGCCCTTGTATAGGCCTGGCTGGTTCCTTGACTCTGTCCTTTATACTCAGTCTTATTTCAGTTCCTGTAATCCTTGCCTAAGATTGTCCACATTCCTCATGATGGCAACAAGGGCCTAGGAACTTGGATATTTTTCTAGGTGAAAATGTAGAATCAGGGTAGGCAAAAGTCTGAGATGTAACCTACGGGTTAGACTGTGGGACTGAGCACAGTGGCTCACGACTGTAATCCCAGCACTTTGTGAGACTGAGGAGGGAGGACCGCTTGAGCTCAACATCACTGCAGTGGTGTTGCCCAGGCTAGTGTCGAACTGCTGAGCTCAAGTGATCCTCCCACCTCAGCCTGGCCCACATATAGCTATTTTTTATTGTATAAAATTAAGGTGTACAACATGATGTACACCTTAAAATCTTTGCCTCATGTACAAAATGATGTTGTACACCTTAATTTTATATAGATATATGTGGACCAGGCATGGTGGTTCACGCTGTAATCCCAGCACCTTGGGAGGCTGAGGCAGAAAGACTGCTTGAGTCCAGGAGTTTGACACCAGCCTGGGCAACATAGTGAGGCAATGTCTCTACAAAAAATAAAATAAAAAAAAAAATAGCTGGGCATAGTGGAATGTGCCTGTAGTCCCAGCTACTTGGAAGGCTGAGGTGGGAGGATTGCTTGAGCCCGGGAATTCAAGGTTACAATGAGCTAGGATTGTGCCACTGCACTCCAGCTTGGGCGACAGAGTGAGACCCTGTGTCAAAAAAACAAAAAGCAAAAGACAAACGAATAAACACACACACACACATACACAGACACACACACAAGACCATGGCACAGTCATTGAGAAGTTATTAAAGAGACTTTTATATGGCTTCTGTTTTGCTTCCTGATGAATGTATGTAACCCAGGAGGCAGGAAGTAATTGTGAAACTGCCCAGTGGGTTCATCTTGCTCAGTGCCTAGATAGAGCTGATTTATCAAGACAGAGGAATTGCAATAGAGAAAGAGTTTGATACACATAGACCTAGCTAAACAAGAGACTGGAGTTTTACTTTTACTCAAATCAACCTCCCTGAAAATTCAGAGGCTAGGGTTTTTCAAAGATAGTTTGGTGGGCAGGTGGGGCTAGGGAATGGGTGCTGTTGCTTGGTTGGGGATGCAATCATAGGGTTGTGGAAAACAGTTGTTTTGCGCTGAGTCCCCTTCTGGGTAGGGCCACAGAGAAGTTGCTGGTACAAGTGGGGTCATCTGGTCTTCAGAAATGCAAAAGCCTGTAAAGACATCCCAAAAGGCCAATCTTAGTGACATGGTTTGTTTCTGTGTCTGCTTCCCCTTCTGCCATGATTGTAAGTTTCCTGAGGCCTCCCCAGCCATGCAGAAATGTGAGTCAGTTAAACTTCTTTCCTTTATAAATTCCCCAGTCTCAGGGACGTTCTTTATAGCAGTGTGAAAACGGACTAATACAGTTAATTGGTACCAGGATTTGGATACTGCTATAAAGATACCTGAAAATGTGGAAGTGACTTTGGAATTGGGTAACAGGCAGAGGCTGGAACAGTTTGGAGGGCTCAGAAGACAGGAAGATGTGGGAAAGTTTGGAACTTCCTAGAGACTCATTGAATGGTTGTGGCCAAAATGCTGATAGAGATGTGGACAATGAAGTCCAGGCTGAGGTGGTCTCAGATGGAGATGAGGAACTTCTTGGGAACTGGAGCAAAGGTTACTCTTGCTATGCTTTAGTGAAGAGACTGGTGGCATTTTTACCCTGCTCTAGAGATCTATGGAACTTAGAACCTTAGAGAGATAATTTAGAGTATCTGGCAGAAGAAATTTCTAAGTGGCAAAGCATTCAAGAGGAAGTAGAGCATAAAAGCTTGGAAAATATGGAATATGACCATGAGGTAGAAAAGAAAAACCCATTTTCTGGGAAAGAATTCAAGCTGGCTGCAGAAATTTGCGTAAGTAACAAGGAGCTGAATGTTAATAGCCCAGACAATGGGAAAAATGTCTCCAGGGCATGTCAGAGACCTTCACAACAGCCCCTCGCATCACAGGCACAGAGGCCTGGGAGGAAAAAATGGTTTTGTGGCCTGGGCCCAGGACCCCCCTGCTCTGTGCAGCCTAGGGACTTGGTGTCCTTTGTCCCAGCTGCTGCAGCTCCAGCCATGGCTAAAAGGGGCCAAAGTACAGCTCAGGCTGTTGCATCAGAGGGTGCAAGCATCAAGCCTTGGTGGCTTCTATGTGGTGTTGGGCCTGTGGGTGCACAGAAGACAAGAATTGAGCTTTGGGAACTTCCACCTAGATTTCCAAGGATGTATGAAAATGCCTGGATGTTCAAGCAGAAGTCAGCTGCAGGGGCAGAGCCCTTATGGAGAACATCTGCTAGGGGAGTGCAGAGGGGAAATGTGGGGTTGGAGCCCTGACAAGAGAACCCCAACTGGGGCACTGCTTAGTGGAGCTGTGAGAAGAGGGCCATCATCCTCCAGACCCCAGGATGGTAGATCCACTAACGGCTTGCACCGTGTGCTTGGAAAAGCCACAGGCACTCAATGCTAGCCGCAAAGGAGCTGCCCAAGGCTATGGGAGCCCACCACTTGCATCAGTGTGCTCTGGATGTTTGACATGGAGTCAAAGGAAATCATTTTGGAGCTTTAAGATTTAATGACTGCCCTGTTGGATTTCAGATTTACTTGGGGTCTGTAGCCCCCTTTTTTGGCCAATTTCTCCCTTTTGGAATGGGAGCATTTATCCAATGCCTGTACCCCCATTGTGTCTTGGAAGTAACTAACTTGTTTTTTGATTTTACAGGCTCATAGACAGAAGGGACTTGCCTTGTTTCTGATGAGAATTTGGACTTGGACTTTTGGGTTAATGCTGGAGTGAGTTAAGTACTTGGGAGACTCTGGGAAGGCATGATTGGTGTTGAAATGAGAAAAGACATGAGCTTTTGGAGGGGCCGGGGTGGAATGATATGGTTTGGCTCTGTGTCCCCAATCAAACCTCATCTTGAATTGTAATCCCCACGTGTTGAGGGAGGGACCTGTAATCCCCATGTTTAAAGGGAGGAAGGTGATTGGATCATGGAGGCATTTTCCCCCATGCTGTTCTTGTGATAGTGAGTGAGTTCTCATGAGATCTGACGGTTTTATAAGAGGCTTTCCCCCCTTCACTTCTTCTCTCTCCTGCTGCCTTGTGAAGAAGGTGACTGCTTCCCCTTCTGCCATGATTGTAAGTTTCCTGAGCTCCACCCCCACACCAGCCATGCGAAACTGTGAGTCAATTAAACCTCTTTCCTTTATAAATTATGTAGTCTCAGGGAAGTTCTTTATAGCGGTGTGAAAATGGACTAATACACTTAGGCTCTAGTAATTGGGGACGTTGCAAATCTTGTGACCTCTGGAATAATGGCTGGTAATCATTTAACTACATCTATATCTTAGCAGAATTAGGGCTCCTCTCATCCTCCTAACCTGGTGGCCTTTTATTAGTTTTACAAAGGCAGTTTAGTTTTGGGACGGGCTACTACCATTTAAACTATAAAGTAAATTTCTCCCAAAGTTAGCTTGGCCCATGCTGAGGAATGACCAAGGGAAATTTGGAGATTAAAGGCAAGATGGAGTTTGTTAGGTTAGATCTCTTTCACTGTCATAATTTTCTCACTATTATAATTTTTGCAAAGGTGGTTTCAGTTGTAACTCATGGGTTACTGGACTTCTCAGCTGTAAACAGTGGCTGATAACCAATGGCTAATAACTGGTTTGGTGTTGGGACGTTTTACAACCCATGGGGAAGGGAGGGGAAGTGGGCACAGATGATTAAGATTTGGATTCTTGCCAGCTGGGAGGAACTAGGGCTCAGAGTCCAATTTAGGTTGACTTAAAAACAATTTAAAAGTGTGGCTTTTCATGCACAGTTAAATTTTCTAGCTGAGATCCACACCTGTTTCTTATTAAAAATGTCCAATAAATGGTATCTTTTAGTGTAGGGAATAATTATTTAGCTCCCTGAATCTGTCCCAGTGCGCTGGGAGACTCTCAGCTGTTGAAGCAAAAATGATCTGATGCACTAGATTGCCAAGATGGATGTGACCACTTCTGACTGCAGAGGAAGTAGAGAAATAAAGATTCGTGTGCAAGAGAGGGTAGACTCATAGGGTTATTTGACTTAAAGAAGGGCACCTGAGGGACTTGGGATTTTGCAGTGTGCAGAGACTGAAAAAGAAAGACATTTGGCTACTAGCAGCCCTGAAATAAATTTACTCTGACCAATGTTTCTGCCCAACTGCATTACCTAATGCAAGAACAAAATTTGAAACTTCAGCTCATTATCGTTCTGCTTTTGGCAGCATGATTTTTCCTGAGGCTTTTAATTCTTTCCTTAAAGTCCTCTATATTAACTTTGAATCATTGATGTGTTTTCAAATATTGGCTGGACTGGTCTTGAACTCCTGGGCTCAAGTGGTCCTCTCACCTTGGGCTCCCAAAGTGTTGGTATTAGAGGCGTGAGCCACTGTGCCCAGCCTCAGCATGCTTAAAATCAAGACACACACAAAGCATTTCAGGTTGTGATTTTATTTAAGTGAATAAATTGGCTGTCTAGATGTATCCTATTTCATATACAAATGCCTATTTTCATGTAAATAAACTTCTATAGGAAAGTATTAATGATGTAAGGTGTCATAGGAAGGTCTTGAATATTTATTTCCTTTCAGAGTTCTGGCTTTTTTATTACATTATTGTTAAATCATTTGTTTATACCATTACCTTGTTAGTAGTGGGACTAAGTATCCTAAAGCATTCCTTTTCTTATTTTCATCATTCGCCTTTTCACATACCAACAAATTTTAAAAATAAAACTTTGTTGATATATATACAGGAAGAATTTTTCCAGCTTTAATGATCTCAATGACAAAGGATCCTCTTTTATACTTTCATTCTACCAATCTCAATCTTTTTTCTTTCAAATTCCCTTCCACTAGACCTCCAGAGCCTTTATTATGTTGTCAATGACTTTCCCTTATTTTTGGGCAATTACAGAATTGAACGTCTGGAAGGTACTTTAGAGCCTTGCTACTCAAAGTGTGGATCATTTCACCCTGTCTCTGTTAATGATTGAATCTCAATCTCTCTTCTTAATCATCTGTGCCCTAAGTGTACCAGATATATTTTTCCAGTAGCTTTTTGGATATCTCTGTGTGGATGTCAGCTAGTGTAGCAGAGTCAACAGGCCTTTATTTTTATTTTTTGAAAATAGAGATGAAGTCTTGCTATGTTTATGTTGCCTGGACTGGTCTTGAACTCCTGGGCTCAAGTGGTCCTCTCACCTTGGGCTCCCAAAGTGTTGGTATTAGAGGCGTGAGCCACTGTGCCCAGCCTCAGCATGCTTAAAATCAAGACACACACAAATACAGCAAAACACATTTAACTTATCATTATCCCCTTCACATGATTCTTTTTCTATATTCCATTTTTCTTTGATGATGATATTGCCATCTTTATGGTCATCTCAATGGGACATAGAAAAAGCATTATAATATAGCTCTCTCAATGCTACCTCCAATTTAATCAGCCCATACATCCTGTGAATTAAACTTCCATCAAGCCCTGGGCATAGATTCCTTCTTCTCTATTCATTGTTGCTGTTCTGATTTACATTTTCATTATCTCTTGCCTTGCCTAATGCCAACTCTCCTAACTTATCTCTTTGCCTTCTCCAGTCTCTCTTCCTTCTTTTTGTAATTTTTTTTTTTAATTTTAGATTCAGGGAGTACATATGCAGGATGTTTACATGGATATATTGCGTGATGTTGAGGTTTGAGCGTTTATTGAACCTGTCACCCAAATAGTAAACATAGCACCCAATAGGTAGTTTTTCAATCCTTGCTCCCCTTCCTCCCTCCTTTTGGAGTCCCCAGTGTCTACTGTTTCCATCTTTATGTCTGTGTGTACCCAATGTTTAACACCCACTTATAAGTGATAACATGTGGTATTTGGTTTTCTGTTTCTGTGTTATTCCTTCTTAGTTTTTTCATTGACCCACTGGCCATTCTGGAGCACATTGTTTAATTTCTATGTGTTCATATAGTTTCCAAAATTTCTCCTGTTACTGATTTCTAGTTTTATTCCATTGTGGTTGGAGAAGATACCTGATATAATTTCAATTTTTTTTTGAAAATTTTAAGACTTGTTTTGGTGGCCTAACATATGGTAAATCCTTGAGAATGATCCATGTGCTGAGTAGAAGAATGAGTATTCTGCAGATCTTGGAGGAAATGTTCTGTAAATATCTATTAGATCCATTTGGTTTATATAGTGCAGATTAAATCTAATGTTTCTTTGTTGATTCTTTGTCTGGATGATGTGTCCAATGCTGAAAGTGGGGTGTTGAAGTCTCCAGTTATTATTGTATTGGAGTCTACCTCTCTTTAGCTCTAATAAAATTTATTTTATATATCTAGGTGTTCCAGTGTCGGGTGCATATATATATTACAATTGTTATATCCTCTTGCTGCAATGGCCCCTTTGTCATTATATAGTGACCTTCTTTGTCTCTTTGTATAGTTTTTGCCTTGAAATCTATTTTGTCTGATATAAGTATAGCCACTCCTGCTTGGTTTTTTTTTTTTTTTTTTTTGGTTTTTATTTGCATGGAATATCTTTTCCATCTCTTTATTTTCAGTCTATGTGTGTCTTTATAGGTAGGGGTGTTTCTTGTAGGCAACAGATTATTGGGTCTTGTTTTTTTTTAAATCCATTCAACCATTCTATGTCTTTTGATTGGAGAGTTTAGTCCCTTTACATTCAATGTTGTTGTTGATAAGTAAGGACTTACTCTGCCATTTTGTTATTTGTTTTCTAGTTCTTTTGTGGTCTTCTCTCCCTTCTTTCCTTTCATCCTGTCTTCCTTTTAGTGAAGGTGATTTTTTATGTTGTTATGATTTAACTTCTTGCTTTTTATTTTTTGTGTGTCTGTTTTATGTTTTTTCATTTGAGATTACCATGAGGCTTGCAGTACTATCTTATAACCTATTACTTTAAACTGCTGACAACACTGATTGCATAAACAAACAAATTAACAAACCAGCAAAGAAAAAACTAAAACTCCACACTTTAATTTCATCTCCCAGCTTTTTAAGTTTTTATTGTTTGTATTTATATCTTATTGTACTGTCTGTATATTAAAAAGTTGTGATAGTTATTATTTTTGATAGGTTCACCTTTTAGTCTTCCTACTCAAGATATGAGTAGTTGACACACACAGTTACAGTGTTATAATATTCTGTGTTTTTCTGTGTACTTACTATTTTTTTTTTTTTCTGAGATGGAGTCTCGCTCTGTTGTCCAGGCTGGAGTGCAGTGGTGCAATCTTGGCTCAGTGCAACCTCCACCTCCCAGGTTCAAGCAATTCCCCTGCCTCAGCCTCCCGAGTAGCTGGGACTACAGGTGTCTGCCACCATGCCTGGCTAATTTTTTTTGTATTTTAGTAGAGACGGGGTTTCACCATGTTGGCCAGGATGGTCTCAATCTCCTGACCTCGTGATCCGCCCGCCTTGGCCTTCCAAAGTGCTGGGATTACAGGTGTGAGCCACCGTGCCTGGCTGTGGACTTACTATTACTCATGAGTTTTGTAGCTTCAGATAATTTCTTATTGCTCAATAATGTCCTTTTCTTTCAGATTGAAGAACTCTCTTCAGGATTTCTTGTAGGACAGGTCTGGTGTTGATAAAATCCCTCAGCTTTTGTTTATCTGGGAAAGTCTGTATTTCTCCTTTATGTTTGAAGGATACTTTCACTGGATGTACTATTCTAGGGTAAAAGTGTTTTTCCTTCAGCACTTTAAATGTGTCCTGCCATTCTCTCCTGTCCTGTAACGTTTCCACTGAGAAGTCTGCTTCCAGATGTATTGAAGTTCCTTTGTCTGTTGTTTCTCTTGCTGCTTTTAGGGTCCTTTCTTTATCCTCAACCTTTAGGAATTTGATTATTAAATATCTTGAGGTAGTCTTCTTTGGGTTAAATTTACTTTGTGTTTTATAATAATCTTGTATTTGAACATTGGTATCCTGCTCTAGGTTTTGCAAGTTCTCTGTTATTATCCACTTAATTAACTTTCTACTCTTATCTCTCTCTCTACCTCCTCTTTAATGCCAATACCTCTTAGATTTGCCCTTTTGAGGCTATTTTCTAGATCTTATAGGTGTGCTTCATTCTTTTTTGTTCTCTTCCTTTTGTCTCCTCTGTGTATTTTTCAAATAGCCTGTCTTCGAGCTCACTAATCCCTTCTTCTGCTTGATCAGTTCTGCTGTAAAGAGACTCTAATGCGGCCAGGCACAGTCGCTTACGCCTGTAATCCCAGCACTTTGGGAGGCCAAGGTGGGCGGATCACGAGGTCAGGAGATCGAGACCATCCTGGCTAACATGATGAAACCCCATCTCTACCAAAAATACAAAACAAAAATTAGCTGGGCATGGTGGTGGGCACCTGTGGTCCCAGCTACTCGGGAGGCTGAGGCAGGAGAATGGTGTGAACCCGGGAGGCGGAGCTTGCAGTGAGCTGAGATTGCGCCATTGCACTCCAGCCTGGGCGACAGAGTGATACTCTTTCTCAAAAAAAAAAAAAAAAAAAAAAAAAAGAGAGAGACTCTAATTCATTCTTCATTATATCAATTGAATTTTTCAGCTCCAGAATTTCTGCCTCATTCTTTTTAAATTATTTCAATCTCTTTGTTACATTTATCTCATAGGATTCTGAGTTTCCTCTCTGTTTTATCTTGGATTTCATTGAGCTTCCTCAAAACAGCTACTTTGAATTCTCTGACTGAAAGGTCACATATCTCTGTCTCTCTGGGATTGGTCCCTGGTGCCTTATTTAGTTTGTTTGGTGAGGTCATGTTTTCCTAGAAGTTCCTGATGTTTTTGGATGTTTTTTGGTATCTGGACATTGAAGAGTTAGGTATTTATTGTAGTCTTCACCATCTGGGCTTGTTTGTATTTGCCATTCTTGGGAAGGCTTTCCAAGTATTCAAAGGGACCTGGGTGTTGTGATCTAAGTCTTTGGTCACTGTAACCATATCTGCATTAGGGGCTATCCCAAACCCAATAATGCTGTGGCTTTTGGGGACTCGTAGAGGTACTGCTTTGCTGGTCTTGGGTGAGATCCAGGAGAATTTTCTGGATTGCCAGGTAAAGGGTCTTGTTCTCTCCACTTACTTTCCCTCAAACAACTGGAGTCTGTCTCTTTGCTGAGCTGCCTGGAGCTGGGGGAGGGGTGACACAAGCAACCCTGTGGCCACCACCACTGGGACTGTGTGGGGTTATACTCAATGCCAGCACAGCACTGGGTCTCGTCCAAGGCCTGTAGTGACCACTGCCTGGTTAGTGCCTATGTTCATTCAATGCCCAAGAACTCTATAATCAGCAAGCAGTGAAGCCAGCCAGCTTGTGTTCTTCCCTTCAGGGCATCAAGTCTCCCCCCTGTCCCTGGGTGGGTCCAGAGATGCCATCTGGAAGCCAGGACCTAGAGTCGGGAACCTTAGGAATCTTCCTGGGGCTCTATTCTACTGCAGCTGAGCTGGTACTCAAGACACAAGACAAAGTCCTTCCCACTTTTCTCTCCTGTTTCCTCAAGCAAAAGAGTCTGTCCTTATGGCTACCACTGCTTCAGGCCCATAGCAAGTACTGCCTGGCTACTGCTGATGTTCACTCAAGGCCCAAGGGCTCTTCAATCAGCTTGTCAGCTTGTGGTGAATGCTGCCAGGCCTGGGTCTCTCTCTTCAGGGCAGTGGGCTCCCATCTGGCCCAGGGCAGGTCCAGAAATGCCATCGAGGAGCCAAGGCCTGGAACCAGAGATCTCAGGAGTCCACTTGGTGCTTTACCCGACTGTGGCTGAGCTGGTACCCAAGCTGCAGGACAAAGTTCCCTTTACTCTTTTATCTTCTTACCTGAAGCAGAAGGAGTCTCTCCCCATAGCCACCACACCTAGGAATGTGCTGGGTCACCCCTGAAGCCAACATGGAACTGGGTCCCATCTAAAGTCCACGACAAGTACTGCCTGGCTACCACTGCTGATTATTCAGGGGCCCAAGGTCTCTTTAATCATCAGGTGGTGAATCCTGCCAGCACTGGGTCTTTCCCTTCAAGGTAGTGGATTCCCTTCTGTCCTAGGGTGTGTCTAGAAATGTCATCTGGGAGTTAGGGCCTGGAATGGGGGCCTCATGGCTCTGTCTGGTACCCTATTCTACTGTGGCTGAACTGATATCCAAGATACAAGACAAAGTCTTCAGACATGGTTTGGATCTGTGCCCAAATCTCATGTTCATTTGTAATCCCCAGTGTTGGAAGTGGGACCTGGTGGGAGGTGATTGGATCATGGGGGCAGTTTCTCATGAATGGTTTGGCACCATCCTCTTGATGCTGTCCCCACAATAGTGAGTTCTTACGTGGTCTGGGTGTTTAAAAGTCTGTAGCACCTTTCCCTTTGCTCTCTCTTGCTTCTGCTCCCACCATGTAAGACAGCTGCTCCCCCTTTGCCTTCCACCATGATTGGAAGCTTCCTGAGGCCTCTCCAAAAGCAGAAGCTGTTGTGCTTCCTCTACAGCATGCAGAACCATGAGCCAGTTAACCTCTTTTCTTTATAAATTACCCAGTCTCAGGTATCTCTTTAGAGCAATATCAGAAGGGAATAATACAAAAAATGGCTAAGCTGGTGTCCAAGATACAAGACAAAGTCCTCTTTACTCTCCCCATTCTTGTCCTCAAGCTGAAGGAAGGAGTATCTTCTAGAGTTGTGAGCTGTGCTGCCTGAGGTTGGGAAGAGGTGACACAATCATTCCCTTTGCTGCCTCAGCTGGTGTCTCACTAGGTCATATGTACCCCAAGTCCACTGGCTCTAAGCCCAGTCCAGCACTGGAACTTGCCTAGGAATAGCAGTCCTTGTGACCTAGACTGTCTTTTAAGTTTATTTAGGCCCCAGAGTGCTTTGCCTTTATCTCACAGTGATAGGGCTTGCCAGAACGTAGGTTCCAATCATGAGGATGGATGATTTGCCTCTGGCTAGGGCTAGTCTAAATGTTCCCTCTGTGGGTGCTGGCTGAGTTCTGCCCTGTTTCTTTCTGCTGCGACTGGGCAGCACTGAGTTCCAATGCAAAGTCCCACAATCATTGGGCTGTCTCTCCCCCAAGCACACACAGATTCTCTTTCTGTGCCATGTGGTCATTGTTAGAGAAGGGGGGAGGAGTGGTGTCAGCAGTTCAAGACTGTCTTTCCCACCCTCTTCAGTGCCTCTTTCCTTAACATAATGTTGAAACCAGGTACTATGATCGCTCACCTGAGTTTTAGTTCTCATGAAGGTGCTTTTTTTGTGTGTGGATAGTTGTTCAATTTGGTGTTCCTGCAGGGGGGATGTTCGCTGGAGGCTTCTATTCAGCCATTTTGTTCCACCTCCCACTCATATGGTTTTTTGTAGGCCTCCGTGTTTTACCACATGAGCCTTGCCACAGGGCTGCCTTAGCACATGGAAGGTGGCTTCTCCTGCAGAGTAATTAGAGAGTGAGTCTCCCAGATGGAAGTTGCAGTCTTTTTATTGTGTAATCTTGAAAGTGAGATCCCATCTCTTCTGCCATATTTTATTCATTAACAGAGTGTCACTAAATATAGCCCACAGTCAAGAAAAGGGGAACCAAGTTCCATCTCTTGAGGAGAGGAGTATGGAAGAATTTGTGAATGTATCTTCAAAACCACCAAAATCTGTTTTCTGGCCACAAATTATTTGTCTTCCTCCCACATGCAAAATACATGTCAAAGAATTTGTGGGCATATATTTAAAACTACACCATCTTACACTTCACAGAAACTGGGATCTTGAGACATATCTTTCAGTGACTCCATTTTACATACATGGGAGGGCTCAAACTCCCCAGATCCTCCACCATCTGGTCCTACTTACATATTTTCCGCCACTTGCTTATGAATCCTGCATACAGTCAAATCAAATGATTCACCATTTCTTTTCTTTCTTTCTTTTGTTTAAGAAGATTTACTGTATATTTAATTATAACTTTTTGTAAAAAATACAAAAACCCCCGAGGCAGTGGGATATGCCTGGATTCTCTGCAGGCAGCACATTTTGAAGGCAGGCTGGGGTGGGGGAGGGACAGAGCCATCATATTAACCATTCTGTATTGAGTACCTATCACTTTCTGTTTTAAAACTTTTATTTTAGGTTCGAGGGTATGTGTGCGTGTTTGTTATACAGGCAAACTTGTGTCATGTGGGTTGCTTGTACAGGTTACTTTGTTACCCAGGTACTGAGTCCAGTACCCAATAGTTATTTTTTTCTACTCTTCTCCCTCCTCCAACCCTCCACCCTCAAGTAGGCCCCAGTGTCTGTCGTTCCCTTCATTGTGTCCATGAGTTCTCTTCATTTAGCTCCCGCTTATAAGTGAGAACATGTGGTATTTGGTTTTCTGTTCCTGTGTTAGTTTGCTGAGGATGATGGCCTCCAGTTCCATCCACATTCCCACAAAAGATATGATCTCGTTCTTTTTTATGCCTGCATAGTATTTCATGGTGTATATGTATCACATCTTCTTTATCCAGTCTATCATTGATGGACATTTAGGTTGATTCCATGTCTTTGCAATTGTGAATAGTGCTGCAATGAACATATTCGTGCATGTGTCTTTTTGGTAGAATGATTTATATTTCTCTGGGTGTGATATAGTTTGGGTCTGTGTCCCCATTCAAATCTTATGTTGAATTGTAATCCCTAATGTTGGAGGTGGGGCCTGGTGGGAGGTGATTGGATCATGGAGGTGGATTTCCCCTGGGTGCTGTTCTTGTGATGCTAGTGAGTGAGTTGTTGTGAGATCTGGTTGTTTAAAAGTGTGTGGCACCTCCCTCCACACTTCCTTGTGCTCTGGCCATGTAAGACATGCTTGCTTCCCTTTCACCTTCTGCCATAACTGTAAGTTTCCTGAGGCTTCCCCAGAAGATGAATGGAAGCTACTATGCTTCCTGTACAGCCTGCAGAACTGTGAGCCAATTAAACCTCTTTTCTTTATAAATTACCCAGTCTTAGGTATTTCTTTATAGCAATGCAAGAATGGACTAATACAGGGCGATATACCCAGTAATGGGATTGCTGGGTCAAATGGCATTTCTGTTTTTACATCTTTGAGGAATCGCCACGCTGCTTTCCACAATGGTTTAACTAATTTACACTTCCACCAACAGTGTATAAGTGTTCCTTTTACTCCATAACCTTGCCAACATCTGTTGTGTTTGGACTTTTGAATAATAGCCATTGTGACTTGTGTGAGATGGTATCTCATGGTGTTGATTTGCATTTCTCTAATGATCAGGACTCACCTTTTATTAATCATACCCTAAATCTACCATTCTCTGTACCTTCATGGATGCTCTTACCCCAGGCTGGAAAGTACTTCCTTATCTTTCTTTTCAAATCCTCCACAAAAGTCCTACGCTTATTTTCATACATTACCTTCTTCAGAAAGTATGGCAGCGCCCCTAAAATAGAATGTATTTGCTGCGTTTGATTGTAAATGGCTAGAGAGTAGGAAGCATACCTTGCTCATTTCTGTATCCTTCAAAACAGGATGCCTATTTCACTGGGCCCAACATGTGTTCAACAAATGCTGAATGAAATGATGTGAAGACAGCATTTCTCCATTTTAGCTGAGACAAACACTTGGAGTTGTTTGTGCCCATGTGACACATCAACATCATTATAGCATTTTATTTGTTGTGTAAAATCTGTCTTTCAAAGACATAATCCAAAATTGCCATGTGGAGGGCATCCTGACGGAATTGGTGGTAAAATTTCCAAATTATATCAACATCTTCAAAGTCCCAGCCTTCTGTGGCTATATTGGAGGGCCAAGAAAAATTCAGTTACCAACATGGGAAGTACCACGAAGTACAAAGTGGGAAGTACCACAAAGATCCCACAATGTGAGGAAGAGGGAGCTGTACCCTTACGCTGTCTTTAGCTATGCTGTAGTAGGATATCTCTTGCTTAATTTTTTAAGCTTTTTTCTCCCCACACACTTTCTCCCTACACACTTTTCCTCCTTCCTTTCCTCTCTCATTCTCTCCTCCCTCCATCCCTCCCTTCCTGCCGTCCTTCCTCCCTTCCTCCTTCCCTCCCCCCTTCCCTCCCCCCTTCCTCCTTCCCTCCCTTCCTTCCCTCCTTCTCCTTCCTTTCTTCCTTCTTCCTTCCTTCTCCACATCACTTTCTCATCTGACCTCTCCTTGTTATTCTTGCTCTAAACTCTGTGAGGTTCTATATGAGTATTCTGATGGGATCGCTGTCCTTTAAATTAGTCAAATAGAAGTTCTGTCTTTGCTAACAGCGTTATTGAGGTATAATTTACATACCATAAAATTCATCCATTTTAAGTGCACAATTCAATGATTTTCAGTAAATTTAGAGTTGTGCAACCATCACCACAATCTAGTTTTAGAACATTTCCATGATCCCAAAAAGTCTCCAGGGCTGACTGAATTTCTTAACGTATTGTTTTTTACCTTCTCTTGTTATAAAAACAATAGAAAGTTACTTTAAAGCTGGACATGGTGGCACATGCCTGTAGTCTCAGCTACTAGGTAGGATGAGGTGGGGAGGATCACTTGAGGCCAGGAGTCTGAGGCTGTAGCGAGCTATAATCATGCCTGTGAATAGTCATTGCCCTCCAGCCTGGGCAACACAGAGTGACCCCATTTCTTAAAGTTACTTCAGATATTTTAGAAAATACATAAAAGCAGAAAGAACTAAATAAAAAAAAATCCCTCATTCCACAATCTACAGGCAACCACTGCTATTTTGGCATATATTTAATCCCTCTTTCTGTCTACCTATTTATTTACATCTTAGAAGGGAAGCTTCTATTTAGGGAGCCTGAGAAGTTGATTTGCTCTGGGGACACAGCAGCTATGTATTAACAACTTAAAAGAGCAGGGAGGATCTCTTTTTATCTTATTAAGATAATTTGACTGGACTTTTGACTTTGAAATTACCACATTCGATATCTATTTATGTGTGAGGGTAAGAAGCCAATTAAGGCCATTGTTCCTGGACCAAACTGAGGGTCGGGCTGCTATTTTTCGAAGCGCAATAACAACATGCAGATGAACTGGGGAGGAAGAGAGTTTTTATTTCTGTAACCAGTTACAGGGAGAAGGCCTGGAAAACATTGCCAGGCCAACCTCAAAATTACAATGTTTTCCAGAGCTTATATACCTTCTAAGCTATATGCCTACGTGTAAGTGTGCATTCATCTAAAGACACAAGTGATTAACTTCTTTTAATCTATAACTAAGGTCTGAGTCCTGAAGACCTTCCTCTGGAGCCTCAGTAAATTTACTTAATCTAAATGGGTCCAGGTGCTGGGGTGATTAGCCTTATCTTGTCTCCTGCTAAATCATGGAGGTTTGGGGAGTTCCTTCAGACCTCCAATAAACTTGTTTGTGGAGGCCTGTGGAGTTTCTTGAGGCCCCCAGTAAAACTTGTTTAATTCTAAATGGGTTAAGGCCCAGGAAAGGACTAGGCAAAACTCTTGGTGGGCTTTTGTTATATTCCAGCCTTTGTATAGGGCACTGGCTCTTTCAGCTTTTAATATTTAACTTAACTATTCAGTCAGTACTGAAACAGTTGTTATGGAGGCCTGCGTTAGTGAGACCTGGCCTGCCACACAATGACTAGGCCATTATGTGCTGGGGATTGCAATGTGGGTTTGAAATGTGTGTGGGGTGGGAGTGGCTAAGTGGGGGAGGGGATTCAGTAATAGATGCCTAGAGGCCTCACGGAGGACCCTAAATACAGAAGCTGTGTGCTGGGGTGGTCGGAGGGATGTGAGCTTGAGAAAATCAGAACTCTTGCAAGCAAAAAGCAAGCTGGGCTTCAAGCGCCTGCCTTGGGACTCCCCAGCATTTCTTTGAAATGGTAACATGAGGGGAAAGCGGAATAAAAAGGGAAGGGCGTGTGATAATGCAGAAGGGGATGAGCATGTCAGGAGATTTCTGATGAGCCTGGTACAGTGCATTGCCCAGACTGTCAAAACGTGTACCAGTAAATGGGCAACAGAGCTAAGATATGGAACTGGATAATCAAGTCGTGGATGGGGCTACGGGGATTGCCCATTCCTGGCTGAGAAGTTGGCAGTTTCTGTTTTGTATTAGCAAAGAAGTTGGTTAAAGTGTCACCCATGGCATTTTTGGACCAAGACCTCATGTCTACTGAAGCCGAAGCTTTGGGGGAACTGGTAGGTAAACAAATGGAGATGTTGGAATATGCTGGTGATTTTCTGTGGTTTCCATTAACTTTTACAAGAAAGAGAAAAGCATCTCAACTTGGGGCTATTTCAAAACTTTACTGTTAGAAGTCCTTTGGCCTGCAGCCAGCAATTTAAGTTGTCTGCGAGTCAGGAAATCACAACACATGCAGGGTTGGAAAAGGTGAATTCTTTGTTTTCACTAAAGTGAAAAGGGAGAGGCAGAAAACAAAGTTGGTAATGAAACTGGGGCCTGGGAAGCCTCCACATCCCTGCCTCTCCTGGGCATCTTCTGCTGTATGTTCCCTGCCTGACAAAGGTTTAGAACATGCAGTCTGGGAATACAGAGTATCTGGGCCTCCCCAATTCTGCTATTGTTTTGCATTTCTCTAAATCAGATGTCAAGATGGAGGCCATTAAGCTGGAGGCTGCAGGCAGAGCACTGAGATTTGTTTCTGAAAGACAGAAATTTTTAGTTTAGGGTCTGGATTCGTGGACCATGACTTGATAAAATCTCTGACTTTGGTTTTTAGCTTGAAGAATCCACTGAATGAACATAAGCAAAAACTGATCAAGCTTTTAAGTAAGCTGTATTGCAGGAGAAACCCTAGATCCGATGAGTAAAGGTCATGATCTCCTATTTAACCTAAAAGGTTATTTTCAGGCCTCCACACCTGCAACAATGAGGATTAAACTGCTAAAAGGTGCAGTCCCCTAATAGGAGACTCCCCTACTAATGCCCACCTCAGCTGTAGGTGTGAAAGATGATGAGTAAGGCAGCTTTTCCCAGAGAGCAAAACCAGGGGCAGCTGGTTTTCTAGGGAAGGGAGTTGCTGAAATTCTTAAGGAGTATATATTATTGCTTGTGATCATTGTGTTTTTTCTTCCCTTCTCTTTTTTCAAATGGGAGCTGTTTTTCTAAAGTGGTCCTGTTGTCCATGCAACTTCATACACTGGGTCTGTTGGTTGTGGTTAAATAACTTATTTATAGACTTCAGACAATAAGGAGCTGCATTTAGACTTGTCTGGGAGACATCACCGAGGTATCTTGAGTATAATAAGTTAATGAGACTTAGCATTGGAGTATATTCTTTTGGGAAGGGGGTAAGTGCAACTTTGGCAGTCCATGGAACAGTTGCATAATGATGGTAGGATGCATTTTAAAACCTGTATGTATAAAAAAAGGTGTATAAATGCTAGGAAGTCAAGGGGCAGACTGTAGTGAGTCCCAATGACATTATTTGATACAACTGTGACTGAAATGAGACTTCCTTGCCTGTACTTTTCAATTAAGCCAACAAATTCCCATCTTAGTATAAGTGGGTTTGAGTTGGTTTTACTATCACTTTCAACCACAAATGCTTGACTGATATAACACATATATATATTTAATAAATATTATGTCAAAGTCTTATATGTAGATAATATATAAGGGCAAATGGTGTTAGTAACTAAGAAAGTACATATATATTTACAAGTAGGTCAACTTATTTTCTAGAATGTAAACTACTTTTTACAAATTTATCCTTTGAAGAGAGGGAATATTTCCTGCCATGTTTACATCCAAGCATCCAATTATGTTAATTCATGATTACTGTATTTCTCAGATTTTAGTCGATCATTGGCATATGTGGGTTTTAAACATAAGGGGATCAGATAAAGTATTTTTAAATTTATATTTTCATTATTGGTAGATATATTTGGGTGTGACAATCTAGTCTTTATGGTCATGTAGACTTACTGGACATAGTAGATTAGTAGATTAGATCCTTGGCCAAGGAAATTTTACAAATAGTTTCCTAAGCTATAAACTTTGCCTATGCAATTCACAACTATCTAATGATATGTAAATGATGTGTTAATACTGACAGATAATTACTTGCACTTAAAGTAACAATTTTTGATAAGTCATTAAGTATTATTTTTCTGTTCAGGCATTGAAGACTCTGTTTCACGCACCTGTTCACTACAATCCACTGTTTTTTTTTGTTGTTGTTTTGAGACAGAGTCTCACTCTGTTGCCCAGGCTGAAGTGCAGTGGCGCAATCTTGGCCCACTGCAACCTCTGCCTCCCAGGTTCAAGCAATTCTCCTGCCTCAGCCTCCTGAGTAGCTGGGATTACAGACTCATTCCACCATGCCTGGCTTATTTTGTATTTTTGGTAGAGATGGGGTTTTACCATGTTGGCCAGGCTGGTCTTGAACTCCTGACCTCAGGTGATCTGCCCACCTTGGCCTCCCAAAGTGTTAGGATTACAGGCGTGAGCCACCATGTCCAGCCTACATGTCACTGTTAGTAGTATTATTTTCAAAGAACTCCTCCAATAGTTTGCATAGTATTTCTCCAAATTTCCAAAGTTTTGATATTTTTTCCCCTTTCTCTTTCCCCCTAGTTAAAAAAAATCTCTTCTTGATAATTTTAATGTGGTTTGGGGAAGTAACAAAAGTAGATGTGTTTTTAATCTATTATTTTAACTTGGAAGGTACCATTATATCTTTAAAGTGCCTGGCCCAGATTAGGTACCCAATAAATGGTAGTGATTATTATTGTGGGGAGGAGGGTGGTGGAGCATGAGGAATCAACTTATACAGGGGTCTCCAACCCCCTGGAACTGGGCCCCACAGCAGGAGGTGAGCAGCGGGCCAGCGAGCATTACTTCCTGAGCTCTGCCTCCTGTCAGATCAGCGGCGGCCTTAGATTCTCATAGGAATGTGAACCCTATTGTGAATAGCGCATGCAAGGGATCTAGGTTGCACACTCCTTATGATAATTTAATTCCCGATGATCTAAGGTAGAATAGTTTCATCCCCAAACCCCCACAACCCTCCACAATGGTCCCCCAGTCCGTGGAAAAATTGTCTTCCATGAAACCGGTCCCTGGTGCCAAAATGGTTGGGGACTGCTGAACTAATGTTATTTCATTCATTTCATTTCTTTTTTCACTCTGTCACCCAGGATGGAGTGCAGTGGTGGGATCTCAGCTCACTGCAGCCTCTACCTCCCCAGGCTCGGGTGATCCTTCCACCTCAGCCTCTTGAGCCATTGGGACCACGGGTGTGCACCACCACACCCAGCCAATTTTTGTATTTCTTGTCAAGACAAGGTTTCACGCCATGTTGTTCAGGCTGATCTCAAACTCCTGAGCTCAAGCAATCTGCCTGCCTCTGCCTCTCAAAGTGCTGGGATTACAGTCCTGAGCCACCCCCTCATGCCTATTTCATTAA
The DNA here is from genome assembly GCF_000001405.40 of Homo sapiens. Taxonomy (NCBI): domain Eukaryota; kingdom Metazoa; phylum Chordata; class Mammalia; order Primates; family Hominidae; genus Homo; species Homo sapiens. Next base: position 16,508,821 of record NC_000023.11, on the reverse strand, counting down.
TTTCTCTGTAGGAGATTGGACTTCTGATAAATGTGGATAAATCTGTTTACTCAGTACATGTGAAATGCACATGTATTTTATGCTTTAATGAATTTTTGGGTTCTTTGTTTCCTTTTAGTTTTGTAATGAGTATTCAATTTGAAAATCCCGAGCTTATCTTGGTAGGAATACAAGGAAACAGGAGCTCCTCAAGCATTGTTGACATTATTAGGGTCATCTTTGTGGTATCAGACCTGGTCCCTACCATTAGTTATGCTACAGTTGAGCCATCATCTTAGTTGTATATTTGCATATTATTTCAAATTCCCTTTTCATCTATTTTTATTTTACTGAATTAATTTCATCATTATGGCTTCAAGCCATGATAAAAATATTTCCCGTGGAGCTGGAGGAAGTTTTGGTGAACACCAAAGCATATCCAATTCTGCAGTCATTTATTGTTAGGCATCTTGCAAATGCCAGACCCTGCAGGAGAAATATCAGTATGAAGATTGAATCCCTGTTCTCTGGCAACTAAAATTCAGTAGAAAGGATAAGGTAAAATGCATAGGTCACTAAAATGAGGCAGAAAATAGCAAAATATATACCACTATGTAAAGTACTTACTCTTTGCCAGTCACTCTTTTAAAAGCAGTTTAAAAATAGTTAATTCATTAAAACCTTAAACAATTATTATTATCTCCATTTTCATATGTGGAAACTGAGACACAGAGAGGGTGAGTAATTTGTCCAAGTTACCAAAGTAGTAAGTGGCAGATCTGGGATTTGATCCACTTGATCCAGAGAGTCCGGTTCTAGAATTGGCATGCTACCTTGCCTAGGTTAAACCAAGTTCCATTCATCTGAATGTTCCTATTCAAATGAGTGAGTGATTCTGTATGCTCATGCATGAGTGTGCATGCGTGTGTGCATGTGTGTATGTAGGGAACAGAAATGGGATTTTAAAGAGGTTGTGGCATTTGAGCTATATCTTTCTGGTTTTATGTCATTTTATGTTCAATTTGTTACATCTTGATCTTTTCTTAACATTCCAATTATACTCTGCTTGAAACACTTCAAAACTCCTGGACCTCTGATGTCTCCCATTATCTATCCAAGTCTAACCGGCTCAGAACTTTACAACTTTGGATCAAAAGCCTTTGCAAAATTTCCAGGGCAAAGTGGAGGTACCTTATGTTCTTCAGAAAAGGTTATAGGTTTTCAGACAGAACAGAATGAAAGTCACCAAGTCTATGACCACACATTATAGTGCTGGTTTTATGATGGTAATTATCAGACCAATTCATCACTGTATCCAATTGACTTCGGTGTCCCACATTACTTGGGCTCTGTTTTTTGAGGTCAGCTGAGTAAAGATAGGGAGTGTGAAAGATGTGTGTGTGTCTTTGTTGGATAATAGGTGAACTGAGGATGCCTGCCTGGGCCTAAGCTGTTACCAGCCCTGTAATTCACAAATATCTGGGAAAGGATGATTAACGGGTACCAAAGGTCTATAAGCAGGAGAGTTTGAGGAGGAATAAGGACAAGAGAGCTCAAGGATGATTACTGGAAAATACTGGAGAGGACAGCATGGTGTCTGTCTTGGACATGCTCTCCAAAATGGCCCTATGGGCTCATGGTGGAGGTCTGTGGTTGGTGGGGCCATAGGCAGAAGACGTGAGAGAGGCTTTTCCATAAAGAGTTTGTGACACAGGGGCACAAACAGTATCATCTAGGTGCCCATGTGAGGAAGTGTAACTACAGTGGGGAAGAGGACATTTCTTTCCCTTTCTGTGGTACTCAGTGTAATATCAGTGTGGTAAGAACCCCGGAGGAAGGAGGGTGGCCCTTACTGGAAGCAGTGGATGCTGGGGGCAGAACCAGCTCAATTGGCAGAGACCTGACTGACTTGTTTGCAGGTTATGTGAGACACATTAGAGTCTTCCTGAAAATGACTTAGAGGAGCCTCAAATGTAGGAACAGGAGGGAGTGAGATGTGGCTCATGTTCTGCAGAATACCCACCAGCTAGTGCAGCCCAGGAAACGGGTTATGTAGTAACTTCTGTTTTACAGACTAGTTCTTGAATGAATTCTACTGCATGAATTTATTAGTGTTAGATGACTCCAACACAAGTTAGCCACTGCTCTAAATTCATAGGATATGCTGTTTTCTTGATGTGAGATCCCCCCAGGAAGAAGATATTGAGACAAGATTCTATGCAAATTCTGTAGTTCATTGGTAAGTTAGTTCTAAGAAACACTGGTAGGGGAGTGCGGAAGTGAGACAGAAATAAGACGGTAGCCAGTAAAGGGAGAGTTATTAAGCCAATTACTATTGCAGACAACAGGGGTGCAATCTCACTGGGAGAAACCCTGGGAAGCATTGTAGAACACACATCTCAGAGTCATCCCACTTGAGGGGCAAGGAAGCTGGGGTATGTATCCACCCACTCTTGTCAGTCATTGGTTGAGGGCTCTTCCCAGGGGGATCTTAATCCTTCAGCACTTCCAGCAGAAAGAGCTGCTCTAGCAGCCAGAGAAAGTCCAAGGGCAGACAATTGCAGGTGCTGGCAGTTGGAAGCCAGGTTGGTGTGCGTGGAAATGCTAAGTGTGGGAAATACGGGTGGGGTGCAGACAGTGGTGCTACTCCTGTGACACGCAATGTCTTCTAGCTTGTTGGTTCCACAGTTTGACATTGTCTTGGTCATGTAATGGATTTACTTGCTGATTGACACTCGAAAACTTCTCATGCCTCCCCTGCTCCTGGTTCCATTTATTGTTCCCCTTCTTCCTTGTCTTTTCACTTCACTCAGTTCATCACCATTTGCCTTGGCTTTGGCATCAAAGACCTGTGGGAAGCTATTTCCTTTTTTGAGCCTCAATTTTTCTAATCTCAAGGTAAGAATAATAGTATATTTTTAGGGTTTTTGTGTGGATTGAAGAATGTGTTAACATATAGAAAAAACCATGTGTTATAACCTGTGTTTGAGAAAGGCTAGCTCTGTTTCTATTGCCATAATTATTTTTCTCTTGACAAAGCCAAGAACTCTTGGAGACCTTATCTTTCTGGGAACCCCCCCACCAAAACTGAGATGTGTGGATAAAGGCTAAGTTTGTCCTCTAAAAAGAAAACTATGCATTTTATTATTTTTCTAATAATTTTATCTAATTTAAAATGATTACATGTTTACTTTTGATATTTAGTAGAACAATACAAGGCATACTTCACTGATGTCTAAGCATATTGCATTTACTTTGCTGTCTTTCATCACTTAACTTATCCCACAAATAATTAGGGTAGGAAGAAGGGACTCAGCTTTATGAAGCTATGGTCATGGCTCTGCCCTGAGCTTAGGCCAATCTCAGAGTCATTTATGTGTCTCAGGAGACTGTGATGTTTTGTATTCCTGGCCTTTTGTGCCCTGTGGTATCTATGTTGGCTGTTGATTCTACGGGTTACCATTTTTTGCTCTGAATTATTTAGGATGGAGGGAAGGAGAGAGAGAAGGGAGAAAGGAGAAGAGAGAAGGGAGGAGGAAGGAGAGCTGCTATTGTTGGCTTCTGAATAACCTGTAATTTTCATAATGACACTTTCCTAGATATACTCATGCTGTATATAATTACAAAGTACTCTTACATATATTTAAAAATTTAATCCTCATAACTATCTCATAAAATGAGGAGGAAGAAAAAGATCTATGAAGAGCAGATTTGTACTAATCCTTTGGAGGAGGCAACTGTGAAGAAAAGGAAACTCAGAGAAAAATAGGATGCCATGCACCAAGGCAGTAATATTACGCCTTTTGTTTGCTTAGGGAAAAAAGAATGCACCCATGGGGTCCATTGCTTTTTATGCTGTCAAGATGAAAAGGGTGGATTACTGAGGTTTGAACCAGTCTTGGCCCTAGCAGTTCTGACATGAGTTATTTTGAGAAAGGTATCTTATCATCATGAGCCCTGCTTTCCTTATCTGCAAAACTGAGGTAAAAATACTTGCAGGAGAGACCAGCAATCACATGGAGGTAGCTGTAAGAATTTAACAAAATGTGCATAAAAGCACTGTACAAGCTGTAAAGTACTATACATAGATACTACACACTGATACTTCACTGAAAATGAAGACATGATTTTGTAGCATCAGGAGAGTATAAAATATCAAACTTAAAAGTTGACCTCCTAATGGCATTATTGGGAATCCAAAGTTTATTGACTTGGAGGTTCAAGATTTGTCTGGCAGAGGCATAGAAAGACAAATATTGCATGTTCTCACTTATTTAGGGGATCTAAAAACCAAAACAACTGAACTCATGAACATAGAGAGTAGAAGGATAGTTACCAGAGGCTGGGAATGGCAACGGGGGGTTGGTGGGGAGGTGAGGATGGTTAATGGGTATAAAAAATAGAAAGAATGAGTAAGACCTACTATTTGACAGCACAACAGGGTGACTATAGTCAATAACTTAATTGTACATTTTCAAATAAAACAGCGGTCCCCAACCTTTTTGACACTGGGGACCGGTTTTGTGGAAGACAATTTTTCCATGTTGAGGGGTGGGGGATGGTTTCAGGACAAAACTGCTCCATCTCAGATCATCAGGCATTAGTTAGATTCTTTTTTTTTTTTTTTTTTTTTTGAGACAGAGTCTCACTCTGTTACCCAGGCTGGAGTGCAGTGGCGTGATCTTCGCTCACTGCAGCCTCTGCCTCCTAGGTTCCAGCAATTCTCCTGCCTCGGCCTCTCAGGTAGCTGGGATTACAGGCATGCCCCACTATACCCGGCTAATTTTTGTATTTTTAGTAGACATGGGGTTTCACCATGTTGGCCAGGCTGGTCTTGAACTCCTGACCTCAGGTGATCCGCCTGCCTTGGCCTCCCAAAATGCTAGGATTACAGGTGTGAGCCACCGCGCCTGGCCCAGTTAGATTTTTATAAGGAGTGCACAATCTAGATCCCTCACGTGTAGTTCGCAATAGGGTTCATGCTCCTGTGAGAATCTAAAGCCACCACTGATGTGACAGGAAGCGGAGCTCAGGTGGTAGTGCTTGCTTGCCCACCACTTAACCTCCTGTTGTATGTCCCGGTTCCTAACAGGTCACAGGCCAGTACCAGTCCAAGGCACGTGCACTGGGGACCCCTGACTTAAAGAGTGTGATTGGATTGTTTATAACTCAAGGGATAAATGCTTGAGGGAATGGATACCTCATTCTTTATGATGCGATTATTATGCATTGCATGCCTGTATCAAAACATTTCATGTACCCTCCATAAATATATATACCTACTATCTACTCACAAAAATTAAAAATAAATTTTTAAAATTTCTTTTTATTTTATTTTATTATTATTATACTTTAAGTTTTAGGGTACATGTGCACAGGTTTAGGGTACATGTGCACAGGTTAGTTACATATGTATACATGTGCCATACTGGTGTGTTGCACCCATTAACTCGTCATTTAGCATTAGGTATATCTCCTAATGCTATCCCTCCCCCCTCCCCCCACCCCACAACAGTCCTCAGAGTGTGATGTTCCCCTTCCTGTGTCCATGTGTTCTCATTGTTCAATTCCCACCTATGAGTGAGAATATGCGGTGTTTGGTTTTTTGTTCTTGTGATAGTTTACTGAGAATGATGATTTCCAATTTCATCCATGTCCCTACAAAGGACATGAACTCATCATTTTTTATGGCTGCATAGTATTCCATGGTGTATATGTGCCACATTTTCTTAATCCAGTCTATCATTGTTGGACATTTGGGTTGGTTCCAAGTCTTTGCTATTGTGAATAGTGCCGCAATAAACATACGTGTGCATGTGTCTTTATAGCAGCATGATTTATAGTCCTTTGGGTATATACCCAGTAATGGGATGGCTGGGTCAAATGCTATTTCTAGTTCTAGATCCCTGAGGAATGGCCACACTGTCTTCCACAATGGTTGAACTAGTTGACAGTCCCACCAACAGTGTAAAAGTGTTCCTATTTCTCCACATCCTCTCCAGCACCTGTTGTTTCCTGACTTTTTAATGATTGCCATTCTAACTGGTGTGAGATGATATCTCATTGTGGTTTTGATTTGCAATTCTCTGATGGCCAGTGATGGTAAGCATTTTTTCATGTGTTTTTTGGCTGCATAAATGTCTTCTTTTGAGAAGTGTCTGTTCATGTCCTTCGCCCACTTTTTGATGGGGTTGTTTGTTTTTCTTGTAAATTTGTTTGAGTTCATTGTAGATTCTGGATATTAGCCCTTTGTCAGATGAGTAGGTTGCGAAAATTTTCTCCCATTCTGTAGGTTGCCTGTTCACTCTGATGGTAGTTTCTTTTGCTGTGCAGAAGCTCTTTAGTTTAATTAGATCCCGTTTGTCAATTTTGGCTTTTGTTGTCATTGCTTTTGGTGTTTTAGACATGAAGTCCTTGCCAATGCCTATGTCCTGAATGGTAATGCCTAGGTTTTCTTCTAGGGTTTTTGTGGTTTTAGGTCTAACATTTAAGTCTTTAATCCATCTTGAATTGATTTTGGTATAAGGTGTAAGGAAGGGATCCAGTTTCAGCTTTCTCCATATGGCTAGTCAGTTTTCCCAGCACCATTTATTAAATAGGGAATCCTTTCCCCATTGCTTGTTTTTCTCAGGTTTGTCAAAGATCAGATAGTTGTAGATATGTGGCGTTATTTCTGAGGGCTCTGTTCTGTTCCATTGATCTATATCTCTGTTTTGGTACCAGTACCATGCTGTTTTGGTTACTGTAGCCTTGTAGTATAGTTTGAAGTCAGGTAGTGTGATGCCTCCAGCTTTGTTCTTTTGGCTTAGGATTGACTTGGCGATGCGGGCTCTTTTTTGGTTCCATATGAACTTTAAAGTAGTTTTTTCCAATTCTGTGAAGAAAGTCATTGGCAGCTTGATGGGGATGGCATTGACTCTATAAATTACCTTGGGCAGTATGGCCATTTTCACGATATTGATTCTTCCTACCCATGAGCGTGGAATGTTCTTCCATTTGTTTGTATCCTCTTTTATTTCATTGAGCAGTGGTTTGTAGTTCTCCTTGAAGAGGTCCTTCACGTCCCTTGTAAGTTGGATTCCTAGGTATTTTATTCTCTTTGAAGCAATTGTGAATGGGAGTTCACTCATGATTTGGCTCTCTGTTTGTCTGTTATTGGTGTATAAGAATGCTTGTGATTTTTGTACATTGGTTTTGTATCCTGAGACTTTGCTGAAGTTGCTTATCAGCTTAAGGAGATTTTGGGCTGAGACAATGGGGTTTTCTAGATCTACAATCATGTCATCTGCAAACAGGGACAATTTGACTTCCTCTTTTCCTAATTGAATACCCTTTATTTCCTTCTCCTGCCTAATTGTCCTGGCCAGAACTTCCAACACTATGTTGAATAGGAGTGGTGAGAGAGGGCATCCGTGTCTTGTGCCAGTTTTCAAAGGGAATGCTTCCAGTTTTTGCCCATTCAGTATGATATTGGCTGTGGGTTTGTCATAGATAGCTCTTATTATTTTGAGATATGTCCCATCAATACTGAATTTATTGAGAATTTTTAGCATGAAGCGTTGTTGAATTTTGTCAAAGGCCTTTTCTGCATCTATTGAGATAATCATGTGGTTTTTGTCTTTGGTTCTGTTTATATGCTGGATTACAGTTATTGATTTGCGTGTATTGAACCAGCCTTGCATCCCAGGGATGAAGCCCACTTGATCATGGTGGATAAGCTTTTTGATGTGCTGCTGGATTCGGTTTGCCAGTATTTTATTGAGGATTTTTGCATCAATGTTCATCGAGGATATTGGTCTAAAATTCTCTTTTTTGGTTGTGTCTCTGCCCAGCTTTGGTATCAGGATGATGCTGGCCTCATAAAATGAGTTAGGGAGGATTCCCTCTTTTTCTATTGATTGGAAGAGTTTCAGAAGGAATGGTACCAATTCCTCCTTGTACCTCTGGTAGAATTCGGCTGTGAATCCATCTGGTTGTGGACTCTTTTTGGCTGGTAAGCTATTGATTATTGCCACAATTTCAGAGCCTGTTATTGGTCTATTCAGAGATTCAACTTCTTCCTGGTTTAGTCTTGGGAGGGTGTATGTGTCAAGGAATTTATCCATTTCTTCTAGATTTTCTAGTTTATTTGCATAGAGTTGTTTGTAGTATTCTCTGATGGTAGTTTGTATTTCTGTGGGATCGGTGGTGATATCCCCTTTATCATTTTTTATTGCATCTATTTGATTCTTCTCTCTATTCTTCTTTATTAGCCTTGCCAGCGGTCTGTCAATTTTGTTGATCCTTTCAAAAAACCAGCTCCTGGTTCATTAATTTTTTGAAGGGTTTTTTTTGCCTCTATTTCCTTCAGTTCTGCTCTGATTTTAGTTATTTCTTGCCTTCTGGTAGCTTTTGAGTGTGTTTGCTCTTGCTTTTCTAGTTCTTTTAATTGTGATGTTAGGGTGTCAATTTTGGATCTTTCCTGCTTTCTCTTGTGGGCATTTAGTGCTGTAAATTTCCCTCTACACACTGCTTTGAATGTGTCCCAGAGATTCTGGTATGTTGTGTCTTTGTTCTCGTTGGTTTCAAAGAACATCTTTATTTCTGCCTTCATTTCGTTATGTACCCAGTAGTCATTCAGGAGCAGGTTGTTCAGTTTCCATGTAGTTGAGCAGTTTTGAGTGAGTTTCTTAATCCTGAGTTCTAGTTTGATTGGACTGTGGTCTGAGAGACAGTTTGTTATAATTTCTGTTCTTTTACATTTGCTGAGGAGAGCTTTACTTCCAACTATGTGGTCCATTTTGGAATAGGTGTGGTGTGGTGCTGAAAAAAATGTATATTCTGTTGATTTGGGGTGGAGAGTTCTGTAGATGTCTATTAGGTCCACTTGGTGGAGAGCTGCGTTCAATTCCGGGGTATCCTTGTGAACTTTCTGTCTCGTTGATCTGTCTAATGTTGACAGTGGGGTGTTAAAGTGTCCCATTATTATTGTGTGGGAGTCTAAGTCTCTTTGTAGGTCACTTAGGACTTGCTTTATGAATCTGGGTGCTCCTGTATTGGGTGCATATATATTTAGGATAGTTAGCTCTTCTTGTTGAATTGATCCCTTTACTATTATGTAATGGCCTTCTTTGTCTCTTTTGATCTTTGTTGGTTTAAAGTCTGTTTTATCAGAGACTAGGATTGCAACCCCTGCCTTTTTTTGTTTTCCATTTGCTTGGTAGATCTTCCTCCATCCTTTTATTTTGAGCCTATGTGTGTCTCTGCATGTGAGATGGGTTTCCTGAATACAGCACACTGATGGGTCTTGACTCTTTATCCAATTTGCCAGTCTGTGTCTTTTAATTGGAGCATTTAGTCCATTTACATTTAAAGTTAATATTGTTATGTGTGAATTTGATCCTGTCATTATGATGTTAGCTGGTTATTTTGTTTGTTAGTTGATGCAGTTTCTTCCTAGCCTCGATGGTCTTTACAATTTGGCATGATTTTGCAGCGGCTGGTACTGCTTGTTCCTTTCCATGTTTAGTGCTTCCTTCAGGAGCTCTTTTAGGGCAGGCCTGGTGGTGACAAAATCTCTCAGCATTTGCTTGTCTGTAAAGTATTTTATTTCTCCTTCACTTATGAAGCTTAGTGTGGCTGGATATGAAATTCTGGGTTGAAAATTCTTTTCTTTAAGAATGTTGAATATTGGCCCCCACTCTCCTCTGGCTTGTAGAGTTTCTGCCAAGAGATCTGCTGTTAGTCTGATGGGCTTGCCTTTGTGGGTAACCCGACCTTTCTCTCTGGCTACCCTTAACATTTTTTCCTTCATTTCCACTTTGGTGAATCTGACAATTATGTGTCTTGGAGTTGCTCTTCTCGAGGAGTATCTTTCTGGCATTCTCTGTATTTCCTGAATCTGAATGTTGGCCTGCCTTGCTAGATTGGGGAAGTTCTGCTGGATAATATCCTGCAGAGTGTTTTCCAACTTGGTTCCATTCTCCCCATCACTTTCAGGTACACCAATCAGACGTAGATTTGGTCTTTTCACATAGTCCCATATTTCTTGGAGGCTTTGTTCATTTTTTCTCTAAAGTTCCCTTCTCGCTTCATTTCATTCATTTTGTCTTCCATCACTGATACCCTTTCTTCCAGTTGATCGCATCGGCTCCTGAGGCTTCTGCATTCTTCACGTAGTTCTCGAGCCTTGGCATTCAGCTCCATCAGCTCCTTTAAGCACTTCTTTGTATTGGTTATTCTAGTTATACATTCATCTAAATTTTTTTCAAAGTTTTCAACTTCTTTGCCTTTGGTTTGAATTTCCTCCTGTAGCTCGGAGTAGTTTGATCGTCTAAAGCCTTCTTCTCTCAACTCGTCAAAGTCATTCTCCATCCAGCTTTGTTCCGTTGCTGGTGAGGAACTGTGTTCCTTTGGAGGAGGAGAGGTGCTCTGCTTTTTAGAGTTTCCAGTTCTTCTGCTCTGTCTTTTCCCCATCTTTGTGGTTTTATCTACTTTTGGTCTTTGATGATGGTGATGTACAGATGGGTTTTTGGTGTGGATGTCCTTTCTGTTTGTTAGTTTTCCTTCTAACAGACAGGACCCTCAGCTGCAGGTCTGTTGGAGTTTGCTAGAGGTCCACTCCAGACCCTGTTTGCCTGGGTAACAGCAGCGGTGGCTGCAGAACCGCGGATTTTCATGAACCGCGAATGTTGCTGTCTGATCGTTCCTCTGGAAGTTTTGTCTCAGAGGAGTACCCGGCCATGTGAGGTGTCAGTCTGCCCCTACTGGGGGGTGCCTCCCAGTTAGGCTACTCGGGGGTCAGGGGTCAGGGACACACTTGAGGAGGCAGTCTGCCTGTTCTCAGATCTCCAGCTGCGTGCTGGGAGAACCACTGCTCTCTTCAAAGCTGTCAGACAGGGACATTTAAGTCTGCAGAGGTTACTGCTGTCTTTTTGTTTGTCTGTGTCCTGCCCTCAGAGGTGGAGCCTACAGAGGCAGGCAGGCCTCCTTGAGCTGTGGTGGGCTCCACCCAGTTGGAGCTTCTCAGCTGCTTTGTTTACCTAAGCAAGCCTGGGCAATGGCGGGCGCCCCTCCTCCAGCCTCACTGCTGCCTTGCAGTTTGATCTCAGACTGCTGTGCTAGCAATCAGCGAGACTCTGTGGGTGTAGTACCCCCCGAGCCAGGTGTGGGATATAATTTCCTGGTGCGCCGTTTTTTAAGCCTGTCAGAAAAGCGCAGTATTCAGGTGGGAGTGACCCGATTTTCCAGGTGCCATCTGTCACCCCTTTCTTTGACTAGGAAAGGGAACTCCCTGACCCCTTGCGCTTCCCGAGTGAGGCAATGCCTCGCCCTGCTTCGGCTCGTGCATGGTGCGCTGCACCCACTGTCCTGCGCCCACTGTCTGGCACTCCCTAGTGAGATGAACCCGGTACGTCAGATGGAAATGCAGAAATCACCCATCTTCTGCATCGCTCACGCTGGGAGCTGTAGACCGGAGCTGTTCCTATTCGGCCATCTTGGCTGCTTAGGAGCAATTTTTAAAATTTCTAAGTGAAACATTAACAGATTAAATGTATATACCATAAACAAGAATTCATTCCACCATAGGAGATTTCATATGGACTATTATATCAAAATAAAAGAGAAAAGCCAAAATGATTTAAAAAAAGATTTGTCTGACAGAAGATTGTTTGATTATTCGTTTGTTTTTAAAAGGAAGATGCCAATACAAATTTATTTGTCCAGTGCCTTCATTGACAGTGGAGGGGTAATATTGGAATATTTTGGAGGCACCTTTATCCAAGTATTTTAAAGTAATGCTTATGCAATGTAGAATTGTCATGAATTTGCCAGATAATGGCAGGAACTTCCACTGCATTGGACTGTTGGGTTTTGAAAGATCCATGTTTAAGTCCACATTCTGCCACATAGTAGCTGTGCAACATGAGGCTTGCTATTTTATCATTTGTAAAAAAAAAAAGGATAAAAGTTCTTCTAGGGATCATTGTGAAGGATGGAATGAAACATTGGGTGAGAAAATTCTCTGAAAACCATGAACAACTCCATATATATAAGGTGTATAGTTTTTATCATTACTCGTGTTTAAAGAAGTGAAACCAAAAAACAAATGTTCAATGACACAATTTAGAGAGAATCAAGTTGGAAATTAATGAGGTGTAGTCAAAAAGGAGACACAGATTGCCTTTTGATAATGATTTCTTCCCATATGGCTTTGATATGGGATGTTTATGGGTGATAAATGGGGAACTATGCAAATGTGATGCATGTGCACACATTTATTTTAAGATTCATAGCTTGCCTTGCTGGCAAGCTATGGACTTCTAAGAGCTTCAGTCAAACCTGCTCAGTCCATTGCCTGTTTCGGACTTAGAAGACTGTAAATAAATTTGATTCAACCCCCAACAACTCTGTAAGAAAGCCATAGGGCTGACTGACCTCAGGTGTCAGAAGGCAGTGTAGGAGTTCTAACTATGCAGAAGGGCTCACCTGGGCGGGGCCAGGTGGCTAGCCAGGAAGGTTCTCCATAGGATACCCTTATTGTGGTAAATTTGCCACAATGCGCTTTCTGGGTGGCAGCATTGTAGCATATAAAATCCAATTGTGTCAACATATAGAGAGTAGATCTTTCTCTCTGGTGTGCAGTCACATTATTCCTACTCATCATGTGAAGTTTAAAACCTAATGCCAATTAGTTAATTTTAACGACAAACATAGTTACCAGGAAATCCAGAATTTCTAGCTAACACACGAGAAGCCAAATTACCATCATGAAATTGCTTGGTGAGCTTGGAATCTGAACAGGCATCATCAGTCACCTGATTTGAATGTTAAAGGGTTTGTTGGTCAAGTTTCTTGAGTGCAGGCAACAAAATTCCCTATTGACTCACCTAAGCAGAAAAGAAATTCATTGGTACTTCTTGGTCAGTACACAGACGTGATGAGTAGGCTGGAAAGCCAGGCTCAGAAGACAATGGGAACCAAGAGAGGCTATGAATGGCAGACACATTATCATCAGTTCAGTGTTCCACTGCTGTCAGAAATCTGAGCAGTTGATGCTGCTACTACCTTTGGACTCTCAATGCCTGATGCTACTGCTGATTTTTTGGGAAATGCTCACACCACCATGTATAGCTTCTCAGCTGTCCTTGCATCTTCGTTTCTCTCCTTCAAGATCCAAAGACCTGGCTAGGAACATCTGGTTGCTGAGTTCAGGTCATATGCATCTACACAGCTATTGGGATGCTAGAAGAGGAAATATATGGCCCCCAGACCTGTGCTTCTCAAAGTGTCATCTGCAGACTGGTGCCAGGCCTTGGAATGATCATTTTTATTTTGTGATGAGGCAAGGAACTCATGCTCGAATGTAAATCAATTTAGTGCTTTTCCTACTTAGGCAGCTTTGCTGTGGAAAAAGTGTCAGTTTAATTAAACAGTGTACTACTAAATAGAGCAGCACTTTCCTTGACTTCATGATGGGAGACTAGGACCTGACATCTGGGGACTCCCCACAAAAGAAGAGTGTTTGGAACCCATGTTGTAAAAAAAACAACAAATATCCACCACAAATGAGATCAGGCTGAGTAAGTCTGATGTCTACTACTCCACCATAGAGACATTTTTGCCATCAGTAATGTGTGCATTATGAGCATCTAGACATACCCTCACCTGGCTGGTGTTTAGTTGGATATGGTGATTTTGACTGTCACTACTGTCTTTCCCACAGGGCAGGTTGCTAGCTACCCTCTTGGGAAAGAAAAGGTTGGGGGAGACAGTTTCATGCCCACCCAAGTTGGCTGGTTGAGACTCTTCACTGTGATGGTTGAGCCAGTGACCCTCAGATGACCTTGGAGTGGGGTTTATCATCTGTCCATTGTGAATCCTGCCCTTTCTGTCTTCCGTAAGCCAAATACTCATAGCACCTTGATGGAGCAGTTCTTTATCCAGTGGTTCAGGAAATGATCACAATTTAAATAGTTGGAGAATGGTGTGAGAAGGAAAGCAAGTATTACAACTCTGGTTTAGCTTCTTTGGTCCTTTGTATTATACATAGAGGCAAAAGCATCACTCTGTGAGCCGTTAGAGTATGTCTCATGTGAATTCCCCTTGTTCTCTTGCTCTTCCACTTCTCCTTCAGTCCTCTCTTAAGATCTTCCCTGTTGAGTGCCCCTCCCAGCACTTCCCTAGAGATTGCTAACCCTCCCTACAGAGTAGTAAAATTCCCATCTCTTCTTGAGACTTTTGAATTCAGACACCCCAGTAGTCTCCTGGATGTAGAGGACTTTTCCCTTCACTTTAGCTGGTTATCACAGTATGGGAAGCTCTGGTCTTATGAATGGGGTGGAGAAAAGACAGTAGAGTGCAGAAGAATTCCTTTTAGGTTCCTAAAAATTGAGCACCAGTCACCATCTGATATGGTTTGGATATGTGTCCCTGCCCAAATCTCATGTCAAATTGTAATCCCCAGTGTTGGAGGAGGGGCCTGATGGGAGGTGATTGGATCATGGGGGTGGAGTTCTCATGAATGGTTTAGCACCATCCCCGCCTTGGTACTGTGTAGTGAGTGAGTTCTCATGAGATTTGGTTGTTTAAAAGTGTGTGACGGGGCGTGGGGGCTGACGCCTGTAATGCCAGCACTTTGGGAGGCCCAGGTGGGAGGATCACGAGGTCAGGAGATCGAGACCATCCTGGCTAACACAGTGAAACCCCGTCTCTACTAAAAATACAAAAAATTAGCTGGGCGTGGTGGCGGGCGCCTGTAGTCCCAGCTACTCAGGAGGCTGAGGCAGGAGAATGGCGTGAACCTGGGAGGCGGAGCTTGCAGTGAGCCGAGATAGTGCCACTGCAGTCCAGCCTGGACGAAAGAGCGAGACTCTGTCTCAAAAAAAAAAAAAAAAAAAAAAAAAGTGTGTGACGTCTACCCACTCTCTCTCTTGGTCCTGCTCCTGCCATGTGATGTGCTGGCTCCCACTTCGCCTTCTGCCATGATTGTAAGTTTCCTGAGGCCTCCCCAGAAACAGATGCCACCATGCTTCCCGTACAGCCTGTGGAACTGTGAGCCAATTAAACTTTTCTTTATAAATTACCCAGTCTCAGGTATTTCTTTATAGCAATGTGAGAACGGACTAATACACCATCTAAGGGATGAATGGCCTTTGAAAGACTACTTAAAAATTGCACGATAATATCAATATGATCTTTCTCCTCCTTATTAAACTAAGCTGCATTCATTGCTTATACATCTTGAGTTTCAGTACAGAACTTCCTATGATAATGGACTATGAATGGTGCCACAGTGAAGTTGCTCTTCTCCAAAGCTCAGTGTTCTTCCTGCCTCTAACTCTGATCACGAAGGAAGGGAATGTTGGGGAGAAGTTTTAGTTCAACCTACCTTATCCTTCTACTCTGTCTATAGCTGACAAACTCCAATTCTCATAGATTAACCCTCAATCAGGTTATAGACACATCTTGTAGTTTGAGAGCACAATTCCGTATCTCTAATATAACTTAGAAAGTTCTGATATTATAGACTAATCTGAGCTGCTTACCATGTACCCCACCAAGAAAAGCTATGAAAAAAATGCATGTTAACTGCTATGGACTTGAAAACAAGAAATAAAAGAGGAAGAAAGGAAGGGAAAAAGAAGGAAAGAAAAAGTAGGAAGGGAAGAAAAAAAAACTCATATTTAGAGAATAAAAGATTATCTTTTCAAATATTATGTAGTGGGTAGGTTAAAATAATTGGAATTTTCTGGTGTAATTAACTTGCAGTAGAATGGCAAATATCCTTCATCTGTCATTGGACTCATGCCATAATTATTTATTTTTTCTATGGAAAAAAAGGACTGGAAATCTGTTTTATTTATTTTTATTTAATTTAATTTATTTATTTATTTTGAGATGGAGTCTTTCTCTGTCGCCGGAGTGCTGGAGTGCAATGGCACAATCTTGGCTCACTGCAACCTCCGCCACCCAGGTTCAAGCAATTCTCCTGCCTCAGGCTCCCAAGTATCTGGGATTACAGGCGCATGCCACCACACCCGGCTAATTTTTGTATTTTTTAGTAAAGATGGAGTTTTGCCATGTTGACCAGGCAGGTCTTGAACTCCTGACCTCAGGTGATCTGCCTGCCTCGGCCTCCCAAAGTTCTGGGATTACAGGTGTGAGCTACCACACCCTGCCAAAAATCTGTTAACTTTAGTACGTTAAGTGCAGCCTCTTTCTAATGGGATTTGCATTTGTAAAGAAAAGGAAGGATTTTTTACCTGAGGCAACCTAAAGGCAAGTGTGCTTAGGGCATTCATCGATTTCACTAAAAAGTGATCTTTAGCTTCTGCATCCCATAACTCCAGGTTCAAGGGTTTTTTTTTTTTTCACTGAGTTGATCTGGTTTAGTGTTTTAAGGTGAAAGCATGGTAAGTTACTATAGAAGAAAGGAAAATTAAGAAGAGTGGGAATGAAGGAGGAAGGTTGATGGTGCATGGGAGGAGAAGAGATGGGCACACACCATCAGCACATCTGAATGTAGGAAGTGGGAAAGGTAGGACTCGGTGATCACACGGTGTGAAATTTCTCCGATGTTTCACATGTGTGGGACAAAATCAATGAGTCACTCAGCAAGCATTTTAATGAATATTATGCATAGAGCAATGGGGGAATTGGAGATATTAAAAGGTAGACACACAAAATTATTTAAAAATTATTTTAAAATTCTATATTGTAAATGCTAAAGGCTGAGTAGAAACAAGAAGTGTTAATAGCTCTGAGTAAAGGTGCCTCTAATTCCTCCTTGGAGTTAGACCTTGGTTAGGCATTGAAGGATGGAATGATAATGTCAAGAATTGTGAAAGGTCTGAGATTTGACCCTACTTGAAAGCTGACAAGTTAGCTTGCCACAGTTTCATGGATACTGGCAGAAGATATAAGACCCTCGGATCAGAAACAAAGACTTTATTGCTCACAGCACAGCAAGCAGAATGAGCCAGAATCTTTTTTTCTTGTTTTGAAAGAGAAATTTACAGAGGGAATAATAGAGGAAAATAAAGGGATCAGGAAGTACAACTTGTTCCTGACAGAGTAGAAAGTG
The DNA here is from genome assembly GCF_000001405.40 of Homo sapiens. Taxonomy (NCBI): domain Eukaryota; kingdom Metazoa; phylum Chordata; class Mammalia; order Primates; family Hominidae; genus Homo; species Homo sapiens. The sequence goes on along the minus strand of NC_000023.11, from coordinate 16,491,777 downwards.
AGAATCCAAATTGGGTTTTGACACAGCAGATGTGTAGCCCAGACAGTAGAGCTGGCTACACACACAATTATCTCTAAGAGGAGGGCTGGCTTCCGGTTCATTCCTTATTCCTCCCCCATGGCTCACTCCTGCTGGTTTTGGTCTCTGGTTTCTATAGAGGGCACTGGTTCAGCTGCTAAATGAAACATAGTGAATGAGGGGTTGTTATCCCAGGGTCTGTTTTTTTCCCAGGGTCACCTTTCCATAGTCCTATGCTGTTCAATACTGCAGCCATGAGCTACATGTGGCAATGCAGCATTTAAAATGTGGCTAAACTGAAATGTGCTGTAAGTGCAAAATACACATTGAATTTCAAAGACTTAGTAAAAGGGAAAATAATCTCATTAATACTTTTTATATTGATTACATGTTGAAATGATAATATTTTGAATACATTATTTTAATAAAATACGAACATTAATTTCACCTATTTCTTTTTACATTTTAATATATGCTTCAAGAAATTTTAAGTTACACATGTGGCTCACATGTGTGGCTCATGTGATATTTCTCTTGGATAGGTACCTTTGAGCAAGAGAGGAGGCTCCCTGAGGTTCTCCTTATTATACTCCAAAGGCTGTGTTATTGATTTCCTGTTTTCTCATGGACCTCAGTTGGGCATGGCCTGGGCCATTGACCTGCATTAAACTGCAGTCCTCCTTGATGTACTCTGCTGCCCCTAACCAGAGTGTTTTCAGATGGGAGGAGCAGGGATATAGTCAAGACTTACCTTTCCTCTCATGACCTTGTCCTCTACTTGCCTTTACAAAGTTTTGCCACTCACTTTGCCACTCACAAAGTTTTGTAGGTAATTCAGGCTTTATGGAAGGGTCAAAGAATGCTAAAGGGAATTACAACCTATGGGGGAAGGACTTTCAAACTGTGTATTGATTGTGTCTTATTTCCATGGTCTTTGAAAAATGTACTCAGGGATTGAAACCCTTCACAGGGGATCCCTTTGTGCATCCTTAACCTTGCTCTTCTGACCTTGAGTCTTTACCCCTCCAGGAGACTACCATCTTCTAATATCTGTCATGAAAATCTGCTACTCTTTTTTTTTTTTTTTTTTTGAGATAGAGTCTTGTTATATTGCTGAGGCTGGACTTGAAACCCTGGGGTCAAGTGATCCTTCTGCCTCAGCATCCCAAGTAGCTGGGACTACAGGTGGGTGCCACTGCACCTGGCATGCTACGCATCTTGTATGAAACTCTACCAAGAACTCACAGAGATGGTCTTATCTAAGGATATTCACCCCCAACCCTGTTTTCCACTGCCTTTGAATGCTGGATTCCTGAGAATACTACCCTAACAACCTGTTAATAAGACAAAGTTAAGTTTACTCTTACCGCAGTAAGGGTGAGCATTACCTCAATGCAGTCTTAGTAGCTTCCTTAGGGGAAAGGGCTAAGTTGTGATGTTTATGAGGCTTCAGATACTAGTTTAAAGTGGGCCTTTCATGCAGAGGATTGATCATCATTGGATAAGAATCATGATATAGTAGTTTAAAATTGGTGGACACAGCAAGGGGAGATTTTGAGGTGAATGTTTTTATTAAAGAGTCTTAGGGAGTAAATAGCTGTTGATGCTGTCTATTGAATTGAATAGTTTGATTTTCACTTAAACAATTTTCTTGGGGAAGGTTTCTGGAAAAACCTTATTTGCAACTTTTATCCTCTTAGACAAAATTTTTTTTTGGAATAGTAAAGTCAATGTTGATAAAGACAGCAGAATTGTAAAGTGATGTTAGTAAAGTTAGTAAAGTGGGCTGAATAGGAAAGCTATGTTAATGCAGACAGTAAACTGTGTAGGCCTAGGTGGTACAGTTCTCACCCACAGCAAGACATGCCCCCATTCTGTGTTACTCACTTTTCAGGGCTCCAGAAGAGTAGTCTTGGGCACTCTATGTCTAAAGATATTATAGTGCACGTCAGCTTACCACACGTACACAGACGTTTCTTGTCCTAGTTTGGGCTTCTCTCAAAACAGACTCTGAGACAAGGATTTGGTTTATTTGGGATGTGATTGTAGGAAAAGCAGGAGGGAAGGTGGAAAATCAGTCAAAAGTGCATGAATTAGCAGGTTACCACTGGAGGCAACAGGGACTTAATCCCTCCTGGAACCTTCTGAAAGACTGTGGACTACCTTGAGGGGTAGGAAGTTGGAGTCCTCATCCACTTCCATCCTGGTACTTCTGGCCTGTCCCAGACAGGGTGAGCACACTCTTTAGAGGTTAACGAACACCTTCAGAGGGAGTCCATTAGCCTGTAAAAGAATTCTCTGTAGGCGGCCTATGGGAAGATCCCAGGGGTATGGGCATGGCAGATTTCAGCACCTGCTATACAGCCCAACATGGTGGTAGACCCATAGTAGGTGCTTGATAAATACTTATTGAATGAATGAATAAACACACATTGTTTAAAGATGAGCTTTAGTTCTCAAACTGTAGTCTAAACTTGATGAGACAGACCTTTCCTTAACTGCCCCATAACTATAAGGCTGGTCCTCTCATAATAAAGTTAGCGCCTCACAATGTTATACATCCACCTCCTCTGCCCTCTTTTCTCCCTTTAGCCCTGCCAAGAATGAGAAAAGGGTGAATCACTGAGCCTTTTAATAGCAACTCATTTAGCTTCATGAAGACTGACTGTGAAGACTGGAAATTAACTTGCAAAGGCACAGTGAAGTTCTTAGATGGGAAATACTACCTTCTGCCGTCCGTGCTAGTAGAGGTTGGGGAGTTAGGGGGTGGGATGACAAGTGTGTTCTTCAATTATAGAGTTGTTTGTTTTGACATCTGTTGTCCCTGGTTTTGGTTCCTTTCTACTCTGGAAACTATGTATTAACCTAAAGGAATGGTTATCTTGGTGGGAATGTCAGGGATGGCAGCAGGCCTGTGGGTGGCTAGGAGGCTAATTTGGAACAAGTTGGGGGTGGGGGAGTAGGCTGCGATTCCTCAAATCACACAAATAGAGGCCGGATCTGCAGTGTGTGAAGACCTTGCTTGGCAAAAGGTAGTGCCAACATCATTGAGAAAGAGTTGATTTAGGCTGATGTGAGCTAAATGTACATGAGAGGGCTCCATTGACCAGAGATAAGACTCCCAGATATAAAACATAACAGAAAAAGGACTACTTAACAAGCAAATATTTATCAAGCACCAACAATATTTAGGTATTGTGCTAATGTTACACTCCCAGCCACAACACAATAAAACTACATTGGTATTGAACTAGGGATTGCTAGTTAATTTATTTATTATCTGTCACTTTCTTTGGGACTAATTTGGGGGAAACCAAATTTTCTACTTTAGTGTGTAAAGTAAGAGAAGAAATGTTAAAAGATACTGTTATGGACTGACTGTGTCCCTCACCCCCAGATTCATTTGTTGAAATCCTAACTCCCAATGTAATGGTATTAGAAGGTGGAACCTTTGGGAAGTGATTGAATTTAGATGAGATAATGAGGGTAGAGACTTCATGAATGGTATTAGTGCCCTTATAAGGGAAGACACAAGAACTTGCTATGGCTCACCCCTCTTACCATGTGACAATACAATGAGAAGACAGGCTTTCTGCAAATCAGGAAGAGAGTCCTCACCAGACACTGAATCTGCTTGTGCCTTGATCTTGAACTTCCAGTCTCCAGAACTGTGAGAAATTGTCATTTAAGTCACCCAGTCTATGGTATTTTTGTTATAGCAGCCTGAACTAAGACATACTCTTCGAAGAAATGTTAAAACCAGGACAAAAATAAAGTGAACACTTATAAAATATCTTATTTATCAAATTAATTACTAAGGGAACCAGTAAGACTTTATAATCAGTTCAAAGGAGAATTCAAAGAACACATCAGGAATGCTTACATAAATTCAGAAATAGATGCAAAACTGCTTGATGTCCATTCCATTCCACTGACACAATTCATTTGCATTTCTATGTACATGAATCATTTACATTATTATCTGTTTTTTTCTACAATGTACAGAGTTGTAAAATAGGTTGAAGGCATCAAAAGGCACAAACCAGGCTGGGTGTGGTGGCTTACGCCTGTAATTCCAGCACTTTGGTAGGCTGAGGCAGGCAGATCACCTGAGGTCAGGAGTTCAAGACCAGCCTGGCCAACATGGTGAAACCCTGTCTCTACTAAAAATACAAAAATTAGCTGGGCATGGTGGCACCTGCCTATAATCCCAGCTTCTCGGGAGGCTGAGGTAGGAGAATTGCTTGAACCCCAGGAGGCAGAGGTTGCAGTGGGCGGAGATCACGCTACTGTACTCCAGTCTGGAAGAGAGTGAGACTCGGTCTCAAAAAAAAAAAAAAAAAAAAAAAAAAGCACAAACCCCTGTAGAATCAGATAACCTGAAAGAATGTACCAGACAGGACACTCAGACATATTTTTTTGGCCCATTTCAAAGTCTTTCACAAGTGCTCCTGATAGAAGTAATGTTTTCTGAGTAGTCTTTCTGGAAGCAGAAAATAGATTGCAGACTGGCCAAGTCTTTTGAATCAAAAGAAAAGTAGCTTCTTGTGGCAACATTACATACTACCCAGGGTATAAGTGAGGAATCATTTGGAACTGCATCTTCTAAATACAAGAGTACTGATCTATATTAGGGAAAGAACAATTGAAGGAAAATTTGATGAAATTTGCCCCATGAAGAGGAACAGAATCAATTTAGCAGGCACTTCAGTTACAGAATGTTCAGCTACAAATAAAACCTATTGAGGGAAAAAAGGAAGTTCATGAAACTTCCTTTTTAATGAACTCCCTGGTTCAGATTTCATAATGAATTGTGACAAGAAGTGGGAAGAAAATTACTTTTATTTTTTAACAGCTATATTGAGATATAATTTACATACCATACAATTCACCTATTTAAAGTGTATAATTAATTTTTTTTGTTATTTTCACCTATTTAAAATAGGTGTAGAATCACAATCACAATCTAACTTGAGAATGCTTTCATTCTGCTAAAAGAAACTTGGTACCCATTAAAAATCACTCCTCATTCCTCACCCCATTACATCCTTTAGCCCTAAGAAATCACTAATCTACACTCTGTCCCTGTAGATTTGCCTATTGTAGACATTTCCTAGAAACAGAATCATATTAGTATGCGGTATTTGTGACTGGATTCTTTCAACTAGCACTTAGCATAATGTTTTCAAGGTTCACTAATCAATACTTCATTTCTTTTTATTGCTGAGTAATATTTCATTGTGTGGGTATAGCACTTCTTATTTAACCAACTGTCAGTTGATGGACATTTAGGTTGTTTCTACTTTTTGGCTATTATGAATAGTGCTGGTGTGAACATACATATTTTTGTATGGACATGTATTTTCATTTCTTTTGAGTGTACACTTAGGTGTAGGATTTCTAGGTCATTTGTAACACTATATTTAACATTTTGAAGAATTGTCAAACTGTTTCCCAAAGCAGCTGTGCCCTTTTATACTCTCACCAGCAGTGTATGAGGAAGGTTTCAGCTTCTCCACATCCTCACCAACACTTGTTATTGTCTCTCTTTTTGATTACAGCCATCCTACTGGGTGTGAAATACTATCTTATTATCCTTTTGATTTGAATTTCCCTGATGACTAATGATGTTGAATAACTTTTCATGTGCTTATTGGTCATTTGTGTATCTTTTCAGAGAAATGTCTATTCAATTTTTTTGCCCATTTTTAAATTGAGTTATTAGTCTTTCTATTATTGAATTGTAGGAATTCTTTATACATTAAGGATACCAGTTAGATACATGATTATCTATTTTTTCTTTTGTCACTTGTGCTTTTGGTGTCATATCTGAGAAATCATTGGCTAACCCAAGGTCAGGAAGATATACTCCTATTTCTTTTAAGTGCTTGATAATTTTAGCCCTTACATTGAGGTCTATGATCCACATTAAGTTAATTTTTCCATATAGTGTGAGGAAGAAGTCCAACTTCAATCTTTTGCATGTTGTCTCAGCACCATTTGTTGAAAAGACTATTTTTCCCCATTGATTTGTCTTGGCACCCTTGTCAAAAATCAATTGACCATAAATGTAAGGGTTTATTTCTGGACTCTCAATTCTATTCCATTGGCCTATGTGTCTATCCGTATGCCAGTGCGACACCATCTTGATTACTATAACTTTAAAGTAGGTTTTGACATTGGGAAGTGTGAGTCCTCCAACTTTGTTCTTCTTTTTCAGATTGTTTTGACTATTATGAGTCTCTTGCATTTCCATATGAATTTTAGAATCAACTTGTCAACTTCTGGAAAAAACAAAAGCCAGCTGGGATTTTGATAGGGAGATCCAAAGATTAATTTTAGACTTTAATAAAAAGATTGCTAAACCAAATTTTTGTTTTCAGGTTTTTGAGTTTCAACCATTCTCATGTAAATTGTTAATATGTTTATTTTACTCTATAAGTAAAGTAGAGCTGTTAAGATCTTTGCTGTTAGCACATTGGCATTGATTTATATATAATTCACATTTCACTAATGTGTTAAATCTTATACATCCTTCTTAGTTTATTCAATTTGTAATGATGTAGTTGTATAGACTGTACGGAAAAGCAAAGGACAGGAAGAAGGTGATAAGAATTTGTTAGAGAAGTAGTATGACATGGTCTGGTAGTGAAATAACCTGTCTTTTGACCGTACATACATGTTTTAATGTGCTTCATCAAACATGAGATGTTAAATAGATTGGTAGTTTCATTGAGCTTTCCTCATCGTTATGTAAATGGATATAAGGAATTTTAATGCCAAAAAATGTTTTCAGGGAGATTAAATAGCTTTTTTATTCAGATGTTACAAAATTGGGAAGTACTGTTTTACTAAAAAGTATTTTGAATGAACCATTATAATCACCCCCAACTCCAGAAAAGCAAATGTATTTGAATGAAAAAAAGTAGTTATGTTTAAGCGTCTAGGATTATAAACCCAGAGGGTATGTCATGGATATGTGGGACTGTGCTTGATTTCATAAAGAAGTTGCCAGATCAAATAATTTATTATTGAAGATGCTACAAATTAATCTGGGAGTACAAAAGCAGTTATTGTAGAAATAAATACTAAAAAATGTTGTTCACAAGCTGTCAGTCATGATCCTACCAAGAGAATGAGACATTTAGGCTACAAAGACAAACTTAAAATGCCTGTGACTCAGACTGGTTTGGCTTTGAAGCAGGTTGTACTTGTAGAGCTACTGAGAGAGGAAGTGGTGCACAGTGAATCAGCCAGGACTTGGGTCTGCACATATGACTCAGGAATAAAGAGGAATTAACATCTGCAACACAGTGCCTTAAAGAAATCACAGATTTCAACTGAGTTGGCATTGAACTACTTGGACCTGGCTGGAAATTTGTGATTTGGGGAAAAAATGTTAAAAGCTTGTATCCCAGAAGGTGGAGCTATTTGGTATGGTGCAGCTGTAGAGTACAAGACTATCTTGGGGTTATGGTAGCATGAATGACCAGGAAGAGGTCTCATTTCTGAAATCAGGAAGGTGACATGCTTTGCTCAGAACAGGGCTTGGGTGCAGCAGGGGCTCAGGAACTGAGGGAATAGGTTCATCATGCAACCTGTTCAAATTAACATCAGTCCTGATAAGGAAGGCTGTACTTCATAAGCATGTTGAGGTCAAGACTTTTTCAAGCATGTGGCCTATGGTGACCCATTTAGTTCTGCCTCTTTCTGTTAGTGGAAGTCTTGCCTTGAATAAGACTAGATAGTGCTAAAAGTATTGGCACATCTGGGTTAGACAACAGCTGATATTTCTTATTGAGGTAACCAGAACCTCATTGTTCATTCAGTTATTAATTTAAAAAAAAAGTGATCATTACTGTGTATTAGGTCCTGTGCTAAGATTTGGGGATATGGAAATGAATGGGACCTAGGGCTCATAATTGGGTGAGGAGACCCACATGCCATATTTTTGGATGGATGCTGCTACTATTGATTGAGCAAAAGATTAAGGGAGGAAGAGCAAGTTTTGGAGGACAAGGAATTTCATTTTGGAGAGAAGTTTGTGAAGTCTGTAGAGCATTTAAGTGGAGATGCCTGGTGGGCAGTTGGAGTTGTATCTGACTGTCAGTGGGGAAGTCCAAATGGGAAGTCTGGATTTGACAGTCATCATTTAAAGATGATAATTGAAGTCATTGACATTGATAAAGTCACACAGAGATTCTATAGAGTAAGGAAGGGAGAAGGATTAGAACTAAACCCTGGGGAATCCTTCCAGTTCAGCAGTGACATCTGATGAATGCTATTGTCTGAATACATATTGCTCTCACATCAGTGAATTTACATTTGAAAAGCATGAATAAACTTGCAAAAAACACATTCAAAAGGAAATTATCACTGCAAATACAGACCCAGAAATTTTCAAAGTAAAAATTTAAAAATCAGGCCAATAATAAAATCCAAAGTATCTTCAGAATCAAAGAGGAAGTTTAGGTATTAACTCTATTAAGGGAATAATATAGATAAAGTGATCAGAGTTTTTGATCCTAAAGTAAGCTCTAATAAGTTTGATTGTTTTTATGGGAACTATGGGGGATAATATTTGAAATCAAAACTGTCTGGAATGCATGACTGAGATCAATATAGAACAGTCAAGTAACAAAAGAACAGCTTAAACATAAAAACTAGGAAAATTAAAAGGCTATCTAGGATGCAGATTTGTTGAAATCCTTGAGTGAGATTGGTTGAATTGATAACCAGAGTTGTCTCAGTTATCTCTTGCTGTGTATAAAAACTCCCTCAAACCTTAGTGGATTAAAACAATAACAGTCTATTAATTCTCATGGATTCTGTGGATTCACTGGGCTCAGCTAGGTAGTTCTTCTGCTAGACATGGTGTTGGCTGTATTCAACTGGGAGCTCAGCTTGGGATGGACTGACTAAGATGGCATACATACATGCCTGGCCTCAGCTGGAAGGGCTAGGGGCTGGTTATGCCCTGTCTTCTCATTTAGTGGCCTCGCCTGAGCTTTTTAACCTATCGGCTGATTCCAGAAACACAAAAGCAGAAACTACAAGTGTTCTTAAAGCCTTATAGTTCTTGTAGCTCTTAGGAGTACTAGAACATCACTTCTGCCTCATTTGATTGGCCAAAACAAGTCATGAGACCAGTTCAGGAGAAAATAGACCTCACCTCTTGATGGGGGAGGGGTGTACAGGGATAGAAGGATTGTTGGTGGCCACCTTTGGAAATGATCTACCACAAGAGTTGATTTCCATTTTCAACTTGGCTGCAAGTACTACGGTTTTCTTTCGGCGGGACACTGAGTAGGATACTGTGCTTGGTTCTCACTTCCAGGTGAATACTAAGAGTTCCTGATGGCATTGTAGTTCCCATAACTTTCTAATATGTTTTGCCGAAAAAGTCTACTGGAAGGGAAGTCCATAAACATTTTTAAGGCCTTCTCAAAACAGAGCTTTGACACTAGTTATCTAAGTTTCTCTTTTCTTTTCCTTTCTCTTATGCTTACCAGTCCCCCTCCCCCCACACCCCCAACCCCGAATCTATCTTAGTCTTGTAATAAAGTTAAGGAATTGTTATATTGTGAAATTCTACAAGTACACCTTTTCCAGTTACACGTATGCAAGTGTTGGGGGGCTGAGGGTAGAGGAAGAGAAGTCTTTTTTGAGTTATTTTAGGAGTAGCAGAGCAGGTGGTTTTGGCGACTTGATCTGGGCCTGGCTGTACCATTCACTGGTGCTCAAGGGGTACTAGTGACCACTGCCCTGCTTCAGATATGAAGTAGGTATCTGCCTTCATCAGGAATCTGGAGCTGAGCAATAGCTCCCAAGCAAATACAGGAGGTTTGAAAAATAATAAGGTTGGGTTTGTGAACATTGCCATTTTTTTCTGTGTGCTGAAGAACAGGCAGGGTTTAGTGATCACATAGCTTACAGGCAGGTGAAGAATTAGGAAGAATGGCTGTCAGATGAAAATATGGCATTTAGACATTCACAGCCTTTGGTTTTTTCCTGCCTGTGACAGGGTGTTCAGGAAAGGCCCAGGTTAATGAAGGAGAGAGAGAGGGAGGGGAAGTGGGAAGGAGAGGGAGAGAGAAGTGTAGTGGTTTGTAGCACAGACTTTGTGATATTTTGGGAAGTGACATATGGGATGATTTGTGGAAGAGAGAGTTAAGAGTAGCATGGTGAGAGAGTAACTTCTCAGATAGGATAGTGAAACATTTCTGGGAATTTTGGGATGCCTGAAAATGGGAGAGGAAAGAGGATTTTAGTAAGAGTTGTGCGCTCTATATCATTGGATCCCTTTATGTAGGGATTGGGGTTCCTGTTTGGATGGTGCTTCTTTAACAGCAGCACTTCTCAGGCCCACTGCTTTAATGACATTACCTACTTAGGGAATTTTGGACTCCAAATCTTCACTTGGGAACGTTGACTTTTTTGTGCTATTCTTATCTTCTTGCTTTTTTTCCCCCCCTCTTGGCAGTTTATAATGCAATTTGGGAAAATGTCAGTCTGCTTCCACTCTGCCATGGAAACACAAAGAAAAAGGTTTTCCCTGAATTGTTCAGCTAGAGAATGAAGGAAAGAGTATCCTGGAGGAAGGCGCAGAAGTAATCAAAATGAGAGAACAGAAAGCTGAATACAAAGCTCAGGGGTGAGAGGGTTGGCTTCTTACCAAGGTTATCATCACTTTGCTGCTGTTTAATTCCAGTCAAGGGCTTTTCTCTGCCTCTTTCTTGACCTGGTTCTATCTGACTACTGTTTTCTTATAGCAGTGGTTCTTAGCTGCAGCAGGGGAGGCCGCACGTAGTTTGGATAAGTTGCATGTGTGATGCTGATTGAGAAGGATTGTGCCAGGGGCTTCCCATCAAGTACTGAATGACACGTCAACTCTTGTATTAAACATTCAAGGATCTTAATGTGGCTCCCCAGACCATACCTCCCACTCACCTTCCAGCCGAACCTATTACTGTGGCTGGATCAGACTCTGACTTCAGGGCACCTCACACTCGTTTTCAGCCCTGCCGTTTAACACCAGTGTGATAGACTGTTCTCCATATGCCCTGCCTACAAAAGGTTTTGCCATTCCTCAAGGCCCCACTCAGGTCTTTCTTATTTTATGGAACCTTCCATAAATGCTCCAGCCACATTGATTGGATCTTGTTTCTGGAATGGCAGTTAAATGGGGCCAGCGATGGGGAAAGGAGGCTGTGAATGCAGGGAAATAAACAGATTATTTATATGGAAATCTGTCAATAGCTTCTTATATAGCTGAGTTAATCTAATGACATCAATGCTTTGGACAGAGGTTTCCAGTGGTACAAACAATTTTTTTCCTCAAAGAGTCTTCCGAAATCCCCTCCGCCCTCCTAGCACAACAGTTTGAATTTCTTAATGAAGGAAATGTGCGAATTGACCATGTGGCTACCACAACCAACACGTGATTTATCTCCACAAACTTGAAAATGCAAATCATGGAGATTGGCTGGGGTAAGCAGGAGGAGAGCAAAGATACCTCATCCAGAAGACAGAGGATCATCAAAGACTCACAGGCAAGTGAGTGAGATCATATATGTAAGAGCAAGTAATGTTAAGAGTCTATTCTTAGTAACACTTTGCTCAAATAATATCACAATGAGTTTGCAGATAGCTGCCTGATATTTCAATGTTTAGAGATACAATAATTTTCCTCCACTATTCCCCTTTGGATATTCAGGTTGTTTCTAGAGTTTTTGTTAGCATAAAGAACACTGTGGTGGACATCCTTACTCATATCCATTTGCATACTCTTTTCTATAGTTCATGGTCTCCCCCCAACCCACCCATCTAACTCCATGAATACAAGCAAGCTATTCAGGACTTCTTTAGGTCCATACCTGCTTAAAAAAATTCCCTATAGCTTCATAAATCCATCAATACCATGGTTGATCAACAAAAAATTGCAAACTTGACGAATTGACACTTACAGAGCCATCTTATTATAAATCCACTAAATGTTCTAGCATTTTGAAAATGTGCCAGGCTTATTTCAAGAAGTTAACTTGAAACTACTGGGCTAAATCAGGAGCGGGTGTGGGAAAGATGAGAAATAGCTGAGTAGGTGGAAAAAGTCAGAATGAAGTAGACAAAGGGCAATGGTTAATAGTAATTAGTAAATATCAAAAGCAAATAAGGATAAGGTATGCCTAATGATTGTGCTAGAGGTAGGGTGGGCAAAGTGAAAGTAAAGTATCCAGTTATTCTTCTAGGGCTGCTTAGTCAAGTTAACTGGAAGATATGACAATAGTTTGCTCTATGAGCTGAAATCATGAAGGCAAAGGCCAAAGATGAAAGTTGTGTTTAAAATTCCCATCAGCTGCGTGACTAACAGGGGATGAGTGATCAAATGAATCACCTTAGGCAGTTGAACAGCTTTACTTGTCAAAACCATTAGCCATGAACCTTTCTTAACACGAGGCAGTCACCTTCAGCAATCTGCTTTTCCAAAAGTAAAATAAGCCCCAGATGGCCACTTATTAACTTCAGCAAGACTTGACTCTTCTCACGTTGCCAGACAAAATTGATGGAAAATAGATAAAATCTTACTCCAGTTTATCAGTACAATAGCCTGTGGTTCTGGAATATGTGATATAAAAGATCTTGGACTATTGTTCTGGTATTTAGACATCAGGAGATCATACTGGGGTGGTCAGATATATCTATTTGTCCAACATCATTTCAGAATTTCTGGAACCATCAAATGAATAAAACTTCTTTACATAATATAAATAGTATATATTTTTTCTAATTATAAAATATTATGTGATTATTGAAAAAAGATAATAAAAGGTATAGCAAACTTCAAAGAAGCAGGATCATCCTCTACCCCACCATAATCAATCCAGTTGTCTGCACCATTTTGGGTGTTTTCTTCCTGTTTTTTAAAATGCATTTTTTAGAACATAGTTGAGATCATACAACATATAATGGATAAGATCTATATTCAATCTAAAGCTATTTTAATTTATCCACCTAAGAGCAACCATATATTATGAAAACTATGATCTGAAACAAAGAAATGGAATGTTTGACATAATCAGGCTAAATAAATAAATAAATAAATAAAAGCAGGCCAGTAACTCCTTGTTTTCTCTAACCATTAACTCATCCCTTTCCTTCCTCATTCTGTTTATTAAGTCTGGAATATCCCTGGCTCCTCTCTTCCCTCCAAAGTCTCCTCCTTGAATGTGCCTATCATATTGATTTTTCACTTCTCTATTGTCCACTAAATTTGAGAATTCATTTACATGTAGTCTTGCTTCTAATTTTTTGTTTAATGATTTATATGTCTTACCTCATCTTACTTTTTGAGGTCAGGGGACATTTATTATAGTTTTTATACCCATCCTAATAAGTAGCAAACAGCCAGGAACATAGTAGGAGCTGAAGAAATATCTAGGGTTGACACCAAAAGTGTTTTAACAAATAGTTGCATGGGGAGATGTAATAGTTGAATTATCCAGACCTGTGCAGACAAAAACTATAGCTGCAGTGTTCAAAATGGTAGCCACTAACCACATGACTGTTGAGCATGTGAATTGTGGCTAGCATAAATTGAGATGTGCTGTAAACATAAAGTACATTAGGCATTTCAAAGGCATAGTATACAAAAAAAGAATGTAAACTATCTCAGTATTTTTTATGTTGACTACTTGTTGAAATGATAATATTTTGAACATAATTGAATTACATAAAATGTATTATTAAAATGAATTTCACCTCTTTCTATCCTTTTCAGTGTGCTACTAGAAAATGTAAAATTACATCTGTGGCTTGCATTGTACATATATTTTGTTGGATGTTGCTGTCTTGTATGGCAATGAAATGTAATGTTCGAGATTATTCTTTCTACAGGGCAGAAATTCATTATATTTCTAGATACAGTGTATTTGCATTTCAATGGATAATAATTATTTGCTTTACTAACAGTTTTCTATAGCTTAACTTCTACCCTTACAGAGTTACAAAATAGCCTAAATAATAGGAAGACAATCAGTCAAAGGTACATACCTGGATAGAGCCAGACAATCCTGGGATGGTCATTTGGATAATATGCAAGCACTTCACTGAAAGGACACTCAGTAATCTTTTGCCCATTGCCAAGTCTTTGGCAATTTTTCCTAAAAGCATCTTTCCATATTCTTTTGTTACTGTCCCATGTGATTATGTAGGATCACGTTTTCTTTTCTAGTTAATATCGACAAACTATACTTGCAAAATTCATACTTCAGCCAGAAAACAATGTTTTAGGAACTATGACGTTCCTAATAATAAGGTTAAAAATGTTGGGAGTAAAATTAAAAAGAAAAAAAAATCATATAGAATAGAACCAAACTTGAATAAAGAATCATATAGAATAGAACCAAACACTTGAAATGATTGAAAAGATAGTGAAATTAATTGCATTTTGTCATTACTCCTTAGCTTATCATACTCTTGTCGAATGGGTGGAAACCATATTCTTTTCTACTATTTAATTAGCTGGAAACAAAGCCTGGCTATTGGTTGACTGGATCTAGTATAAATCCCCCCTCCCCCATTTTTGATTAATCAAATTGCCACTCCTTATTTATTTATTTAAATTAACAAATAATTGTGTATATGTTTATGGTGTATGGCATGAGGTTTGGAATTATGTCTACATTGTGTGGAATGGCTAAATTGAGCTAATTAACATATGCATTACCTTAAATATTTATTTGTGGTAAGAACACAAAATCTTAGCAATTTTCAAGTATATAATATATTGTTATTAACTACAGTCTCCATGTTGCACAATAGACCTCTTAACTTATTCCTTCTGTTTAACAAACTTTGTACTCTTTGACCAACATCTGCCCCGCCCACAGCCCCTGGTAACCACCATTCTATTCTCTGCTTCCATGAGTTCAACTTTATTAGATTCCACACATAAGTAAGATCATACGGTATTTGTCTTTGCTCTTTCTTTTAAAGGAAATAAATTCTTCTCCTTTTTAAGTCAAAGGACTTTTTTTGTGACTTTTGGGTCTGTTCACTCTGCTATGGAGATTAACAAATATTAATTAGTGGATGACTGCTAGGAAGTGAAACTCACAACCAATGAAGTGGTTAATTAAAGTTGAACTTTTTGATTGTCATTTCTAATATTTTTTATATTTTATATATATATATATATATATATATATACAAGTTTCTTTAAATTATTGATTTAAACACCTTAGTCCAAAAGAAGATTAAAAAATGGCTGAAAAGGGATTACAGAGATGACTTTTGTTTCAAATATTTTTAAAACATCCAAAATTTAAAGTAGATAACTATCCCTCAAAGTTAGCTGCTCCAAGCTTGATTTGACATTTGACGTTCCTGATGCTCTGGCTCAGATCAGAGCAGTTCCAAGAGGCTTGGTGGTGGCGATGGGGGTTCGGTGAGAAGTGGGGCAGGCAGGTCTAGATCCGGCCCCGCCCTTACCCCAGGACACCCCCTTTTCTGTGTGCTTTGGACTTCAGCGTCAGTTCTTCCGGCCCAGGGAGGCTATGGAATTGAGGGCAAGTGTTTGCATTATTGATGAGGGTACAAAGGACTCCAGAAGTTTTGAGGCTTTGCTTTTCCCCTTAGCCCTACAGGGTCAGGCTTTCATGCAGAAATTGGCCTGGAAATTCTCCACCGTTTTCATAGCTGCAATGTTTTTGAGGTGTTTTTTAGATAACAAAAAACTAAATACAATTCTCAAAGCTTATTTTGTTTACTTTTAGAGTACACAAAGCAATTTTGCAACAATTACAATTATATATATTCTACTTGCTACTAAGACTGTATAACATTGGTGGGGATAAGAGATTATATGTTTTTTCCTAAAAATATCTACTTAATGCACTCTTTTAATTTTTATTTTTATTTCAATAGTTTTGGGGGTACAGGTGGTTTTGGTTACATGGATACATTCTTTAGTGGTGATTTCTGAGACTTTTGCTCTCCCCATCACCCAAGCAGTGTACACGGTACCCAATATGTAGTCTTTTATCTCTCACCCCCTCCTAACTTCCCCCTCCACAGTCCCCAAAGTCCATTATATCATTCTTATGCCTTTGCATCCTCATAGCTTAGCACCCACTTATAAGTGAGAACATACGATATTTGGTTTTCCATTTCTGAGTTATTCCACTTAGGATAATGGCCTCCACTCCATCCAAGTTGCTGCAAAAGACATTATTTTATTCCTTTTTATGGCTGAGTAGTATTCCATGGTGTATATATACCACATTTTCTTTATCCACTTGTTGGTTGATGGGCACTTAGGTTGGTTCCATATCTGCAATTGCGAATTGAATGCATTCCTTTTAATAGTTAGTTTTGCTGTCAATCTCTTTTCCTGTTTAATTATTTGAACTATTGGACCCTGAGGATCTGCCCCTGAACATCTCCTGAGAAGTGCTCCAGCAGAGCGAAATCTTGAAAGTCATTCATGAAAACGTTGTTAAGAAGTGGCTTGAGCCCTTCTCTGAGCTGGCAGAAGTGAAGGAGAATTACAAGAAATTCTATGAGGCATTCTCTAAAAATCTAAACCTTGGGATCCATGAGGACTCCACCAACCAGGGACGTCTGTCTGAGCTGCTGTGCTATCACACCTCCCAGTCTGAAGATGAGATGACATCTCTGTCAGAGTATCTCTCTCACATGAAGGAGGCACAGAAGTCCATCTATTACATCACTGGTGAGAGCAAAGAGCAGGTAGACACCTCTCAAAGCGGGGCTTCGAGGTGTTATATTAGACCAAGCTCACTGATGAGTACTGCGTGCAGCTGGTCAAGGAGTTTGATAAGAAAAGCCTGGTCTCTATTACCTCAGGTCGAGCTACCTGAGGATGAGAGGAGAAGAAGAAAATGGAGGAGAGCAAGGCAAAGTTTGAGAACCTCTGCAAGCTTATGAAAGAAATCTTAGATAAGAAGGTTGAGAAGGTGACAGCCTCCAATAGGCTTGTGTCTTCACCCTGCTGCATTGTGATCAGCACCCTATGGCTGGACAGCCAATATGGAGTGAATCAAGAAAGCTCAGACACTTGGAGACAACTCTCTAATGGGCTACATGGTGGCCAAAAAGCGCGTGGAGATCAACCCGACCACCCCATTGTGGAGATGCTGCAGCAGAAGGCTGAGACAGACAAGAACAGCAAAGCTGTCAAGGACCTGGTGGTGCTGCTGTTTGAAACTGCTCTGTTTTCTTCTGGCTTCTCCCTTGAGGATCCCCAGACCCTCCACCTGCATCTACCACATGATCAAGCTAGGTATAGGTATTGATGAAGATGAAGTGACAACAGAGGAACCCAGTGCTGTTGTTTCTGATGAGATACCCCTGCTTGAGGGTGAGGAGAATGGGTCTTACATGGAAGAAGTAGACTAGGAGTTTATATTTGGAAACCTTGTGCCCTTGTATAGTGTCCCCATGGTTCCTTGAGTGGCTCTGTCCCGCGGCCTTGAGTGGCCTTATCCCACCTGGCTCCCTCTGCTGATGTCTAGTGTTTTTTCTGTCCTGTCCGTGTGTCTAAGGCAGGAAACAAGAGCCTTAAGCCCCATTCTCTTTCTACTTTTATAACAGGATATTGGATGTTGTGTATTGTGCTTTTTTGTTTATTTTGTTCTGAAATGAAAGTATACCAAATAAAGCAGATGCCGTTTTTATGTGGGAAAAAAAAAAACACTTGCCTGTTCTGTGTTTTGATTTTCTTGATAGTAACATTTGCAGCACAAGCATTTTTAATTTTGGTGAAGTCCAATTTATCTATTTTTTCTTTTGTCACTTGTGCTTTTGGTTGTGCTTCGACCTTGTCAGATCTAAGGAGCCATTGTCTAATCAAGTAATTAGCTTTCAGTGTCTCCTGAGAATAAGGGCCATAGAAGAGGCTGAGTAAAGACTTGCAACAATGATATGTAATTGCATGTGCATTTTTAAAAATAGACTATTTTTAGAGCAATTTTCATTTTACAGCAAAATTAAGCAGAAAGCATAGAATTTCATATGTCCCCTTCCCCTGTACCACATCTGGCCTCCTCCATTACCAACATCCCACACCACAGTGGTTCATTTGTTACAATTGATGAACCTACGTTGACATGTCGTTATCATCCAAAGTGCAGTTTGCATCAGGGTTCACTCTTAGTGGTGCACATTCTATGGGTTTGGACAAATGTATAATGATATGGATCCACCATTACAGTATCATACAGAATACTTTCACATTCCTATACATCCTCTGTGCTTTGCCTATTCATCCCTCCCTCTTCCCAACCCCTGGAGAAAACTGACCTTTTTACCATCTCCATAGTTTCACCTTTTCCAAAATGTCATATAGTTAGAACCATACAGTATGTAGACTTTTCAGATTGGCTTCTTTCACTTAGTAATATGTATTTAAGGTTCTTTCCTGTCTTTTCATAGCTTGATAGCTCATTTCTTTTTAGCATTGAAAGATATTTCATTGTCTGGATGTACCACCATTTATCCAGGTACTGAAGGACATCTTGGTTGCTTCCAAATTTTGGCAATTATGAAGAAGGCTGCTATAAACATCTGTATGTAGGTTTTTGTGAAGACATAAATTTTCTACTTGTTTGGGTAAATACCAAAGAGCATGATTGCTGGATTGTATGGTAAGAGTATGTTTAGTTTTGCAAGAAACTGCTGAACTGTCTTCCAAGGTGGCTGTACCATATTGTAGTCCCACTAGTAATGAATGAGAGCTCTTGTTGCTCCACATTCTTGCCAGCATTTGGTGTTATCAGTGTTTTGGATTTTCACCATTCTAATAGGTATGTAGTGCTATTTCATTGTTGTTTTAATTTGCATTTTCTTGATGACAGATGATATGGAGCATGTTTTCATATGTTTATTTGCCATCTTCATATCTTCTTTGGTGAGATGTCTGTTCAGATCTTTTGCCCATTTTTTAAACTGGATTGTTCATTTTCCATATTGCGGGGTTTTAAGAGTTCTTTGTGTATTTTGGATTATAGTTCTTTATCAGATCTGTCTTTTGCAAACATTTTCTCCTAGTTTGTGGCTTGTCCTCTCATTCTCTTGAAGTGATTGTATTTCCTTGAATTATTCACTTCACATTCACTTACTGAGCATCTTCTATGGTCTAGGTTCTCCGCAAGGCTCTGGGTATATAAAAGTGATTAAGACATAACCTTGCTTTTAGACACTTTTAGTGTGATGAAGGAGAAGGATGAGTAAATAGGTGATTAGAACACTCTTCTAAGTAAGCAGTCTCAGGCTTCTTGGAAGAGGAGTGTAAGACATAAAGAAAAAGGATATTGACAACAAGCACAGGTGGGCAGAGCCTTCTGGGTGAAGGGAACACTACATCACAATGACATAAGTAAGTTCTTGTCAATATGATCATTAGCTATTATTGCTATGGTAATAGTGTGTCTAGGCTAGAAGTAGGCAAACTATGGCTGTGGGCCAAATCTGGCTGGCCATCTGCTCTTGTAAATAAAGTTTCATTGGAATACATTCATGTCCATTTATACACATATTTTCTGTAGCCACTTTTGTGCTACAAGTAGTTGCAAAAGAGACAGTCTTGCTTGCAAAGCCTCAACTATTACTCCCAGGCCCTTTACAGGTGGGGCTCAGACTGGAGGGGCAAAGATAGACTGCTGCTTTAGTGAGATGCTTTAGTGATTTTTCCGCGGCAAAACCACATGGCAAAAGTCATGGACAGGTGGAGAATTGATTCCAATCACATGTCTGAGGGCATGGCAAGCTACACATATTTTTCAGGAGCAGCAGAAGTTTCATTCATGGCTGGTCAAAATTAATATCTGTTAAATGACAGCGACTTTCTCCCCATTTCCTGTGTCTAAGAGGAACTACACTGTAAAAAACTCCTGGCAGGCAGCTCTGACATTTTTCTTTTTTCAGCAAGGTAAACAGATGTAGATCACTTTCTTTCTGATTGTCCCAGAATAATTTGAGATGAGAAAAGAAGACATGACCTGGGGCACTTAAAGACAGGTTGCTTTTCACTAACAAAGCTGGAAGACTTTTTGAGCTCTTCTAAATTATAAGTTTATTATAGCTGGAAAGACTTTCTTTTCAGATAAAGATAAAGAGGGCATCTCAATTTCTTTGTGAGATATGATTAGCTTCCTGGAAATCCTGTCTATATAGCTCACTCGTGATGCTTACTTTTTAGGTGTTATCTACTTACATGGTATTTTTCATTTCTCCCTTAACATCAGTGTGCTGGGAAAAAAGTACACCCACACGCATAATTTACGTATATAATTGTATAAGTGCATATATATATATATCTCCATTTGTCCTGAGACTGGGCCAGGTTGTGAGGCTGTGAAGTATGAGGTTGGTAGAAACTACCTTTGAGGGGTCTTTCAGTTTTCCTTTGATCTGTCTTTTAACCAGCCCCCGATCCTGCTTTCTGCTCCCTAACTAATTTCTTCTCCCATAACTCCCCACCCCTT
This sequence comes from Homo sapiens, assembly GCF_000001405.40. Taxonomy (NCBI): domain Eukaryota; kingdom Metazoa; phylum Chordata; class Mammalia; order Primates; family Hominidae; genus Homo; species Homo sapiens. The sequence goes on along the minus strand of NC_000023.11, from coordinate 16,471,255 downwards.
CCTGGGCACGGGGGTCTTTTGGGCTTGTCACCTCTCTGGAAAGTGCACTGTGTGATAAGCACATTTGTACTGACATGTTAGTAAGTTTATGGCTTTTCAAGTGGGACATGAGAAGTGGGCACGACTCAACCAAAGGAAAAAAATACTCTGATAATTGAACTGTAGACAACAGCACAGAAGAGGTATTATGTTTATATTGGGGATTTTCCTAGCACCTCTCCCTTTATATTATATCACATAAATGATTACCCCCTTCATCAAACAGAACCTGCCCTTGGGCTGGGCATGGTGGCTCACACCTGTAATCCCAGCACTTTGGGAGGCCAGGGTAGGGGGAGGATCACCTGAGGCCAGGAGTTCAAGGCCAGCCTCGGCAACATAGTTTTAAGACCCCATCTCTAAAAAAAAAAAAAAAAAAAAAAATTACCCAGGCATGGTGGTGCATGCTTGTAGTCTCAGCTACACTGGAGGCTGAGGCAGGAGGATCACTTGATCCCGGGAGGTCGAGGGTGCAGTGAGCTGTGTTTGTGCCACTGTACTCCAGCCTGGGTGACAGAGCGAGACTCCGTCTCAAAAAAAAAAAAAAAAAAAAAGAACCTGCCCTTGTTTTATCAGTATTATTTTGGTATTTACATAAAATATTAATTGATTATATTATATTGTTATCATCATCATCATCATCTAAGCTTGAATTTATTAGGCCTGGAGGGTAAACCATTCTAGGACTCTAACTCCTTAGTGGAAATTATAGCTCCTTAATGACAGCTACAAGATGTCATGACCCAACAAACCCAGTGTATGGTGCAAGAGCAGAAGCAACCCTCTATGACATATGCTGGAGAGATATTATGATTTATTATTTCCATTTTACAGGGGAAAGTCGAGGCTTAGAGAATATAAATGCCACACCCAAGTTCATATGGCTACTTGAGGAAAGGAGGAGGAGTAGGATCTGATCTCTTTTCACTCCAAGCCTGGGACTCTTTCTTATAGCAGGACCTCAGAACCTCACACAGCTTCTTCAGGGTTTCACTAAAGCGTTTCAACCTAGGTTGCCCTGCCCAGGAACCAAGCGGAACAGGTGGCTTGCTTGCAGGGAGTCTAAAGAACCCGGCACGATCTGCCCCCAGCAGTTCAGTTGGTGGGATCAGACTTGCCTCAGTAACAAATTCTGGCCCCTAGTGGTGAGATGATTTGGGGCTGACTTTTGCCGAAGGTTGGGGCACTGAGGGAATTGTATGTCCCTCTGGGGCTTGCAAAGGAACCAGAGTTCTTTTGAACAGCTGCATCACAACTAGGTAGCAGTGCTGCCCTCCCAGACCAGGACACCAGGGGCCCCTGCCCTGGGCCCCACACCTTATAAGACCCCATACACCACAAGCAATGAAAGACAATGACTTTTGGAATGTTTTTGAACTCATAAAATTTGAAATGTTTTAAAGTTTGATGAATTTTTAATGTTTTTAAAGACGTTTTTATAAGTGCGATAACTGATTAAGTTACTGGGAATTACGGGAGAGAGATGTACTCTCCTAGGCCTCCCAGGTCAGAGGATTCTGGGCTGAGAACCTGTAAGTGTGTGTGTGTGTGTGTGTGTGCGCGTGTGTGTGCACGCGTGCGTGCATGGTGGAGGGTGGGGAGACAGCTTCCACTCCAGGAAACCAGAGGAAGATTGGCTGCTTTCATTTGAAGATGGCCATTCTAGTCTGGCACAGTGTGGTACACCTGTAGATCCAGCTACTCTCTTGAGCCCAGGAGTTTGAGGCTGCAGTGAGTTATGATCAGCCATTGGACTCCAGCCTGGGTGACAGAGTGAGACTCCATCTCTAAAAAAAAATGAAAATTAAAATTAAGAAAAAAACACATTAAGTTGGCTGTTCTAAATCACCCAACGTGGGTGATTAGGCAGATGGGGTGCCCCAAATAACTGTTCCCTCCTCCCCCTCTGCTTGGGTGGTGGTGTTTTGGAAAATGCTTAGAACTGCCTGGAAATCTTGAGCTGTGAAAGTGTCCTTCCCAGCTCCTTGGGGAGCTTGACTTGGTCGGTCTAGGGGCGGATCCAGTCACCCTGACACTGCCTAGGCATCCTTGACTTGGGTCCAGCTTCCACCATGCCCTGTCCCACAAGACCCATTCTGGTATTTAGACTCACAGACACAGCTGACCTTGGGGTAAACTTAGGTTTCTTTAGCCTATCCAAGGGAATGATGGTCCCCAGGGGTGTGGGGTGCTGGGTGGGAAGGTATGCCAAGCTGTTGGTGTAGCTTGATTTGTAAATTCTATATCTTTAGACTACGGTATGTGAGACTGCATTCATATGCTTGCTCCAGGCTCTGCAAATGTTACTTTGCAAAGCTGTTGTAGTAGCTTTGCAGGTTTTATGATCTTTGCAATAATGTTTTGAACCCCTTATCTGGGATACCTTCTATTATGGGTTGAACTGGGTCCCCCCAAAAGATAGGTTGAAGTCCTAATCCCTAGTACCTGTGACTATGACCTTTTTTTGGAAATAGAGTCTTTGCAGATGTAATCAAGGTAAAATGGGTCATTAGGGTGAGCCCTAATTCAATGCGACTGATGTCTTTATAAGAAGAGAAAAACACCATGTGAAGACAGAAGACACACGGTGAAGAAATGACCACGTGGAGATAGGGCAGAGATTGGAGTGATACTGACACAAGCCAAGGAATGCCTAGGGTGACCAGAAACTGGAAGAGGCAAGGAAGGATCCTCCCTACAGACTTGGGAGGGAGTATGGCTCTGACAACACCTTGATTTTGGACTTCTGACGTGCAGAACTGGGAGAGAAAAAATTTCTGTTGCTTAAATCCACCAAATTTGCGGTACTTTGTTATAGCAGACCTAGAAAATGAATACACTCATTCAAAGATGTTTCTGTCTGTGGCTTTAAAGAGCAGGATTGGGATGAGAGTACGGTTCTTGCAGTGCTCAGTTCTAACGTCATAGAGATAGCAAATTTTTAACTCTCCTGAGTTAAAGTGACCGTGACATTGTGTACTGACACTAAACATTCAGTTTTAAATTCAGAATCGGAACAGATGTGATAACTAATTAAAAACCCAGGGTGGCATTTTTTCCTTGTGGTATCAAATTAATTCACTTTTATAGAAATATGCTGATGATTTACCTTTCCAAGGGGAAGTTGTTAAACTTCCTTGGGCGAACAGATTTCTTTAGCATAGAAGGTTACAGGCTGATGTTACAGACTTTGAAACTGTCAACCAAGGCAATGTGTCTCTGTATTCGCATCTATTGCCTCCAGAACATATGAATGTTTAAAGAAGATTAAAAAAATTCCAATTGAGCCCCTCCGAAGTCATTTTCAATTCTAGGAAATGGAAATGCAGCTTACATCTGTATTTCCCAAGGAATTGATGTAATGCAATTTGTATAAAATAATCATAGAGAGTTAGAGCAGAGAGTGGATCTTTGCATTAAAGTGAAATCAGCCCAGAAATCGCTCTTCTCAGGGTCTGTCTTTCAGAACCCCATTTAGCTTTTAAATAAGACTCCTCTTTCCTGACTTGCTTTGATGAGCCACTCTCATCTCAGTGATTGCTCCTGACATTTAGCTGCCTGTACGATTAACTGGGGGCCATTCTTTTCTCTTGGAGAAGGACCATGTGCAGTGAATATGCATTTGCAAAGTGTTTCTTTGACTTGGGAGAGTGGCTGTGGATAAGTAGATAGGATGATGCCTGGAGTAAAGTTTGTGATGGAGACCCCAAACACTCACCCTTAGCAAAGCTGTGAGTGGCTATCATCAGCACATACCCGCTCCACCTCCCTTGCAGTCCCCAATTAAAGCTCATTGAGTTACCAGGTAAGCTGGTGATTTCTTATCTCAAGGAATGAAAAATTAAATCTAATAAACTTCTCTGAGGATTGAGAACTCCATATGTCGCCCCTACAGGTGATTTAAAAAAAAAACCAAGGAAATGACTCACAAAAAGGATTGAAATTTTTACAATGAGATTACAGATATCCGGATGGGAGATATTTGTTCCCCTTGGCATGACTGTGCCTGGGCCAAAGCCTGGGCCAGCAGGTAGAACAGTCAGGGATGGAATAGATCAATGAGACTGTAGCAGAGAAAAACGGCTGCCTACCAAAGATTCTGCTGTTCTTTCTAGCATAGCACTATAGTTGGGGCTACGTTCCCCAGATTGCTTTACAAAGCAATGGGGCTACATAACATTTTATTGCCATGGCCTGTGAGTGGAAGGGTTGTGTATCACTCTTGGTTGGAGGTGACTGAGAAGCAAGTGTACCTTCTCCCTCACTTTCCTCATCTACTGACAATCTTTAGAGGACTCCCAGTCCCTGGGAAGGTGGAGCCATGAGATGGAAGGAGCCTGTCTCTGAATCACTACAAGGAGGGAAACTGCCCTGAGCTATTTTGAGAGCCGCAAATGAAGTTTGATTGACCTGACTCATTGCATTCTTTGAGCTCCTTAGCTCTTATCACTACCTAGTATGCTGTGTATTGTTGTTTATTTCTTTTTCACTAGTATGTAAGCCTCAGGAGGGCAGAGATTTTGGTTTGTCTCACTCGCTGCTGTATCCCAGGGTCGAGAACACTGTCTGGCACTGAGTAAGTGCTTGATAATGTTTGTTGAATGAATAAATGAGAGGATAAATGCAAGGAATATAGTTGTGATATGATGGAATTTGGAGGGGTTTTTTTTCTTTTTTTTTTTTCTGAGACAGGGTCTTACTCTGTCACCCAGGCTGGAGTGCAGCGGAGCAATCACTGCTCACTGCAGCCTCGACGTTTCGAGCTCAAGCTATCCTTCTGCCTGTCTCCTGAGTAGATAGGACTACAGGCACACACCACCATGCCCAGCTAGTTTTTAAATTTTTTTGTAGAGATGGGGCGGTGGGGGGCGGAGGGGGTCTCCCTATGTTGCCCAGGCTGGTCTTGAACTCCTGGACTCAAGCAATCCTTCTGCCTTGGCCTCCCAAAGTACTGGGATTACAGGTGTGAGCCACTTCGCCTGGCTGGAAATGTTAATTCTGGTTTCACCAGATACCACAATCTTGAATTTTTTTCAAGGCTGTTTTAGACATTTTTTTTTTTTTGTGGAGAAATGAGATGTAATTGCAGTTTGCAATCATTTACTCAGAATTACATTTTGAGAATCTGCATTAGTTATCTTTTGCTGTGAAATAAATTACCTCCAAATTTGTGGCTTACAACAACAAAAATTTATTAATTTTATAGTTTCTGAGGGTCGGGAATCTGAGAGTGGTTTGGCTGATGGTTCTGGCTCCAGGTCTCTCATGAGGTTGCAGCCAACCTGTTGGCTGGGGTTGTAGTCATCTGGAAACTTGGCTGGGGCTGGAGAATTTGCTTCCAAGATGGTGCATTCACATGGCTCTTGTCAGGAGGTGTTAGATCCTCATGACCATTGGCTGGAGGTCTCCCTCAGCTCCTTACAATGTGTTCCCCTCCATAGGCCAGCTCACAATATGGCAGAGGGCTTCCCCCAGAGCAAGTGATCCAAGAGAGGGCTAGAGGTGACGTGACCAAGATGGAAGCCACAGTACCTTTTTATGACCTAATCCCCAAACTCACCACCCACAGTCACTTCAGCCACATTCTATTTGTTAGAGGTGAGTCACCAAGTCCAGCCCAGGCTAAAGACGAGAGTTAGGCTTTACCTCTTGAAGGGAGGCATATCAAAGGTTTTGTGGACTATCAAAGGTTTTGTGGACATTAAAAAAAAAAAAACTACCATGAAAACTTATTCCAAGGTTGCCGTTTTTAACAGACAACAGTCATTGAAGCATGTGCTCAATACCAATTATATTTAGTGTTCAAATAAGACTGTAGACATATTTATTTTAATGTACTTTTCAGATTGATATTCATAGGGCATAGAAATTCACAGGGCAGTTTTCTTAAGTCAATGAGCAACTTTCTTATGTCATGAGTCAGATGTGACACTGCCAAATTCACAACTAAGTCCACTGGGAGTTAACAGGAAAGAAGATGGAGAACCTATCATATTTGTTATTTTTTAGTTCGTGATATGTAGCTAAGTGTTCATCCTATCCTGCCCTTTCCTTCTCTGCCTTCTCTTCTTGAGTAGAGAGCGGACTGAAATGGTCAAATACACTTCATCTCTGATTCATGTCTTCCAATTCTTTTGTTCCTCTACCTGACAAATGTATCTGTTCTTTTCTAACAGTTGAACAGTTCTATGAGGACACAAGCATGGTGTGTACCTTCCTGTAATAATAGTTTTCTATTTGGAATATAAGAAAATATAATTTTTTTTTAAATAAACATTTTGTATATTTGAATCCTCATTAGTAATAATAATTATTATATCAAAATGCCAGTAATTTATTAGGGTTTAGAACATCAAATTTCTAATAGATCACATTGAAAAGATTAAGTATAAAGTTAATGGAGAGGATCATGGGAATGTGGGGTACATGTTTTGGAAATGTACTTTTTTTTAAATACAGAAAGACACTGCTTTAATTGATCATTTGCTAATGAAGGAGCTCGATTTAGAGAGGCATATGTGCATCCTCTAAAATACATGCACTGAAAGAAAACAATTATGTTGTGAGCCTCCATGTACTTCATTGTCCTGATAATTACTTTCGATTAACAAAACTATGGGTGCAGGCTTTGGGAGTTCAATAAAGAACCCACCATTGCAGAGCATTTTCACTGACAATGTGACATTCGACACTCACAACAACTCTGCAAGATACATATCACTGCCGACAATTTACATATTCAGGAACCTAAGATTGGAAGTTAATGACTTGGCTAGGACCATGTACCTAGCAAGTGGCAGACTGGTGTTTTTTTGGGGGGGAGGGGGGAGATTTTAAAAATTCAAATTGGTAATAACACGTTGACATAGTTCAAAAACTAAAAAAATGTTTTAAAAATACAGACTGATAAGCTTTCTCCTCGTTTGCTTCTTCTTGGTTCCTTCTTGCCTCCTATGTAACTCCTTTCATCAGGTTTTAGAAAGAATCTTGCCAAATACATGCAAGTATGAATACGGTTTGTAATTTCCCCCCTTCTTACACACAAGAGTATATGATATACAATGCTGTTCACCTTGTTTTTTCCACCTACCATTATTTCCTGGAATTCTCTGTGTAGCATTAGGTGGACATCTCCCTCATTCTCTTTTTATAGCTGCACAGTTTTCATTGTTTTTTCTTTTCCTTCCTTCCTTTTTTTTTCAGGGTCTTGCCTTGTCACTCAGGCTGGAGTGCAGTGGTGCAAACATGGCTCACTGCATCCTTCACCTCGTGGGCTCAAGTGATCCTTCCGCCTCAGCGCCCCCAAGTAGCTGAGACTATAGGCGCAAGTCACCATGCCTGGCTAATTTCTATATTTTTTGGAGAGACAGGGTCTCCCTACGTTACCCAGGCTGGTCTTGAATTCTTGGGCTCAAACAATCTGCCTGCCTTGGCCTCCCCAAATGTTGGGATTATAGATGTGAGCCACCACGCCCAGCCCATCGTTTTTCTTTGCATGATGTGCCATGGCTTATTCAACCAGTCCCCTTTTGATGAATACTTAGGTTATTCTCATTCTTTTGCTGTTTAAAGCCCTGCTGCGATAAGTAATGTTATAGACATGTTATTTTGGGCATAAGCAGTTGGATCTGGAGGCTAGCTGCCCAGAAATGGAGTGAACTGGGTTTTGAACCCATGACTGAATGATGTAGCGGCTCTCTCCCCACACAGCCCATGTGTGCTCACTCTTTTCTTAGCTGCATTTTGCCCTTTCCAGCGGGCAGATAATAAAACACTGTTTTGATTCTCATTTGTGATTTTGTGTACGTCTGATTCCCTTAGGAATCTCAAAAAGGGAAAATTGACTGAGTAGCTAGGCAGGATTATGGCGTCCCAAGCCCCCTGACCTCAGTACCATCAATCTGGTTGTTAAATGCCATCTTCTTTTCCTTGGATCAGCAAGGGGTAATTTTTAGAGCAGGGCCTGGGCAAGCCAGAGGAGTTGGGAAATGCAGCAATGGCCAAATGCCATTTGGGGGATATTTTTAGTTACCTAAATAAACTGTATTTCCACAGTGTCTGCAGAGCTTATGGTTTGTGTGCAGTAAATAAAATGATGGAATGCCATGAGGGAGCCCAGCCAGATGACTCCATTTGTGTGCATTCTGTTCCAGAGGAATCCCTTCAGCAGCAGACGGCTCCATGTGATTCAGTGAAGGCGCACAAGCTGCTCTCCAACCGCCGTGGCTTCTTTCCTGTTCTGGTTATTTTGCCAGTTTCACCACACCACACTCGGAGCAGTTTCCCAGAGAGCGTGGGTGTTAATGATCAGGAGGAACAGAGTTCTGTGATCAAGTGAATTTTGGAAATGCTACGTCAAGCAGAGTTAAATAAGGTGCGTTCCCATAGAACATGTTAGCACTGCTAATAATGTATATCAAGAGGGTGGTGTGTTAAGTAGGGTTTTCCAAACTTATTTGAACACAAACTCCTTTCGTAGTTAAAGAATAGCCATTAATATCAATCTTTTGCCCCTCAGCTCCAAACCCACACTTTGTTGCCCAGATTGTGATTCTGGGATGTTTTCCCCTTGCTGACTGGCGTGATGCTGAGCTTTGTTGGTAGAGGCTGCTGGGATGACTCGGGAGAAGGGTAGGGCTTCTCTTTCTAGCGTTGGTATGCTTTGCTTCTCCTTGTTCCTGTGGCAGTGGGCTGGGCATGTGGGATACCCAGTGGAGCTCATGCCAGTGAGTTTCAATGGCACTCCATGGGCAGCTTCATGGCAAGTTTTGCAGGTGCCCCAGCTGTGGTGGGGCTCAGTGACAACCTCTTCCATAGGTGCCCCGGCTGGCTTCCCCATGAGCTCAGCAGGACCCCCTGCAGGTGACACCTTTGTGATTTTCTGGAGAGTCCAGCCATGGCAGCTTCCCAGAAAATTCAACAGCATTCCCCAAGGGAAACTTTGTCATGAATTATCAGGACTCCAGTGGGCAGTTTCCTTCCTACCAGCCTTGGCCTGCTGGCCCATGTTGGGGGATTTCCAGCTTGCCAGCTGTGGCCCACAGTTTCTGGCCAGGGCTCTCAGTACACAGACCAGCTCTGGCCCAGTGCAACCCCAGGACAACCCAACACACTTCTCCTCCACCAAGTGGGCTGTAGCCCATCCTCTCCAGTGAAGGCTGAATCCTAGCCTTGGGGAGGCCTCTCCCGCATCCCATTTCAAGTTGGTTTCTTCCTTAGTCTCCCTTAGCCTGAAAGCTTGCTTGCTTGCTTCCTTCTTCCTTCCTAGTTTCCTTCCTCCATCCCTCCCTCCCCCTTTCCCTCCCTCCCTCCCTTCCTCCCTTCCTTTACATTTGAGATATAATTCACATACGATACAATTTACCCTTTCAAAGTTTACAAGTCAGTGTTTTCACAAAGTTGTGCAACTATCACCACAATGTAATCCAGAAGATTTTCATCTCCCCAAAAAAGAAATCCTATACCCATTAGTAGTCACTCCCCATTCTCCATTCCCTGCACCACCCCTAGCTCCCGACAACCATGAATCCACTTTTACTCTCTAGAGATTTACCTTTTCTGGGCAGTTCATATAAATGTACTCACATGTACATGGTTTTTTTTGTGTGTGTGTCAGGCAGCTTTCACTTAGCATAACATTTTCAGGTTACATTCACGTTGTAGGATATATCAGAATTTCATTTCTGTTTATGGCTGAATAACATTCTACTGTACGGATATACCACATTTTGTTTATCCGTTCATCAGTTGATGGACATTTGGTTTGTTTCCACCTATTGGTTATTGGAATAGTGCTGCTGTAAACATTCATGTACAAGTTTTGGTGTGGACATATGTGTTCATTTTTCTTGGATATCTACCTTAGGTGGACTTGCTGAGTCATATGGTGACTCTGTTTAACTTTGGATTTGACCAAAGAGAGTGTCAGGTGGTTAATTGTCTTATTAAAAGATTTATCCCAGTCTTATTTTAATTAACAAGCAGCCTTGGTACATTTAAAAAACATAATTTGAGGCCAGGCACGGTGGCTTATACCTGAAATCCCAGCACTCTGGGAGGCTGAAGAGGGTGGATCACCTGAGGTCAGGAGATCGAGACCAGCCTGGCCAACATGGTGAAACCCCCGCCTGTACTAAAAATGCAAAAAGTTAGTCAGGCGTGGTGGTGCACGCCTGTAATCCCAGCTACTGGGGAGGCTGAGGCGGGAGAATTGCTTGAACCAGGGAGGCAGAGGTTTCAGTGAGCTGAGATCGTGCCACCGCACTCCAGCCTGGGTGACAGAGTAAGACTCCGTCTCAAACAAACAAAACAACAATAACAACAACAACAACAAAAACATAATTTGAAACATTATTGTGAGGTGCAGATAACATGGGCTTTGGAGCCAGGCAAGCCAGGGTCAGATTCCACCTCTGCTGTTTTTACCTGAGATGTGGTGATGGACTGAGGTAAAAGCCCCCCTCTACCATTGTTAGCTGGGCTATGGCACATTCTGATGGGGGAAAGAACAGAGTACGGTCTTCCCTGCTCAGGGTGGAATCCGAACAATGATTTTTTTCTGTGACTTGATGTACTAAACTTAGTTAAGCTACACATGGAAATGGGTTCTTCTGGTTAATTAAATATTCTGGCTGAGAGAACAATACCACAGACCCACCATAGATGAATTCTTTTAGAAAAGAATTTGATCACAAAAAACATCAACTCAGTACTCAAAGCACATCGATAGCTCTTCGCGATGGTTTAAAGTGGATTTCCAGAAATCAAGGATGATTCAGACTGTCACAACTTGAGGGACCCGGAAGCAGGGCCAGATGCCACTTGGTGATGAGATGGGAGTTCAGCTGAGGTGGGACTGGGAGGAGCTTTCTCAGTCACTCCAAGACCAGACACATGAGCCATTGGGTATTCTGAATATTTGGGACTTTAAGGTAATCAGAATGGGTTCCTTTATCTTCTTGTCAAAATATATATTAATAAATTGTGTATATGTTATGTTGGGGTACACTGTATAGTCATTCATTACTTGTGATTTAAATCAAGCTAGTAAAAGGCTTAGGAGTAGCTCTGAAGATCATTTAGATTTTGAAAATTCTCAGCAGTTTTCTTCCCCTCAATCAAAGGACTTTCTAATGGTGAAAACATTTCACGCAGTAAGTGCATTAAAATGCTTTCTCAGATTTTACTACTCCAATTAATGATTCCATTTTCTTCAAGGGTTATTGACTGAAATGAGAGTGATTCCCATGTGGGAGGCATGTTCATGTACTTAATATCTGAGGGCTGCCAGCAGCCTACCTCAATGCTGTGTTCTTTGAACCTGCAACTATTAGGACCAGAGCAAGTCCATAATTGAAGTAGGTCCACACCGTGATGCAGTTTCTCCAGCTGTGGAAATTTCTAGGGCTTATCAATATCCCATGGAAAATGAGTCTCTACGAAGGCCCACATTTACTGTGCAAGTGAGAGACAAAACTATCCCTAATTCTAATGCACCTGGAGTAAAGCGATATGCGTATGCATTACACAGAATTATAAATGCTCTGGCCACATGTCATCCATCTGCACCTTCTGTGCTACCAGCAGATCATGCTGAATGATCTCAGAAATTCAGATTATTATTATGCAATATGAGAAGGATCTAGGTAAAGGCAGGTGGGGTGGATATGCTTACAGGTGTCTTCCCATATATTCTATTCATGCCTAAAGTGAAACACAGGTTTATTTTAGGGCTCATTTTTCATGGATCATTGATCATAAGTTTTAAAAACGCCTGCAGAGTGAAATCCAAAAATGTCCAAAAGCCAGTGCCACAGCAACAATAACTGCCTCACAGACGTACATTGCCTATTATGTACCATCCAGTGTATGTTAAATAGTAGACATTATATATCAAATATTACTTGTTATATATCATAATCTTGAGTTTTAATAGCTTGCAGCTTCAGAGAGTAGAGTAGGAAGCTTGGCTGCATACAGTATGTGGGATGCTCAGATAGGAAATATGTAAACACTGATGAAACACATGCTCATTCTGGTCAATAACCTCGTGTATATAACAATTATGAAATGCTACTGTAGGTGATCTTAAAAGGCTTCCTATTACATACATTCATACATCAGAATAAAATCTATTACATCTCTTCTTCAGTGTTGTGATAAGTGATACTGTGAAAATCACCTTATTGCCAGGCTTTCTAAGTAATCATGAGGAGTAGGAGAGGGTTCAGGAGAGTAACAGGTAAGAAGGTCCTATGCAGCCATAAAAAAGAATGAGATCATTTCCTTTGCAGGAACATGGATGGAGCTGGAAGCCATTGTCCTTAGCAAACTAACACAGGAATAGAAAACCAAACACTGCATATTCTCACTTATAAGTGGGAGATAAATGATGAGAACACATGGACACGTCGGGGGAACAACAGACAATGGGACCCACTGGACGTGGAGGGTGAGAGGAAGGAGAGGATCAGGAAAAATCACTAATGGGTATTAGGCTTAGTACCTGGGTGATGAAATAATCTGTACAACAAACCCCTGTGACATGCTTTTACCTATATAACAAACCTGCGCGTGTACCCCTGAACTTAAAAGTTTAAAAAAAGACAAATATATAAACAAACAGTGGTACCTTGATTCTTTAAGAGAAAAGCCATGAATTCCCCAAACTATAGACTGGTGAATTTGATATTGATTCTAAGCCAGAGGTCAGCCAACTTTTCTCAAAAGTGTCAGAGAGTAAGTAGCTATTTGAGGCTTGTGGGTCACATGGTCTCAGTCACAACGACTCCACGCTGCTGCAGGAGTGTGAAAGCAGACACTGACAATGTGTATGCGGATGAGCATGGCTGTGTGCCAACACAACTTGATATTCAAAAATGGATGGAGGGCCAGATGCAATATTCTAGAATAGGCTTAAAAGAAAAAAAGACTGTGAGTCCTTAAAAAGAGATGTGTTGATCCCCAGGAGTTTGCATGAACGCAGTGGTCCTCAGCGCCAGCAAGGACCACATTAGCCTAGCAAGGCTACACATTAGAATCACTGGGGAACCTTGAAAAATCCTGGTGCTCGGCCTATATCCCAGACTAATGAAATCAGAATCCCTGGGATGGGGTCTCAGAAGTTCATCATTTCTAGGGGATTCATAAGTGATTCCAATATGAAGCCACAGTTGAGAACCACGGTATGAAGTTGTGAAGTAGTGCCAGGTTAACCTCACTTCTTTTTCCTGAAAAGCCTCTGATAGTTGCTATTTGGCACTTTGGAGAATAATTTGCTGATCTCTGGCTTAGAATCAATATCAAATTCATCAGTCTGTAGTTTGGGAAGTTCATAGCCTTTCTCTTGAAAAACCAGGGCACCATTGTTTATTTGTTTTTTGTTTTTGTTTTTAATATTTGGACCTTCCCACCTGTTATTCCTTCCCTTCGTTCCTCCCTCCATCCCTCCCTCCCCCCTCCCTTCTTTCCTTCCTTCCCTCCCTCCATCCTTCCCTCCCTCCCTCCTTCCTTCCTTTTCCCTCCCTCCCTCCCTTCCTTCCTTCCTTCCTTCCCTCCTTTCCCTTTCTCCCTCCCTCCCTCTCTCCCTTCCTTCTTCTTATCTTTCCTTTCCTCCTCCTCCTCTTGGATAAAGTAGCCAGACAACTCTATTGGGGAAAAATAGTAGATGCTGTCCATGTGGATTTCTGCCAGCCATTCGCCAAAACTTTTCATTACTGTTCTGGTGGACAAATTAGGACAATGTGTTGGATGACAGAGCTGGGCTGTGATGAATAGAGTAGATACTATCCAGAATTCTTTCATGGCCTCACCCCTCCCCATTGGTGACTGTATAACAGGCATCCAGTAAATCTTTGTTGTGGGGACTGGAAATCCAACCTATAAGAAATAGTTGAGTGAACTAGGAATGTTTAACTTGCAAAAGAAAAAAAAATTATAGTGGAGTTTGAAGAGGGGTAAACATGACAATTGTCTTAAGATGTTTGTTGGGTTGTTATAATGAAGAAACAGATTTCTTTTGAAATTTCTAGAGTAGAAATAGAATCATTGTGGGAAGCCACCAGGAGGCATTCATTTGACAAATATTTTTTGAGCAGCTACTCTGTACCAGGCACTGTTTAGGCCCTTGAGACCTACCTATGAACATGACCTAAGATCCATGCCCTTGTGGAGTTTATGGTCTAGAGACTTATTTTCACATATCCGATGATTAAAGCTGTCAGAAAATAGAATGGGCTGCTTCAGAAGGTATTGATTGTAGGTTGGATAATCACTTATTTGAGGTCATTATTGTCAGGCCTCTGAGCCCAAGCTAAGCCATCATATTCCCTGTGACCTGCATGTATACATCCAGATGGCCTGAAGCAACTGAAGATACACAAAAGAAGTGAAACTAGCCAGTTCCTGCCTTAACTGATGACATTCCACCATTGTGATTTGTTCCTGCCCCACCCTAACTGATCAATTGACTTTGTGACAATACACCCTCCCTGCCCTTGCAATAATGTATTTTGTGATATTCCCCTGCCCTTGTGAATGTACTTTGTACGATATACCCTCCCCACCCTTGAGAAGGTACTTTGTATTATCCTCCCTTGCCCTTGAGAAGGTACTTCGTATTATTCTCCCCACCCTTTAGAATGTACTTTGTAAGATCCACCCCCTGCCTGTAAAAAATTGCCCCTAACTCAACCGCCTATCCCAAACCTATAAGAACTAATGATAATCCCACTACCCTTTGCTGACTCTCTTTTCAGATTCAGCCCGACTGCACCCAGGTGATTAAAAAGCTTTATTGCTCACACAAAGCCTGTTTGGTGGTCTTTTCACACGAACTCGTGTGACATTTATAAGCCACAAAAATCCAATAAGAATCTTTATCCTTGAGTATCTCTGAGTCAAGGAAAGTACCTTCTTCCTTCCCTCTCTTTGCACTCACCTTCCCTTCCCCCATCACTCCCCTAATCCCACACTCGTTTTCAAGGTAGCAATGTCAGAAGTTTACAGTTTGATCTGGCAATCCCAAAGCTCCAGGCAGAACAATCACAGGCAGTGAATAAAGCTGTGGACAAATTGTCCCTCTCTTGCATGACAAGGCCAATGGAGGCAGGGAGGGGCTTGCTCCCTGCTTTGAGTTTCTGGGACTAGTTTTATGTTAGTGTCATCCTGCACATCCCATACAATGGGAACGGACAATGTAGTGTTTGGGGCCATAAACATTTAAATTATGTGTCTTTGGAGTCTTGGGGTTTCAAAGACCACTGACTGGCTGGTTGATACGTAGTACTACAATGAAGTTTCCTATTTGTATGTGGTTTTTCCTTTCAACTCTTTGCCACAACCAGATACTAGTAATGGGTTGAGATGATGGGAAAGTTGTGGGGAGGAAGGATGCTGTATTTTCTTTCACTGACCACAGTGATGCACATACATATATATATATATATATATACATATATGTATATTTATATACAAACACATACACACATGTACATGTGTGTATATATAAATATACATCTATGAATATTGTTTGCTCTGTGGCTGGTGGGCAAAGGAATGAACACAGTGAGAGAGTGGAGGCAACAAAGTGGCCCCATGAAGTGTGGCACACTCCTATTTCAAATGCCTAATGCTGACCTCCCAAGAAGAGCAGAATGGAAGAATTTCACCATCTGGGGAGAATGAAGTTAAATTTGAGGGCAAGAGAACCAGGGACAATGTGGAAGACAGGCTCCTGGGAGGGCTGGCAGGAACAAGAAAGGATGCGAGCTTCAGAGAACCTAGGCACTACACCTAGGCACTACAAAGGCAGGCTTTGCTCCAGGCTGGACTTCAGGCTGAGGGGAGAGGACAGGCTAGCATGGTGAGTGTGTTGGGGGAGCATGACACAAATAAGAGATTGAGGGTCGTGGGACCCTGAGTTTTAGAGATAAGGAGGACCACAAGATTTTGTTTTTCTTTCTTAGGCACAGAGCCCAGTAGGCTTACTTACAATTACCCAGTTATTTTTTATTGCATGTTATGGAGGAAATTATAATTTCTGTGGTATTTCTCAATTTGAGGATTCACAAGAATGTAAATGGTCTGTTGTCAATAACTGGATTCAAGTTTTAGAAATATCTGGATGGTGTAAAAATGATTTAAATGTTGTAAAACCAGAAAGTTACCATAACAGAATTAAAATGTCCCATTATCTGAAGATTGCAATTGTTTTTAATTACTGGAGCTGAATCATTGTTGTTCTTTTGCCTAATGTCACCTAGAATATTGAGCTAAAGCAAGCCTGACAGATAGTTTCAGTGTCACTGTGTAGGGTTGTGTTTGTTCGTTGATGTTTACCCAGAACCTCCCTGAAAATGCAGGCTGGGAGGTTGGCCCCAGAGTCAGGAGTTGTTGGTGTAAAAATCAATGTTAAGACATGGCCATTCAGCGAGGTCTTTTCTGTTTTCAACATCAGTTGAGAAGAAGTAATTTAATAATGGTTTAAATTAGGTCAGAGGACAACAGGGCTTCCCTGCAGAATTACAGATCATATAGATTTTTCTCTAGAAGCAAGATAGTGTTGTAGGAAAGTTTAACCAATTCCCTTTACTGCTACATGGTTTGTTTGTTTGTTTGTTTTTTTGAGATGGAGTTTCACTCTTGTTGCCCAGGCTGGAGTGCAATGGTGGGATCTCAGCTCACCGCAACCTCCGCCTCCCAGGTTCAAGTGATTCTCCTGCCTCAGGCTCCTGAGTGGCTGGGATTACAGGCATGTGCCACCACGCCCGGCTAATTTTGTATTTTTAGTAGAGATGGGGTTTCTCCATGTTGGTCAGGCTGGTCTTGAACTCCCGACCTCAGGTGATCTCGCCTCGCCTTCCAAAGTGTTGGGATTACAGGCGTGAGCCACCACACCCAGCCATGATTATCTTGATATCAGAAAGATTCTGTGTGTTTATTTCACTGCGGAAACGTGGCTGCTTCCTCCAGGAGGCAGCATGGGTGGTTGGGGTGCAGATGTCTTACTCCTCTTTGGTGTCTTCCTGCCTCAGTCCTCAGTGTAGTGCCTAGGTTCTCTGAAGCTGGCATCCTTTCTTGCTCTTG
This sequence comes from Homo sapiens, assembly GCF_000001405.40. Taxonomy (NCBI): domain Eukaryota; kingdom Metazoa; phylum Chordata; class Mammalia; order Primates; family Hominidae; genus Homo; species Homo sapiens. Next base: position 16,454,131 of record NC_000023.11, on the reverse strand, counting down.
CCAGCCCTCTCAGGAGCTGATGTGCTTCCATGTCTTACAGAGTTCCTGAAGCTGGCCTGGGCATGCCCCCTTTCTATTGAGATAGCAAGACGCAGCCCCTCCAAGGCAATAGTTTCCAACCCTGGCTACACTTTAGAATCTGAATGCTGATGTGCAAGCCCACCTCCAGAGATCTTGAATTAATTGGCCCTCACAGCGGGTACTGGGGATTCTGATGTGCAGTTCGGGTTGAAAATACTACTTTAATCAGTTGTAATTTTGGTTCCAGCCCCTTTGAGTTTCATCCAATGTTAGAATAAACTTTCAGGAAAATCCTCTAATGAGGACTGTATAACTAGATTGGGTCAACAGGTTTGGGAATATTTAAATGGTGGTCACGACAATCCAGCAATGGAAGTTACAGAATGATTGCTTCCAAAGGGGGTCTAGAATCATTTTACTGACACTTACATACTTCTGTGGTTGATACAGTGAGTAGTTCTTTGTTGGCCTAGACTAGGCTTTGAAAAACACTAATGTGAGCATTAAATTTTGTCCTCCATGGCTCTGGGTTTTTGGAGGCTGCATAGAATTGACAGGTAGACGAGTAAGCCAGGATCATAAGCTGTGAAAGAGTATTAAAATAGGCTTGAAGTTTGACAGCTTGCCACATTCATTCAGGCTCTGGGAAAATGCTTATATAGGGGAGGTACTGGGTCATTATCTGCAGAATACGTTCGTCATGATCATAAATGACTTATTTCCTTCAGTTTTAAAAATCCTGTTGGCAGAGAAGAGCCAGTCAATTTTTTCTTTTTTCTTTTTTCTTTTTTTTTAGTGGAGGTATGACGTGATAAAAACTGTGGTTAAGGATTGCTTCTATAATAATACAGTCACGCCCCACATAACGTTTTGGTCAAGGATAAACCACATTTGCAACAGTGGTCCTGTACGATCATAATACCGCATTTTTACTGTACTTTTTCTACATTTATTTATTTACTCTAAATATAGAGACAGAGTCTCACTCTGTCACCCAGGCTGGAGTGCAATGGCGCGATCTCAGCTCATTGCACCCTCTGCCTCTGGGGCTCAAGCAATTTTCCTGCCTCAGCTTCCCAAGTAGCTGGGACCACAGATGTGCACCACCATGTCTGGCTAATTTTTGTATTTTTTGTAGAGACAGGGTTTCGTCATGTTGCCCAGGCTGGTCTTGAACTCCTGAGTTCAAGCGATCCACCCACCTCAGCCTCCTGAAGTGCTGGAATTACAGGCATGAGCCACCGCACCTGGCACTTTTTCTATGTTTAAATGCAAAAAAAAGATACTTAACATTGTGTTACAACTGCCTATAGCATTCAGTAGTCACATCCTGTGCAGGTTTGTAGTCTAAAGCAATAGGCCATACCACATAGCCTAGGTGTGTAGGTTTGTATAAGTACACTCTATGATGTTTGCACAATTACAAAAATCACCTAAAGAAGCATTTCTCGGATTGTATTCCCATCGTTGAAGTGACCCACAACTGTGTATTGGATGGATGGCAGGAGAGGAAGAAACCCCAAAACGGCAGTTCAACATTACAAATTATACCTCTAAATTGAGACAGGGGAAGTGCCACTGTGGTCAGAGGGTTTGAGGAGACTTCAGGGAGGGGATGGTTGGAAATTGATCTGAATCTTGAAGGACGCACAGGATATTTGGAGGGAGGTGAGAGTCATTCCAGGGTGGGAGATGTTTATGAACTGTCATCCAGTCACGTTAAGAAATAAAAAAATTGGCCGGGCACGGTGGCTCACGCCTATAATCCCAGCACTTTGGGAGGCCGAGGTAGGCAGATCATCTGAGGTCGGGAGTTCAAGACCAGCCTGACCAACACGGAGAAACTCCGTCTCTACTAAAAATACAAAATTAGCTGGGGTGGTGGCACATGCCTGTAATCCCAGCTACTCAGGAGGCCGAGGCAGGAGAATCACTTGAACCCGGGAGGTGGAGGTTGCAGTGAGCCGAGATCGCGCCATTGCACTCCAGTCTGGGCAACAAGAATGAAACTCCATCTCAAAAAAAAAAAAAAAAAAAAAAGAAATAAATAAAAAAATTAACACCTTATTTTGAACTCCTTCCCATTGCCCATTCACATTCTGGGCAATTGTCTCACTTCTACTGCTGCTTGCATGTAAAATCTGTACTCTGTGCCAGGGCCTTGAGTGCCTTGTACAACACACTCAAAAAAATCTCTATAAATGTCTCTTCCCAAGTCTCTCCTCTCAGCCATTCAATTTCCCAGCTCCAGCCCCGACACCACTTATCCCTTCAGGCGGCTTCTCCCCTTCTTTCATTCCTCCCCTGGGAAGATTTCAGCCCTGTCCTGGTTTCTTTCTTTAGTCTTGTTACTGCCACCCAACAGGCAGGATTCCTTAGGTATGGAGGGGCCATTTTACTGAGGATAAAGCATTTGGGGTGCCTCCAGCTCTCGGCACCTGCCCGCCTGCCGACTGCTATCATAGAGTGAATTGAAGATTTTTTATAAAGGTACTTTTCATTGTGCAAGTTAAGTACAAACATGATCCCTCACTGTAAGAAACTTATGATCTCACCATTGGGTGGGGCTATACAAGACTGAAGAAAGAAGCCAGGACATGGGGAAAATTTTCCACATAAGTAGGGTAGATGGTGATATCTGAGCTGGAGGAAAAAGATGAGCCCAGGAGTTGCATGGCTCAGAGAAAAGACTTGGGGAGAGGTATTTATAGGAAATTTTATGAGATGTGCTATGTGCTGTGCAGTGCAGATTTCTTATTCATCTCCTCAGGAGACGATCAGTGGATTTTCACTGATTCTTTAGCACAAATGGATCCTTTATGATGTCTGAGGAGAGTGCTCAGTCCTGCTTATGGTGAGAGGACAGAGGCTGCCACCTGTGAGATTGGACACAGGGACTTTCTTGCTCTCCTGCTTCTCCTCTTGGCCCAGCATGGTGGAATACAGGCTGGATGCCCAGTAAATACTTCTGATTCAAATGTATTTTTATTTTTACAACTTCCCTTTGAGACCCACAATTTTATCCTTGTTTTCCAGATAGGAAAACCATGAGCCTGAATTACCATACTTCTGCTTCCCAGATTCTTGCACACTATAGGAGAGATATTAGAGGATTTATGCTAGATACTGTCTTCTACTTTATACATTATATCCGAATGCATAAGTCTTATTTCAGTCACACAGCCTTCACTTTTGTGTTTCATTTTCACTTTTCAGCACAAAGATTATATATTATATCTGGGTAATAAAATCAGAGGTAATGTTTGGCTCCAAGAAAGCAAACATATATCTACCTATGTTGAAATTTTACCCCTTTTCCACAATAGTTCAATAGCCATTAAGACTCATGCCTAAGAAAGCAGTGATAAATAAGAGGAACATATGTACAAAACGTTGGTTAAAGGCACAAAGCCATGGGTGCTCGAGGAATTCTGAAATATTTGAACTCATCAAGAATTCTGTTGGAGTTCTATCAGTGTTTGCTGGACTTCATGATTAGTGATGGTTCTCACTGCTCTTTGAATTAGAGTAGACGTTTGGAAAGGGGGCTTATTGTAGAACAGAATGCCATATTTAGATGAATGTTGTAACCACTTCAGAATTCAGGATCTTGTTTCTTAAAACAATACAGAATGTTAAGGGTGGAAGGAGCCTTAGAGATGGGGAAGCTGAAACCTCAAATAGTGAGTAAATTTGGTCCAGAGTCCAAATCTCCTGAGGCCCAACTTGATGTTCTTTTCACTGGATGTTCTGTTGGCACAGTGCAGGGCAAAGGGTTTAATTGACAGAGAGAAATAAAACTTAATTTTTCATCTGGGAGTATAGATTAGATGGCCTCTCAGAACCTAAAAGAGTCCATATTCCAAGAAAAAAAAAACATATTCCACATATCATGAAAACAAATGAGGATGTTTATTCCTCTTAAACTAAATTTCTTAAAATTTTACGGCATCGTATCTCTTTGTAAGCAAATATCTTTTTGAAAATCATGTAGAAGATGATTGACAAGTTAACTTTTGACTTATTCACTTGAAGTTGAGGCTGATCAAGACAGAAATAAACATACTTTTCACCTTTCTCAGGGTGGAAGAAGACAAATTTACTGGGGATGTGGGAAGGCTGCCCTGAAGGTAACCCATAACTGGGTTGGACTATCAAAGAAAGGGCGTGGGTGGAGACTTCTGCTTGGAAGTCTAAAGAGGGAAGAGTCTTGATTCTTGGGTGCTATGGATCCTGGGGATAAGGAAGAGGGACCAGGATGGAAATTCCACAATTGAAGACAGTGGCACTCACAGGAGTGTAGCACTTTAGATGTGGAAGGATCACAGAGAATGCTCTGTTGATGGTGGAAAGCATCATGGTTAGCAGGCGCTGTAGCAGCTGACCAGATCAATGGTGCCCAATCAGTGATGGGGGAACTGTTCATCAGAGGTCTCAAGACACAGAAGGGAGAAATAGCTCAGCACTGCTACAGCACTGAGAGTCTTCGAGGAGGCACCAAGAAATTGATGCTTTAGTTTCTGCCAATACCCATTCAGCTGAGTGGGTGCTCAAGCCATATTTTCTTTGATTTAGACAAAGCCATGCGTTGTAGCTATTTTCCTAATGCCAAGGAGTAGTTTATACCTATTTTATTATTAATAATTGTAATAGTAATACTAGCTATCATTTGCTTACTGTCTTTTGTTATGGAATGAATTTTGTGGCCCCTGAAATTCTTATGTTGAAGCCCTAACTCCCAAAGTGATGATATTTGGAGATGGCACCTTTGGGTGGTAATTAGGGTTAGATGAGATCATGAGGGTGGGGTCCTCTTGATGGAATTTTTTTTTTTTTTTTTTTTTTTTTTTAAGACGGAGTCTTGCTCTGTCGCCCAGGCTGGAGTGCGGTGACGCGATCTCAGTTCGCTGCAAGCTCCGCCTCCCAGGTTCACACCATTCTCCTGCCTCAGCCTCCGGAGTAGCTGGGACTACAGGTGCCCACCACCACGCCCAGCTAATTTTTTGTATTTTTAGTAGAGACGGGGTTTCACTGTGTTAGCCAGGATGGTCTCAATCTTCTGACCTTGTGATCCGCCCGCCTTGGCCTCCCAAAGTGCTGGGATTATAGGTGTGAGCCACCGCGCCCGGCCTCTTGATGGAATTAATGCCCTTATAAGAAGGGGAAGAGAGAGAGAGAGAGATCTGTCAGCTGTCTGTCTGCAACCCAAGGAGAGAGCCCTTACCAGGAACTGAATCAAACAGCAACTTGATCTGAGACTTCCAGCCTCCAGAACTGTGAGAAAAGTAAATTTTTGTTGTTGAAGTCACCCATTCTGTGGTATTTTGTTATGGCAGCCTGGGCTAAGATACCTACCATGTGCCAGGAACTTCCTGTATGTTGCTTTGACTAATCCTCAAAACAACTCTTCAAGGTAGGTATTTCTACCTGGCAAAGGAAACAGAAACAGAGAGGTTAACCACCTTGCCCAAGGTCACACAGCTAGCATGTGAGAAAATGTTTATAAAATGCCTAGTGCAGTATCTAGTACAGAATAAGCCCTCAATAGAGAGCTTTTTATAACTCAAAAGCTCATGTTGTTTTCCATATACATTCAGGTCACCATTTTGTCTGAGCTTGTAAGCTGTCTTTGTTCTTTCCACTCCATAGCTACCACTTGACACAGGGATTCTGACCTTATTGTGACATCCTGGAAATTAAGTTCAGCCAGAGGTGGCTCCTGACCTAAACAGAGAGCCCAGCCTCATTGTTCCTTAAAGTCTCTCTGAAGTAAGATGCCTCTGGAATAATAACCAGTAGTGATGGAATCCCAATCAGGAACCCAATGGGGAACTTTTCTTGAGAAACTCTTCCCCTAAGGCCTGAGCCTGGGTGCTACTTGACTGCTGCTCCATGGCTTACTATGGGCAAGGTCTGGAAAGCCTTGGAGAAGTCTAGGCAGTCACAGGTAGCAGCCAGTGTAGAGGATATTAGAGGACAGGGCCAACATAGGAGGTGGGTTCATAAGGCAAGAGGCTGGGGACAGACTCTTGGCTCTTCCTTGGATGGGTCCAAATCCCAGAGCTGGCCTTGCATTGGGAGAATGATCAGAGCAGGAAGGCCTTTTCCCAAGTCCTATCTGAGCCACACAGCAAACCCTGGGGGGCGTGGAGGGAGCGATGTACCTTTAACCCCAAGGCTGACCATATCTCCACGCCATGCCTGGGGTTTCTGCCATTCAGGGGTTCTGGGGTCCAGCAAGGGTGAAGTGAAGAAAACAGGAGGAAGAAGAGAGGAGAGGGAGAGCAGGGTGTTTGGAAGCCTCAGGATCTGGTAAGAAGAGGAGAAAGCAAAGAGCAGCAGGAGCCACGAACGCTTCATTTCCTGCTTGTCCTCCCTGCCTCATTCTTGAATGAGGATCTTGAAGTAATGAGTGAGGAGGATTTTCCTAGCTACTAGCATAAGGGAGTATAAGAAAATAGTAGATAAGGAATAAAGTCCAGAGCTAATAAGAAGCACCTTTACTGTTGAATTCTTCTGAGAAAATTTCAGAAGTAAAATTCCTAGGTAAATTTTAGTTTATGTTCCATTCTAGGGAAATGTCAGCCACTCTCCTCTAATTAACATTGCTAAAAGCTTAGAGTGAAAGCTTTCATTTCCTGTTGCTTTTTACATGGACTTGCCACAGCAATCAGTGTCTGTGTAGCTTTCCTTCCCTCGGCTCTTGGTGTTCTTTCTCTGACATTAAGAAATTCTCTTCCTGCATGGAACAAGTGTTATTTTGTTAAAACCGGATGCCTGTCATTTATTCCTTGCAACTGTAAACCAAAAAGGAACTGAGACAAGTCTCAATCAATGTAGAAGTTTATTTTGAGGGCCGGGTGCGGTGGCTCACGCCTGTAATCCTAGCACTTTGGGAGGCTGAGGTGGGTGGATTGCTTGACCTCAGGAGTTTGAGACCAACCTGGGCAACATGGTGAAACCCCGTCTCTACTAAAATACAAAAAATTAGCCGGGTGTGATGGCACACGCCTTAATCCCAGCTACTAGGGAGGGTGAAACAGGGGAATCACTTGAACCTGGGAGGCAGAGGTTGCAGTGAGCTGAGATCGCGCCATTGCACTGCAGCCTGGGAGACAGAGCGAGACTCCGTCTCAAAAAAAAAAAAGAAGTTTATTTTGAGAAGGTTAAGGACGTACTCATGACACAGCCTCAGGAGGTCCTGAGAACATGTGCCCAAGGTGGTTGGGCCACAGCTTGGTTTTATACATTTTAGGGAGACATAAGATATCAATCAGTACATGTAAGGTGTACATTGGTTTGGTCTGGAAAGGTGGGACAACTGGAAGTGGGGGCTTCTAGGTCAGAGGTGAATTCAAAGATTTTCCAATTGGCAATTGGTTGAAAGACTTCTTCTAAAGGCCTGGAATCTATGGGAGGGAGTGTCTGGGCTAAGATAAGGGGTTGTGGAGACCAAGGTTCTTATTATGCAGATGAAGCCTTTAGGTAGCAGGCTTCAGAGAAAATAGATTGTAAATATTTCTTATTAGACTTAAAAAGGTGCCAGACTATTAGTTAATTCTCTCCTGGATCAGGACGAAGACCTGGAAAAGTAAAGGGATTCTTTCCAGAATGTAGATTTTCCCCACAAGAGACAGCATTGCAGGGCCATTTCAAAATATGTCAAAAAATATATTTTAGGGTAAAATACTTCAATTTCTTTCAGGGCCTGCTATCTGTCAAGTGATGCTATAATAGAGTCAGGCTGGAATTCGGTGTCTTATTGCTACAAAGTCTTAAGATGTCTATTGTAATGTGAATGCTGGTCAGTTGTGCCTGAATTCCAAAGCAAGGCGGGTATAAGGAGGCATGTCCAACTATGCCCCCCACTGCCCCCCAACCCCGCCAGCCCCGGCATCCCATCATTGCCTGAACTAGTTTTTCAGGTTCTTTGGAATGTCCTTGGCTGAGAGAAGGGGTCCTTTCAGATGGTTGGGGGGCTTAGAATTTTTTTTTTAGTTTACACAACTAATATAAATTTTATCAAAGGTTTCTGATGGTTCACACAGAAGTCCCACGGTGCAATTCTCCACTGGAAGACATTTTTATTTCCTAGGGCTATTAGTTGGCTTACAATAAAAACTTTAAAGCACTTTTCTTTCCTGAGAAAATTGCTCTCTGAATCAATGGGATTGAGCATAGATAATGGAAAGAGACAGTAAGATGTTCTTGCCTGTAACCAAGCTCCTGTTTAGCGCTTAGTTTGTCTGTCCAACCTGGAGAATCATGGGATGCCCCAGGAATTGTTCCTGAGATTTAAGTTTCACATTGAGACTTTAGGGTTGTTTCCTACAGATTGACTCTTCCCAGAGTGGGTGATCCATCCATGGAACAACCTTGGGTGGGCCTGTGGGTGCATCCTTAAAACAAATGAGGGCTCACTCTGAATATAAGGCAAGATCTTTCAACTGTGGCACTATTGACATTTTGGACTGGACAATTTTGTGTTATGGGAGTGTCCTGTGCAATGTAGGATGTTTGGCAGCATCCCCGGCCTCTACCCACTAGATGCCAGCCTCCACCCCTAAGCTGTGACATCCAAAAATGTCTCCAGACACTGCCAAATGTCCACTGCAGGAAAATATCACGCCCTGTTGAAAACCACTGATCCAAAGCACCCGCAATTATTTATTCTGGTACAGTTGTAGAAGGCCTCGAACACTTTTCTTCAAAGGGCTGTACAGCCTTAAGAAACCACTAGAGGGCGAGCAGGGCTGCTAATTTGAGCTGCTTCATAAAGGTGTCACTGCAGGACTTGGCAGAAGCAGGGGGCCAAGGGACTCCCCTTGGGAGCTTGATGGAACCACTGAGAAGAGCAAGTCCTGCCATCCTAAGAGCATTAGGGAAGCAGCCACCAGTAAGAACGCACCCCTCACCCCAGGAGCTGAGAAGACCATGGTTATGAGGTGACTGTCAAGTGATGGGCTCCATCACCCAGGGTGAGGTAACCCTCTGTGAGGAGGGGTCAGCCAGCCTCTTCTGTCTCCTTGATGTGGTGTACTTAGTGTAGAGAGGAAAGAGATTATTGGTCTTATCTCGATTTTTCATGAAGGGGAGATAGCATTCAGTTCAATAAGTATTTATTTCATGTCTACTATTTATAAGGTTCTGTGTTTGATTATGGGGATATTGGTAGATTGCATAAATGGCCACAAATTATTTACCTGTCTGTATCCATGCCTTTGGGCAGTCCCCTCCCACATTGACTCTGGGCATAGCCATTTGATTTGCTTTGGCCAATGGGTCAATAGCAAATGTGATGCAAGCAGAGACCTGAAAGCTCTTGCTCACTGGGGCATATCCACTCTTGAGGCTCTTGGGACCCTGCCGCTGCTGTCGTGTGAGGAAGCCCAAGCTAGCCTGCTGAATGATGAGAGATCCGTGACCCCAGGGGCTCCTATTACCTCAGCTGACAGCCAGCCAACTTCCAGAAGCTGAGACACCTAGTTGACCAGCAGCCAACTGGCACGGCTTAACTCAGTATAGCAGAAGACCAGCAAAAGAAAGGCCCAGCCCAAATTGCCAACCCACAGAATTGCGAGTCACGTAGTTGGCTGTAGTTTTTAGGTCACTAAGCTTAGGGTGGACTGTTACGCAGCAAAAGCTAATGAAAACACAGATGGATGAGACATAGTTCTTGCCTTCAGGACTCCACAGCCTAAGAGACCAATAATTTGCTCCCAAGGCAGGCTGCTTGTGTAATTGGACCCTTAGAGCCATACGAGACAGTAATAGCAGTCACGTTCGTTTTTCACTCCTGGAATACTAGTTAAAAGCATGAACTTGAAAACCAAAGCGCTTGAACTTAAATCCCAGCTCCATCACTTACTAGCTGTGTGACTCTGTGTAGGTTCCTTAATCTTTGTGTCTCTATTTTCTCGAAAAGGGATAATGATAGAACCTACCTCATGGAGTTGTTGAGGGGATTAATAGGTACACATTTCTTATGATAGGGTCTATGATTTAGTAAGTGTTTTGAAAGTACTAGCAATATATGTTTGGTCTAAAATGGAATCAGCATTAAAGTGTTTTCTTTTTGAATAACACCTTCCACTACATATAATAGTAATACATGTTCTTTGTGAAAAGCTGAAAAAAATACAGGAAAACTATAAAGAAGAGAACAAATGTCATCCCTTAGATTTTGTGCCAACTTTAGAAATAACACATTTTATTTTAAATCAAGCTACTATGATCAGCTTTGGAGAAAGGTCATTCAAGATACTCAGGGAATAAAGGTATCAAGTGCTTAGCCGAGTGAAGCCCTTTATATAGACTTTGCTCAGTGTACATTTCTCCAGTTGGATTGAAAGAGATCAAGTAGTTCCTTGTCCTATAGCATCTGGGATATAATTTGCAGATCCCAATGGACTAAATTAAACATTGGAGCAAAGTGCAAAGGAAAACCAGAAAGGAAGGCAATGATTAGCAACTCTGGACCCATGGAGCATTTCTAACTAAGGAGTATGTTCTTATTTTATTTTTATTCATATTATTTTTAATAAATCATAATTGTACATATTTATAGGGTATAATGTGATGTTTTGATGTATGTATACAATATGGGATAATTAAATCAAGATAATCAAGATGAATTAACATATCCATCACCTCACTTATCATTTTTTGTTGTGTGACATTTGAAATTTACTCTTACTTTGAAATATACATTATTATTGACTATAGTCACCCTGCTGTGCAATAGATCTCAAAACTTAGTCCTTCTGTCTATCTGAAATTTTGTACCCTTTGACCAACAGCTCCCCATTCTCTCTTTTCCTCTACCACTGGTCCCTGGTAACCATCATTCTACTTTCTACTTCCGTGAGTTTAACTTTTTAGGATTCCACATATAAATGAGATCACATGGTATTTATTTTTCTGCACTGGCTTATTTCACTTAGCATAATGTCCTCCAAGTTCATCCATGTTGTTGCAAATGACAGAATTTCCTTCTTTTCATGGCTGAATAATATTCCATTGTGTATATATACCACATTGTAATTATCCATTCGTCTGTTGATGGATACTTAGGTTGATTCCATATCTTGGCTATTGTGGACAGTGCTGCAATAAACATGGGAGTGCAGATATCCGTTTGACATATTGATTTCAATTCTTTTGGCAATATACCCAGAAGTGGGATTACTGGATCATATGGTAGTTCTAGTTTTAGTTTTTTGAGGAACCTCCATACCATTTTCCATGATGGCTATACTAATTTACATTTCCACCAACAATGTAAAGGCATCCTCTTTCTCTATATCCTCACCAACACTTGTTATTCTCTATATTTTTGAGAAAAGCCATTTAAGGCTTGTTCTTATATGCTGCCTCTCTTGATGTGCAAGGCTGTTTAAGTTTGAAACGGCACTTGTTATTAAACTGACTTTTGCAGAAGCAGAAGTTGTATCTTAGAATGGTGTAGTAGCTGGCCAATGTAACACAGGTAGTGATTAGTGGAGCTGGGTCCAGGCCACTGACCTAACATCCAGTGGTCTTTTGTGTTTGGCTTCTTTTACTAGCATAATGTTTCTGAGATTCATCCAAGTTGTAGCATGTATCAGTGCTTTGTCCCTTTTTATTGCTGAATGGTACTGTGTTGTATGAATATACCACAGTTTATTTATCGATGAACATTTTGATTGCTTCTACAAGTCTTGTAGAGACATATGTCTTCTATAAACATACATCTTCATTCATTTCCCTTAGGTAGATACTTAGGAGTGGAATTGTTGGGTCATATGGTGACTCTCTGACATTTTGAGAAACTACAAGACTGTTTTCCAAAATAAGTGTACTATTTTACAATCTTGGTAGCAATGTATGAGGATTTCCAGTTTCTTCACATCCTCATCTATACTTGTTACTGTTTGTCTTTTAAATTATAACTATTCTAGTGGTTGTGAAATGCTATTTTATTTTGGTTTTGACTTGCATTTTCCTAATGCCTAATGTTGTTGAGTATCTTTTCATCTGCTTATTAGCTATTTGTATATATTTTTGGTAAAATGTTTTTTCAAATCTTTTGCCTATTTAAAAATTTGCTTATTTTTCTTCTTTCAAATTATTTGTTGTATAAAAACTCAACATGAATAAAGGACTGGGAAAGAGAGAATGGCAACTTGGAGAACCTGGTGGTTAGATATACCTATAGCATGAATCTTATTAGAAGGCTAAAGAGGTAGGCATGGTCCTGACCTTGTAGAATTGCACTATCCAGTATGGTGGCTGCTAACCACATGACATGATGGATTATGGAGCATGTCAAAGGTGGCTAGTCCAATTTGAGTTGTGCTGTAAGGGTAAAACGCACACCAGATTTTAAAGACTTGCTATGAAAAACTGAATGTAAAGCATCTCATCAATAATTTTTGAATTATTACATATTAAGATGATACTATTTTGAAAATATTGACTAAAATAAAATACAGTATTAAAATTAATTCTATTTTTTAAAATAAAAAATGGCTACTATGAAATTTAAAATTACATACATGGCTCCCAATATATTTCCATTACATAGCAATGTTCTAGAACCTTGACCATCAGTAAATTAGATCTTGATATGTAGAGAAATGGGAAGGCTTTGATAGGTTTTAAGCATGAGGAAATTATGACCGCTTTTTAAAAAAGAGATTACTTTCAATGCACTGTGGTGAATAGATTGGAGAGGACAGGGAATGGCTGGCCAGGAAATGGAGTAGGCAGCTTTGCAGTAGTCTAGATGATGGATGATAGTCACTTGATAGTGATACAGAACTCAATAGTCACTTCATAGGGAAAAACAGCGTTCTGTTCAATATCTCAAATCTACTCAGAATTTTGTAGAAAATACTAAACATTTATGTGTCTCTCAGGGCTAATATCATCTGGAATATACTTTCAGAGGGAGCTACTTAAAATTCTAGACTCTTCTGTGTCTAAGGTGAAGACCACAGGTTACCTGGATCACATACCCTTGTAGGGAAGAGCCACTTAAATAGCAACTCTATACTATGCAAAATGTGGTGCTAGATCATGGTAAAGATTTGGCTTTGACCCTGAGTGAGGGGAACCATTGGAGGCTTTGGAGCACACGAGTGATGTGACCATCAGGTCATTGCTTGTTAATTGGATAACACTGGCCACTGCACTGAGAATAGACTGAAGGGAGTGAGGGTGGGAGAGGGAGGGCCCTGCGATTTAAGCAATTCTTTATTGTTAGGCATTTTCATTGTTTCTAATTTTCTCTAATTTTAAACAACAGAGTAATCAATGTTGTGCAAAATTTTATTACATCCTTCATTCATTTTCTTAAGATAAATTCCAAGAAAAGTGGCAGTTGTGGTCAATGGGGACATCTGTTATTACAGCTTTTGATATATCTTGCCAAATTGCCTTCTAGAAATTTGGACACAGCTTAAATTGCCACTGCTGTGTAGGAGAGTGTCTGCTTCCTTCTTCTTGTGCCAGCCCTTGGCAATGTTACTATTTCTTAAACTTAATCAAGCAAGAGTTCCAAGTATGCCTTTAAAATAATTCTCATATGAATTAGTCCACATTTTTCTTCATGAAACACTTCTCCCCATTGTGTCCTAGTTCAGCTATTTTATTAAACTTTAGGTAAATTATATATTCAATCATTTCAGGCTAGTGATGACAATTTATTAAATTTTTTCTGTTCCTAAAGGTGGGAGGATCTTGTCAAACTGGCACATAATTTGATTTCTACTTCTTTAATATTTTTAAAAGGAATGAAATGATAAACCCAAAATAAGTAGAGAAAAGCAAGCTCTGAACACTTTTTTTGAACTTGTGAGATATTAAACTTTTGGTAAATTTCTAATCGAGGCACGTATACACCATGGAATACTATGCAGCCATAAAAAAGAATGAGTTCATGTCCTTTGCAGGGACATGGATGAAGCTGGAAGCCATCATTCTCAGCAAACTAACACAGGAACAGAAAACCAAACACTGCACGTTCTCACTTATAAGGGGGAGTTGAACAATGCGAACACATGGACACAGGGAAGGGAACATCACACACTGGGGCCTGTTGGCGGGGGCGGGGGAGGGGGGCAAGAGGAGCGAGAGCATTAGGACAAATACCTAATGCATGCAGGGCTTTAAACCTAGATAATGGGTTGATAGGTGCAGCAAACCACCATAGCACATGTATGCCTATGTAACAAACCTGCACATTCTGCACATGTATCCCAGAACTTAAAGTAAAATAAATAAATTAAAAAAGCAATCTAGACTTACCTGTTGGGAGAAAAAGCATAAAGGTAAATAAACTATGTTTATAAATATGCATGCATGTATTTAAGTATAAGTTCTATTTCTCTCTGTTCCCTGGAAAGTCACAGGTTGAAATTAATTTTAAGAGAACATTGACCAGGCCCCTTAAAGGTTAAATTAAACTGAGGGGTGCTACTGCAATTTAATTACGTTTTCATCTTTTCGGATTAGTCATTGAATACAGATTGAAATCCTATTTTCACACATCTCTATAGGTCACCTAAATGGCTTGTTCAAAATTCTAATTTTTTTTCCCTCATGAATAATTTCCCTCAAAAGGTAACCTTTCTTCTCTATGGGCATAATAAAAGTGTTTATGTAAAAATGGCAAAGGAAAATGGATTATATTTTGTAACATACTGAGTTGTGAAGCAGAATTATGCCTTTGTACTATGAAGCTGTTCTTTTCTTTTTCCAAATGTGAAGATTTAGAAGCGAGGTGACCCGCTATTGTAGCTATGTGAAGAGGGGGAGAATCAGGGCTCCCATTACAGAGCGTAGGAGGGATGATGAATACCATAGTGAGGTTTAGTGCCACTTAAGAGCCAAAAAATTTCTGTCACAAACCTACCCCTGCTGTCTCACATTTCTGATATTAGTTCCCATTGATTGTTTCATTGCTCCTCATTGATTCTTCCAGAAATTTCTTCCTCCTTCCTAATGTCCTTTGGCTTTGCATCTCATGCCATCAGACTTCACCACTTTCTCCTCTTTCTTGTTGCAGTCATCTCCAGAGTCCTGGGTCATTCTTCTTTCTTGAAGAGTACAAGGAAGAACGCTTCCTGTCATTCTTTCCAGCACTGCTCCAGCATAATTCCTGGTGATTTAAATACAGTTGATTCTCATTATTTGGGGTAGTTAGGGTGTATAAACTTGCGATGAACACCGAATCAGTGAATACTAAACATCGTTCCTAGGGGAAAAGCACAAGTTCCTGCAAGCTTCTGGTAACTACATTGTCATGAATAGATCAAACATAACCCTGTTTTATATATGTTTCTGTCTAAAGACACCTTGTTTAATATATATTGTTGATTCATTAACATTGAACTTACAGCTAGAATGCATGCTTGAAAGAAGCTTTTCTAACACAAATTATGTATTTATGTATTTATTTATTTATTTTCCCATAAGGTACATCACAGCCTTCTTGTACTTAGGAGTGCTAGGCAGCACTAAGCTTGAGGACCATTTTTAGGTTTTTTGTTTTTTTGAGACAGGATCTCACCATATCACCTAGGCTGGAGTACAGTGGTGCCATCATGGCTCACTGCAGCCTCGACCTCCCTGGGCTCAGGTGATCCTCCCATCTCAGCCTCCAGAGTAGCTGGGACTACAGGCACATGCCACCAGCAGGCCTGGCTAATTTTTTTTTTTGGTATTTTTTGTAGAGATGGGGTTTTGCCATGTTGCCCAGGCTGCTCTCAAACTCCTGGGCTCAAGTGACCCACCCGTCTCAGCCTTTTAAATTGCTGGGATTACAGGTGTAAGCCACCCTACCCAGTCATTGGGGACCATTTTGAACAGCAAAATCACCAACAAAAAGCACAAAAATGCAAAAAACATGGCACTAAATAGTGAAAAGGACACTTGTTTATAGCCTGAGAGCTGAAACAAGAAGGCAGAGTGTCGCCTCATTTGACTCAGCTGGTGGCGTGCACGTTGGGCAACTCAAATTTTTTGCTGCTCTGCACATGTCTGCGAATGACTGCTAAAGTTCCAAGCATATTGATTTTTGGGGCTGCAAATAAATTTTAGAAAGTAGACAAATTTGCAAACAGAGAATCTGTGAATAATGAGGATTGGCTGTGTCTATGTTGATGATCTTTCTGATGATGTGAGCACTGCATTTCTTGACTTTCTGTCTAAGTATGGTAGATCTTGTCTACCATACTATTTTAGCCATGCACCCCCAAGATCATGCCGAATGTCATGAAAAGACAATATTTCCCATCCCAACACCTGTTTTTTATACAGGGATCTGAAAGTGTCAGAACCAGGGTAATTTTTTCTTTGATGTCTCATCCCCTCTGTGTTTACACCCCCACCTCCCTATCCATATGCTGAAACCCTAACCCCCAGTGTGGCTGTGGCCTCTAAGGAAGTGATTAAGGTTAAACGAAGTTGTAAGGGTGGGGCCGTGATCTGATAGGATTAATGTTCTTATAAGAAAAGACACTGGGGTTGGCCCGCACATGCGCTCACTCATGCTCATGTGCGGTCTCTCTCTCTTTCCCCCTCCTTGTGCCCTCAGAGGAAAGGCCATGTAAGGATGCAGGAAAAAGTCAGTAATCTGCAAGCCAGGAAGAAAGCTGTGGCACCACCAGAATCTGCAATCCGCTAGAACCTTGATCTTAAACTTCCCAGCTTCCAAAACTGGGAGAAAATAAATTTCTGTTGTTTAAGCCACCCAGTCTATGATACTTTGTTATTGCAACCTGAGCTGGCTAAGACACCCTTTTAAGGTATTTTTCTCTCTAGAAGAGCTCTCATTGTCTCACCTAAGTGCACTGTCCTAAACAGGTATTCTGTACTTCAAACTTTTCCTACCCACCACCAAAACATACCTTTTAAATATTCCCCAGTACTTTACTTTTCTAAAAATTGGTTCACTAATAAACCAATTGCCATCAATTAGTATTATTTTTATTATCTCTACTAACATTTTAACTTTAAAAGTAAGATATATGTTCACTTTAGGAAATTTGAAAATGACAGAAAAACGTAAAGTAGAAAATAAAAATTACTTTAATTCTAAAATGTTGGCATTTTGATATATTTCTCTTCAGTCTTTTTTTTTTTTTTCTGTGAAAACTTGCCGGAGTTCTTGGTTGCAAATCACTTTAAGCTACCCTCATTACCTTGATGAGAAAAGAAGCTTATTGGTAAGATATCAGGCAGCTCAAAGAAATATGGGACTCTTGGAGAACCTGACTGGGAACGTGGTAGGAGGCATCCATATTAAACTGGGCTACCAGAACTTCTTTCGAGCGCCCTCTAGTGGAACAGTCTGATTCGGACGCCTCTGTTGCCACTGCTGGACATATTCTGTGGGTGACACCGCTGCACTGGATACTAGAAGCCCTGTCAGCACCACCGCTAAGACTTTCTTTGAGTCATTAACTCAAGATTCAAAGAGCTGAGTGGGAGCACCTGATTGGCCAAGCTTAGACTATGTGCCCCCTCCTAGCGCAGCAGCCAGGGCTCAGAGAAAGCCAGAATCTGATCTTTTCTTTTGCAAGAGGGAGGAACTGCCTTCCCTAAGGCTCACGCCATGGGACATTCTCCAGATTTAAGGATAGCATCCAGATCCTGGAAAACCCTTCCTAGAAAAGCAATTACAATGTATTCTTTGGCTACTTGATATCCACATGTACTTTTCTTTCCATATTTTCATGTCACAGTAATCAAGGAAATGTGTAGCGTCTACTGTCACCATTTATACTTCTACCACAAGGCAACAGCTGGTATTTATAACTCCCACCTCTCCCTATTCCAGATCTCCTTTGCCTGCAGCCTGTACCTCAGATTCTCAGTGTGTTTTACTTAGTAGAGTCACTCAAATCTTCATTTCTAAGGAAATTGAACTCTTGGTGGGCCTGCCTGGATTGTCCTGTATTAGTATTTCATTAATTTTTATTACTGGACAAGATAATAATAGGAGGAACTGTAAGACTCACCCAATTTCATTCATACTCATCCCTGCTTGTATCGAGTAGCAGCAACTCAACTGACCCTTAATAGTAAGATGATACTTACTCCTCACCTTTTTTTTTTAATGAGTTTTTTTCTCACCTTTTTTTCTCAAGGGAATGTGTGTGGAGGCCAGCATGGTAATGTGAAAGTCTTGGCTTCTCACTAAATGAAAATCATTCTTGTGGAAAATTTATTTCTTTAGGTACTAAAGCACTTTACATATATTAACAACTTTAGCCCTCCCCAAAATACCGTGGGATTTTACCTTTTACAGATAGGAGAATAGAGGCACAGAGAGGTTAAGTAACCTGTTCAAAATCACACAGCTAGAAAGCAGTAGAGATAGGATTTGAACCCAGCCAATCTGGTCCCTGCTCTTCATGTCTTCTTAATATGATACAGTATTCAGGAATGTCCTGTGTGGTGGCGAGAAAGTCAAGGTTCCTGCATAGCAAATTGTGGAACAGAACTAGAAAAGCCCTGTGACAAGTTGGTAAGGTGTTCTGCTATCCCTGCTAGGTAAAAGCAAAATGCTTCTGGTGTTTATCAGATAAGAGACAAAGATATTTGACTCTGCAAGGATGGACATTTTTGTTTGTTTTGCTCACTTCACTATACCCAGTACCTAGAACATTACCTGGAACATAGTAGGTGCTCAATTCACTGAAGAATGAATAAATGCCAGACACCAGGGACTGGGTTATGTTTCCTCATTAGTAGGCCACATCCATAAATGCAGCTGCAATTGGAATCACCCCCTCATGAAGCACATGTCAATCCACCATCATTCTCCAAGAAGCCCCCATCCTCTGCACTGGACAAACTGGAAAGTTAGGTGGGGATGTACTAGGAATCACCTTCCCTGCATTTCTTAAGATTTTCATGGTGACACTAATTGCTATAATTTTCTCAGATATGGTATTGCTTTTTATTTTTCATTTTGAGTGCAATGGGTAATCCTAGGGGCTTCCATTGGACTTATTTTACCTGTGGTTCAGAGACAATGTGGGGATTCTAGCAGTGGCTAGATTTACCTATTCAAAGTAAATCCTTAGGAAACAGATAGATAAACTATCATGGGCTGAGTTCAGAGTGTTAGTCTGTCCACTTTAAATTAGACTGGGACTGGGACCTAAATGCTATTGATCACCTGAATCTTGTAAGTCTCCACCCTAATTAGTGAGTGGCAGTGTTATTTACTCAGATTCAATGTTCAATAATATCTGAAATGGGTAGGCATTTCCCTTTGCCCAATACGCTGTTTCCTTGATAAATATTTACAAGTCAAAGGATAGGAGGAAGATTCCCCAATATTTTTGTGAAGTAATTTCAGGACACTTCTTTAAGGCCCTGCCTGACTTCCCCTTCATTAGGGGATTCAGGGCCTGTGAAGGTTAGTCTTCCTTGTGCAAGGTAATTCTTACAAGGAAAGAGAGTTACGGAGTCTTCAGGTAAGTCATGAGCTGCCTCAGACGTGGGAGGAAGAATGGCTTGAGCTGAAAACCTAGGTTCAGTGGAGTTTGGAGATTTGGTGTTTGAGGCCTTGACACCCTCCCACTGAACACCATTGCAGTTCTCAGGGTCTGCTCTTTCCTTATTGATGCCCTAACTTTCATATAAGGCCCTTGATGAGTCTGTGATTCAGTTGATGTTCTAAATTAGTCCCCACTGGAGTAGAGGATTGATTCTGGGTAGTTTTGTACTGCTGCTACAAAAAATAAGACATTCTTTTTTAGCACAGGGATACAAAATCCTCCTGGTTCTGGGTTTTGCTTTCAGCCAAGAACTAGGGATTTGAGTATCATTCTCTCTCTTTAAGCTTTCCAGTATTAGCCACCTCATTCTCCAGTCCTGGTTTCTCATGCTGCTGTATATGGCACCACCAATGTGGGCTCCCAAGGCTTGCTTACAAACCACCAATGTGGGCCCCCAAGTCTTGCTTACAAAAAAAATTACTGTATAAATTACAGTTTGATTAGTTGCTCTTCCACTGTGGGCCACTGTTTACCAGATTTTCATTCCTGAATGTTTGCTGCCCTTACCCCAACCAAGTTATATAACCAATCCTGGATTCTCCTCAATTCCAGAAGATCTGCTGTCTGAAGCCCCTCCTGGTAACAATTTCTGATCCAGTTAGGGTTCATGACATAAACAGCATAAACTGAGCTTGCTTATCCTAAGCAGAAAAGGAATTGATTAGAAGGCTATCAAGTAATGGGAAAGCTGTTGAACCAGGCTCAGGAAATGGACTAGAATCCTGTGGTCCCAAAATGTCCCAAGCCAGACTTTTTGGGTCCAACTGCTCTTCTCACTGGGCATTGAACGCTGTCGTGACTGACAGTATTAGAAGACATTCCAAACTTCCTTCTTGGCATCCTGATTGGCTGAGCTTAGGTCATGTGCATCATCTTCCTAGTGCCTGGGTCCAGGGAAAGCAAGTACTTGGCCTTTGGCTTCTGTGGGGAGGGGACCCTATTTGCACCCAAGATTCAAACAGTGACAGATTCCTCCAATCTATAATGTACATATATATTATGACATTGGGATCACAATTGTGAGTAAAGGGTTAACCTTAGCACTGGGCTGATCCAGGCCTGCCTGTGAGAACCATCGACCACAGAGTCCTGTTTCTTTGGAAACTGCAGTGATCAACAGATGTGGAATATTGCACCTGCCCTGCTTGCTGTGAAGCCCTGCTCTGTGGGACCTCTTCTGGACTGGGGCTGCTGGGGGCTGACATGCAGTTTTGGGGCTTGTGTTACTGGAACCATATAAAAGATTGTTGGGAAGCTGTGACTGTGGCTTCTCTGTGTCAAGGTGATTTTATGACACTTTGGATGTCATTCTGTGGCAAACTTGCATTTCCTGTGTGGGTGTGGGGGCAAAAGAAGCTGTGCACTTGGGTAGCTGTCAGGCATTGCATTCGTTTCCTATCACTACTGTAACAAATCCTCACGAACTTAGCGGCTGGAAACAACATAAATTTATCACTTTATAGTTCTGCAGGACAGAAGTCTGACACAGTTTCACAGTAGCTAGGATCAAGGTGTTGGCAGGGCTGCATTCCTTTCCGTAGGCTCTAGGGAAGAATCTGTTCTCTTGGCTTTTCTGGCTTCTAGAGGCATCTGGCATGCCTTGGCTCATGGTCCCTTCCTCCATCTTCAAAGCCAGCAATGGAGGATTGAGCCCTTCTTACATTGCATCGCTCTGACCTCCTCATCTGCCAACCTCTTCCACTTTTAAGGATGTTTCTGATTACTTCAGGCTCATCTAGATAATACACAGAGTAGTTTTCCTGTTTTAAGGTCAGCTGACTTATCAACTTTAATTCTATCTGCACCTTAATTCCTCCTTGCTATGTAATGTAACATATTCACAGGTTCTGCAGATTAGGGCATGAATATCTTTGGGGCACTGTGATTCTGCCTACCACGGGTATCCTGAAGAAATGAAGGTGCTGTACATGCTATTTCCTGTCTTCTGCCCTTCCACAAGGCCGAGTGAAAATTAAAGCCAATAGTGTGCCTTGCATCTGATCTCCAATTTGAACCTGCAACCACTGCTGTGTCAATACCCAGTAGGACACAGTTTGGAGAGGGTGGATATTTTATTGGGGCCATTTTTACGTGTTCAAACACCATTTATTAAATCTCTGCAGGGGTATACTGTTATCCCGAAATAGACTAATTTCTTAATTATGTAGCCCCTAGGATTTCTTTTCTTTCCAAAACCTCTGAAAATAATTCTAAGATAGGATGCTGGGAAATAGGTTTCTTGGACTCTTGTAACTATCCAAATCTCCAAAGCTTTAGGACTTTTCTTGGCTGACGGAAAGAGTTGAAAACTACTGTTTTCTTTTAGAGGAAAAATGTTAAAAAAAAAACCTGTCTAATATAAATTTTAAATGAAGGCAATATCCTAGGCTGGGCTGATGTAAAATTATTTTCATCATCACATTCATTGTGTCAGCCAGATCTTTGGCTCCAAACATGCTGTCCTTGTAAAAATTCCATTTCAGCTGTCAGGGTAATCAAAAGGTTTCAAAAACTTTTCTTGAATACTGAGTTGAAATAAAATAATAAAACACACTATCAAATGCCAAAGTCTGCAGAAGGATGATACCAGATATGGGCAGGTTTTACATTTTTAAAAAGTCAATTTTATTAAATTCTTTACTTGGATATAACTTTGGAGTACCTATTCCTAACATATACAATTTCAGGATAAATCAAGTTGATTTTCCATCTGAAATCAGATATGGGACTACCACATAATTAAACACACAAAATCTAAAACAATATTTCATTGATTTAAATTAACTTTTAATGGCACAGTTTATGTTGTGTAACGGTATTTTTATAATGTCATTACATTGCACGGGCAGAAAAAGAAAATAATGGCTACAAGTTTTATCTTTAAAATTTTGACACCACAGATCTGTATTTCTAAAAAACCATAAGCTACAGATGTCTGCAAGTTACAAGATCTTATTACTCTATTACAGAATGAAGATGTTGTTGAGGTTGCGGATGACACAAAAATGGATATGAGAAACACATTTTGGAGTGAACACATTGAGTAGTCAAAGGGCTATACAAAATATTGTTCAAAAGATGCTTCTTTTTAAAAACATTACCCAGCTTAGTCACAGTTAAAAAACCCCAGTAACATATGGGAAGACCTTTTTAGAGGCACTGTGGGGCTGAAAGTATGTGTTTTGCTATTGTTTCAGTGTCTTAGTCCATTTACTATTGCTATAAAGGAATATCTGATGCTGGATAATTTATAAAGAAAAGAGGTTTATTTAGCTCATGATTCAGCTTGCTGGAAGGTTCAACATTGGGCATCTGGTGAGGGCCTCAGGATGCTTCCACTCATGGTGGAAGGCAAAGGGGAGCTGAGTGTGTAGAGATCAAATGGCAACAGAGGAAGGGAGATGCCAGGCTCTTTTTAACAACCAGATCTCACAGGAACTAATAGAGTGAGAGCTCACTCACACCCTCGCCCCAGTCAGCCCTTCTCCCTGCATTAGTGTATTCATGATGGATCTGCACCTGTGACCTAAAACATTTCCCATTAGGCCTCACCTCCAACATTGTGATCAAATTTCAACATGAGGTTTTGGGGGAAAAGCATCCAAACCAGAGCAGTGAGTATCAGAGCAGCAGGAATGTAAATTTTCATCTTTCCTGTGCCTCTTCCTCAAGGAAACCTCTTGACAACCTTCCCCATCTGTCCCCAATTTCCTACCTCTGACCACTTCTGTATTTGCACCTCACAATTCTTTCCTGCGCTTGGTGTTCATCTATCTATTTGTCCTTCATTCCAGTAATCTTTCATTGAGTGCTGCTTGTAGGAAGTTCATTATAGAAGAATTGATATAGTTGGGAATGATATTGATCTGTATTACCTAATAATTCAGACACAGGGAAAACTTCAAGGGAAAAGGGAATGGATTAATTCACCAGTTTCCAGAATCTGGGCCTTGCCATCAGTCATTCTTGTTGACTACCCGGATTGGTCACTGTGTTAGGCACTGGCAGGGTAGTAGGATAAAAAGGACATAAGTTGGCAAATTGCAAGTGGGGATCAGTTAACTGGGACAAGGATGGGGAGGAAAAGGGTAGGCTAGGAAAGAGGGGTTGGACCAAATTGCAATGTGATTGGAATTCTCCATCACCATTTCATATGCCTAGAATCTGTTGGTAGCTACTCCTTTAAATTTCCAGGACATTCTATTTTTCTGTAACTAGTGAAGGACCCCTTCACTCTGCACTCCCAGTCTCCACTGGGGGACCATGACTGTCTCTGTCTCTCATCTCTGGATTCTACCGTTGTGGCGTCTCTCATGAACGTGCCTTTTGTCCCACTTCATTATGGAAGAGTCCTGTTCTAAGGGCTGGTCTTTTCATTTGATTAGCCAGCAAGTGAGGATACATAAAAGGAGGCATTCTCCTTGGAGGCAATGTGGAAATCCTAGTGACTCTAATAAAACTCACCAGATGGGCAGAACTTTCACTACAAAACACATCACACCATGTGAATAATTACCTATAAGTGGTCTTGATATGCACTTTGCCAAAATACTGCTTCTAATTCCGGAGCAGCCAGTCAATGGTCCTTGCCAAAGTTTCTCTATAGTAAATGGCAAGAAGGGTATGTGAAGCTTCTGCTGCACGTCTTTTCCTGGGGTAGGGCACAGTGAATTCAGTTATATCAATAGCAGAACAGATCACAAAAATGGCCTCAATACTTTGCAGCTCCTCCCGTCAAGAGTTGGAGTCTATTTCTCCACTCTTGAATCGGGCCTGGCCTTGGGAATGTGGTAGAAGTGGCATTAGAAGAGTTTCAGACCTAGACATCAAGGCATCAAGAGGCCATGAGGCTTCTGTTTTCATTTGTCTTGAGACTCTGTGACCACTGTGTGAAGGAATCCAGGCAATCTTGCTAAATGATGAAAGACACGTGGCCCTGTTGCTCCAGTCTGCCAACTGCCATACATATGAATGTGACTACCTTAGATGATCCAGCCACCAGCTGCTGGCCAGCTGACTGCAGATGCATGCTCAAGTCTAGAAGGCGTCAACTGAGCCAGCCCAGATCAGAGGAACATCCCAGGCGACCTCTACAATCAGCTAAATAAATAGTAGTTGTTTAAACTACTAGGCTTTGGGGTGGTTGTTCACCCAGCAAAAGCTAACTGATACAAGTATTCATGTAAGAATAAGAATATGAATATGAATATGTAATCCCAGCACTTTGGGAGGCCAAGACGGGTGGATCACGAGGTCAGGAGTTCGAGACCAGCCTGACCAACATGGTGAAACCCCCATCTCTACTAACAATACAAAAATTAACCAGGTGTGTTGGCACGCACCTGTAATCCTAGCTACTCAGGAGGCTGAGGCAGGAGAATTGCTTCAACCTGGGAGACAGAGGTTGCAGTGAGCTGAGATTGCCCTACTGTACTCCAGCCTGGGCAACATAGTGAGACTCTGTCTCAAAAAAAAAAAAAAAGGGCGGTGGGGGGAGGTAGGATGGATCATCAACAGTGTGGATTTAGATCTATAAAACTTGGCTTTGTAGCCTGAAGGGGAGAATAAGTGAAAAAGAAAAGGATGTAAAGATGTATATATCTATAACATGAAATACTACTCAGCTATAAAAAGGAACGAAATAATGGCATTTGCAGCAACCTAGATGGAATTGGAGACCATTATTCTAAGTGAAGTAACTCAGCAATGGAAAACCAAACATTGTGTGTTCTCACTCATGTGTGGGAGCTAAGCTATGAGGATGCAAAGGCATAAGAATGATACATTGGACTTTGAGGACTCGGGGAAAGGGTAGGGGGTGGCGAGGGATGAAAGACTGCACATTGGGTACGGTGTATACTGCTCGGGTGACAGAGGCACCAAAATCTCAACCACTAAAAAACTTATTCATGTAACAAAACACCACCTGTTCCCCAAAAACCTATTGAAATAAAAAATAAAAAAACGTATTTATCTAAAACTATCCAGAAAACTGAAATCTGTTTCCAATACTTGCTATGAAAAATCCATAGAGTATCTGAATAGGTTTGGGTAACATGCCCCCCAGCATGAAGGAAGACGTCCTGATTCTAGACAGCACTCAGCTTTTGTGGCATATATCCAAGTTCAGCTCAAATTAAAATTCAGACATTGGTGACTTCACCAGGTATCTGTTTATATGTGTGATATGCCTGACTACCTTTTTTTTTTTTTTTTAAAGAGAGAGAGTTCTTTGTTACTTGGCATAACCTGAATGCAACTGGGGTCACATATAGCTCAGTCTCTGAGCAGTGTTCCTTTCAAAAACCAGCACTGTGGCAGAAAACAGAATGACAGCTATTCATGTCTGTACTCAGTCTCTTGAAAAAAAAAAAAAAAAAAAGCCAATGGGAGAGTACATTCATAATGCCAGCAAAGCTCACTTAAAATAACATCCTTTTTAGACATCTTTATCATTCTTGTGTGCCCTGCAGTGGAACTTCTAAAAACTCTTTCTGGAAGTGGCTCATGAAAATATAAAATATTCTCTCCGCACACTATTTAGTCCTTGAAAACTCTTTCCTGAAAGCAAAATGCATGTCTCTTCTGCCTCTTGACTGTGAGTTCTCACTCACGCACATAGCTAAAAATCTTTCTTTTCCTCTCATCTAAACTCTTCCATAATCACTGCAATACTCCCTCATTCACTTCCTCTTTTCTATTCCCATGTTGTTCATGCATAGTGGTCCCTTCCTAAAAGCTAATGCTCCCTGCACCTGACCCTCCACGATGTATTCAGGCCTCTGGGTGGGGTGGGTAATCTGGTTTTATTTCCCTGAGGATCATCTCCTTATCCAGATTCCACACAATACAGGAAAAACTAGGTGCTTAACTCTCAAGTAAGATTCCTTCTCCTTTAGAAATGGGCGGGGGGCGCATGGGAAGGGCTGAAGTATTCATATATTAATATAGCCTTATGTGAATTTGGATTATATGAATATGAAATAATGTTATGTAAATATAAGAACAAAGTCTCATTTCTGGAGCAAAATTTGAAATAATGTGAATTTCCCCAAATGAGGAAAAACAATCAATAATCATGTATGTTCAAAGGTGGACTGAGTGAATTCGGAGGTCTATTTGTGTTATTGCTATGGTAGCTGGTAGACAGAATGACCGGCTACTATTCTTTGCCAGTCCTATGGAAAATTGTTCTTGAATTATATGAGATTTGAATTACAAAAGTTGTTCTGGAAAACACTGTGGCATAAACTAACTTCAGTGTTCTGTCTTGTTATGTTGGCTTTTGTTTGTGAGGTCAGGGGAGAACGTTTGGGGAAGACTAGGAAAGGAGGGTCAAGTTTCGAGTCCTCATGAAGAAAGGCAGAACCAGGCACTGAATGGGCTGCTTGAGGGTCCAGGTGACAATGGGCATCACTATGAAAGGACAAGAGCCCACTAGTATCTCCACTTCTCCCTGGGACTCAGGAACATTCTGGAATTTTCAAAACTGGCAACTCCAGGACCACAAGGAGACACGGTCAAGGGTGTTCTCTGAGGCTCCTACTAGTGGCTGCATGAGCAGACACATTGACCAGGAGGGGATGGAAAGGAGAGAAAATACTGTGAAGACACAGTGACTGGCTGATACCTGGTCCATGGGCATAGGAGAGGTAGCCTTTGAAGACTTTTAATAATATTTGGGGCCAGATGTGGTGGCTCATGCCTGTAATCCCAGCACTTTGGGAGGCTGAGGGTGGCGGATTGCTTGAGCCCAGGAGTTCGAGACTAGCCTGGGCAACGTAGTGAAACTCCATCTCTACAAAAAATACAAAAATTAGCTGGGCATGGTGGTATGTGCCTGTGGTCCCAGCTACTTAGGTGGCCGAGGTGGGAGGATTGCTTGAGCCCGGGCAGGTTGAGGCTGCAGTGAGCTGTAATCATGCCACTATACTCCAGCCTGGGTGAAAGAGTGAGACCCTGTCTAAATATATATATATTTGGGAGTAGGAGAATTTTTTGGAAGGCCTGTGTGAGCAGGAAGAGTTAAATGCAAGAAGTTTGAGATGCTGATGATAATGACCTTGAATTTATGTCCACAGGCTGCTGAGGCTTGGAATTCTTATTGCTCCTATACACACCAGTATGCTGATTTTGGTCCTTCTTCTCTTTGTGGGATTGGGCTATTTAACTCCTTAAACCTCTGATTCCTCTTTTGTAGAATGGGGGAATAATAACTTTATGAGATTTTGTGTGGTGATTCAATGAACTGATGCAGGAAAGGAGCTTAGCATGGTGTCTAGCCTGTATTGTAAATGCTCAATAAATGTGAGCTATTATTGTGTCATTGTCACATCCATGGGCTTTGAAGTATACACTCTCAGTTTCACAGAATCCTTGGAGTTGTTAACATGGTTCGCTGACCAGACTTCCTTGATAGTATTAGTAATTTCTGAGTCTTGGATCCCTGTTGATCTTTAATGATTGATGTGGCAGGAGGCCACAGCTAATGATTCTTTATTAATCTCAGGCCCTCTGTAAAGGGAACTGCCATTGCAGTCGGCGTTTTCCAATTTTCTGCCACATCTTACGGGAAAACAGTAACTTCTTACTCAGGAGAGATGATATTTTATCAAGCAAAACCAAGCTATTCTGGGAGCGGAGAAATTACTCATATGTTCTCATTCTCTGACCTTTTGGGAAATTTACTGCTGTTTGCATTCTTCTTCATTAAATGGTGGAAGCATTTTTCTATTAAAGCAATTAATGGAAAGCTAACTATATTAAAGCCACATTTGCTCTCTCTATTACAGTCAAAATGGCAGGTCGCATAAACCCTTGACAGTATGACTAGGGTTTCTGTGGCAACCAGATGGTGATGAAGGAGGAGGCCAAGTTCGGGCTTTAGGTGCTTTTTTCTCTGACTCATTGGGGACCCTAGAGATTCCCATGTTTGTGGTTCAGGAATGGGGTTGGCTAGAGGTTTCCTTGCCATGACTCTCAGCCCAGCCTAAATTTAGGGTTCCATATGGCCCTTTGTACTCAAGGTGGGGCTGACAAATGTTGACAAAGTGACTTCCCCCATGAGTAATATTACCAGAGATTGGATTATGGTTTCTAGTCCACAAAATGTTTTTATTTACAATATTTCATTTAATCATGTTGCATTTACCCTAAGGTAAGTTGTCTGCATTCTACAGGTAAGGAAGCAGATTCAGAAAGGTGAAATGGTTTGCTAGAGTCAAGTGGCAGGGTCAGAGCCTGTATCATCCCACTCCAAGGCCAGTGTCCATTCCTTTGGGCCGTGGTATGTGTTAGAAGATCTGCTGTATACACTGTGGCAGGTTGGGTGGTTGGAGGGAAGGAGGTTTTACCTGTCCCTGTTGGAGGCTGTGCTGGAGAACAGGACACAGCTATATGTGCTCTCATGAAAGGCTTAGTTGACAAGATGAGAGATGAACACTTTGTGGAGAAAAGGAACATTGTACTTCTTCCATGATGCCTGATTCTTTGCTTATTGCAGTGTGTAGCTCCTCACTGATTGTAGTAATGAAAGACACTCTTTTATTGCATCTACTAACACAACTCTTCTACAGTTTTCTTCAATGACACTGATTATTTCCCATTGTAAATTTCTTTTCTGAGCCCTTGCCTCAAGAAGCCTCTGCAATTTCATCTCCAATTATTATATTATTGTAAGAAGTGGCTCCCCAGAGGCACAATGGAATGGATGGGATTTATGTCATTTCAACCTCTCACATGAAGCATTCTCTAATTTTTGTTTGGGATGAAAGAGCTGGTTGCTGACTGGAGTTGGATGGGCTACATAAGTATCCTAGATCCTTAATTATGAAATAACATTGTAATTATTTTCCGACTTTAGAATCATCTCTCTCTTTCACTTTCTACTTGCAGCCTGCCACTAAGCATTTCCTTCCTCTGCAATATTTCTTGGCTCTCCTGCTTCCTTTTCATTTTCACCCCAATCCCATAATAACCAATGGCCATCTTAGATCCACAGTGCATCATCTGCCTTCTTTCTGGTTTCTCTGTTTCTTGTCTTTATTCCAGTGCATTCTACACATAGCAGCATGAATCCTTTCTACAACTATTATTGGATTAGGCCACTCCCATTCTAAGAAGCCCAGAATAACTCTCAATTTCCTCTTGAATAAAATTAAACCTCCTAATCACATACTCTAAGCTCCTTAGCCTGTAACCTCCTCTACTTGATGCCCCCCTTGCCTGCCTCAATTGGACATCCTACTGCAGCTACATAAGCCCGTCTACACTTCCTGTCCGTTGTGTGTATTTACACCCACCAGTTAACTCGACAAAGAGCCTTTGGGCATCTCATCTCTCCTGTTCAGAATGTCTCCCCTCTTCATTTTACCTGGGAAACAATTGGTTTGGTTTAATTATGTTTAACTCAGTGTTTCCCAAATTTATTTCACCATGGAACACTTTTGCTCACAAGATAGCTGTTAAAACTGTACTGGATAGCTCTTGTCTTCTCCTTCTCCACCCACAACCCTCCTCTATTCTGCTATGTGCCTTGTGAGGGAGGCAGACATGGATGGTCTGCATCAACAGATCCCCTTTGATCTCCATCGTGGTTACTTTTATGTGTCAACTTGCCTAGGCTCTATTGCCCAGTTATTCAATCAAACACTAATCCAGATACTACTGTGAAGGTGTTTTGTAGATGTGTCTAATCAGTACACTTTAAGTAAAGCAAATTACCCTCCATAATTTGGGTGGGCCGTATCCTAATTGTTTGAAGGCCTTAAGAGCAAAAACCGAGGTTTCCTGTAGAAATTCTAGCTCAAGAAGGCAACATTAGCTTCTGCCTGAGTTTCCAGCCTGTCCTACGCATTTTGGACTTGCCAGGTCCCCTTATCCCCCCACTCATCCCCCAAACAAATGAGCCAATTCCTTAAAACCTTTCTTTCTCCCCACCTTCCCCTGTCTTTCTCTTTCTAAATATTGGTTCTGTTTCTCTGGAGAACTGTGACTGACACACTCTTTAACTTCCGGTTAGTTTGGCCAGTGGGTGCTGATCTTATGATTAGAAGGAGGAAGGACTTAGGATATTTATCCTCTGGGTCACCTACAATTCACTGCATCTGTGGACAGAAGTCACAGTTCCTCTCTGGAGCCTTCTTTCTGTGACTCTTTCCTTCTTGCTTCTGGGTTCAGTAAACCACCCCATCCTCTTTTCCCTTTAGGTCTGGGGATGGTAAGAACTTTCAGCTGTTACTAGACCTGGGATACTGACCTATTTCTTGTGGTTTCCCTACGCTGTTGCGGGAAGTCAGGAATCCCAAACGGAGGGACCGGCTGAAGCCATGGCAGAAGAACATAAATTGTGATGTCAGGGGAAATTCAGCCAGGTATTGGGCGAAATTCACCCCCAATATTTCACGTAGGTTCTTTTCTATATTCCCTAAGTGTCGGCTGGTCTGAGAAACAAAGGGACAGAGTACAAAAGAGAGAAATTTTAAAGCTGGGTGTCCAGGGGAGACGTCACGTGTCGGCAGGTTCTGTGATGCCCCCCAAGCCGTAAAACCAGCAAGTTTTTATTAGTGATTTTCAAAAGGGGAGGGAGTGTATGAATAGGGTGTGGGTCACAGAGATCACGTGCTTCACAAGGTAATAGAATATCACAAGGCAAATGGAGGCAGGGCGAGATCACAGGACCACGGGACTGGAGCGAAATTAAAATTGCTAATGAAGTTTCGGGCATGCATTGTCATTGATAACATCTTATCAGGAGACAGGATTTGAGAGCAGACAACCGGTCTGACCAAAATTTATTAGGCGGGAATTTCCTCGTCCTAATAAGCCTGGGAGCGTTACGGGAGACTGGGGCTTATTTCATCCCTATAGCTTCAACCATAAAAGACGGCTGCCCCCCCGAAGCGGCCATTTTAGAGGCCTACCCTCAGGAACGCATTCTCTTTCTCAGGGATGTTCCTTGCTGAGAAAAAGAATTCAGTGATATTTCTCCCATTTGCCTTTGAAAGAAGAGAAATATGGCTCTGTTCCGCCTAGCTCACCGGCAGTCAGAGTTTAAGGTTATCTCTCTTGTTTCCTGAACATTGCTGTTATCCTGTTCTTTTTTCAAGGTGCCCAGATTTCATATTATTCAAACACACATGCTCTACAAACAATTTGTGCAGTTAACACAATCATCACAGGGTCTTGAGGTGACATACATCCTCCTCAGCTTACGAAGATGATGGGATTAGGAGATTAAAGTAAAGACAGGCATAGGAAATTACAAGGGTATTGATTGGGGAAGTGATAAGTGTCCATGAAATCTTCACAATTTATGTTCAGAGATTGTAGTAAAGACAGGCATAAGAAGTTATAAAAGTATTAATTTGGGGAACTAATAAATGTCCATGAAATCTTCACAATTTATGTTCTTCTGCCATGGCTTCAGCCGGTCCCTCCGTTTGGGGTTCCTGAATTTCCACAACACTATACTCTGCCACATCTTTGTGAACAGCCCATTATTCATCTTTCCTCAAATTGCCCAATTTAAGTGTACTGTTTCCTGACATGACTTTCACTGATATAATGGCTCATGGAATTAGTGTTCCAAGGAAACTGTGCTTCAACTTCAACCTTTCTTTTATTAGGATGGCAAAATTGTAGGGCTCATTGTTTCCCAAAACAGCCTGGGGAAGTCAGGACAAGCTTCACAGAAAAACTGATTCCGGGTTAGGAGTTGAATCATGGGTAGGTTAGTTCCACTGGAGAGAAGGTGGGCATGGCAACAGAGAGTGACAACTAACATTTGTATATTTGGCAGTTATAAACTTGGTCTGCGTATCTTATCTCATTTGATCCTCTCAACAATCCTGTGATGTGAACAATTATTCTTGTGTCACAGATAATAAAAAAATGAGCAAACAAGCAGGGTGTGTGTTCAGGGATGCAGGAGATATTGTTCTAATTAGAGAGTTCTTGATGAAAAGTAGGGAAGAATAAAGGTTTTAGTTTAGGCAGGGCCAAATGATGTGTGATCCAGAGGGTGGAGATGAGGAGTTTGATTTGATGCAAGAGGCTGCAGAGAGCTTTTGAAGGATTATTTCAAAAATTTTTAAATTGACTATATAAATAACACACATTCATGGTAGAATATTTGGGAAAGTAAAGTATAAAGAAGAAAATAAACATCATCTGTAATTTTATCACTGATATGATTTGGATCTGTGTCCCTGCCCAAATCTTATGTTGAATTGTAATCCCCAGTGTTGGAGGTGGGGCCTAGTATGAGGTGATTGGATCAAAGGGGTGGGTTTCTCATGAATGGCTTAGCACCATCCCCCTTGGTGCTGTTCTCGTGATAGTGAGTTCTTCCAAGATCTGGTTGTTTAAAAGTGTGTAGCACCTCCCCCCTTGCTCTCTCTCTTGCTCCAGCTCCTGTCATGTAAGACGCCTGCTCCCACTTTGTCTTCTGCCATTATTGGAAGCTTCCTGAGGCCTCCCCAGAAGCAGAAGCTGCTATGCTTCCTGTAAAGTCTGCAGAACCATGAGCCAATTAAACCTCTTTTCTTTATAAATTACCCAGTCTCAGGTATTTCTTTACAGCAATGCAAGAATGGACTAACACAATCACCAAGTGATATCCTTGTTTTTCCCCCTCTTAAAATTTGAGATCAATCAGCATTCATAACATTGTGCCCTGTTTTAGTCATCTGACTCAGAAGTTTCTCAACCATGGTGATACTGACATTTGCAGCTGGATCATTCTTTGCCGTGGGGGCTGTTCCTGTGCACTATAGAATTTTTAGCAGTATCCCTGACCTTTACCCACTAGCTGCTGGTAGCACTCCTCTCCCTCCAGCTCTGACAACCAAAAATATCTCCAGACATTTTTATTTATTTATTTATTTTTTTGAGGTGGAGTTTCGCTCTTGTTGCCCAGGCTGGAGTGCAATGGCATGATCTCAGCTCACTGCAACCTCCACCTTCTGGGTTCAAGGGATTCTCCTGCCTCAGCCTCCCAAGTAGCTGAGATTACAGGTGCCTGCCACCACGCCCGGCTAATTTTTTGTATTTTTACTAGAGATGGAGTTTCACCCTGTTGGCCACGCTGGTCTCGAGCTCCTGACCTCAGGTGATCCACCCGTCTTGGCCTACCAAAGTGCTGGGATTACAGGCATGAGCCACCACGCCTGGCCCAGACATTTTTGCCAAATGCTCCTTGATGGGGAAAATAATCTCTGGTTGAGAATCTTTGATTTAACTTTATATTGTGAGCACTTTCTCCATATCATTGAGTAGTCATTTAAAAAATCCATGTGATAGACATACCATACTTTATTTACTTATGGCTTTTTCCCCTCAAATATTTAGTTTGTTTCTTTTCTTTTTTTTTACATCATGAACAACACAGTGATGAGTATCCTTGCCTATACATCTTTGGTAGAATTTCTAATTATCTCTTAAGCACCAATTCCTAGAAGTACATTTTCTTTCTTTCTTTCTTTTTGTTTTTTTTGAGACGGAGTCTCGTTCTGTCGCCCAGGCTGGAGTGCAGTGGCACGATCTCGGCTCACTGCAACCTCCGCCTCCTGGGTTCAAGCAATTCTCTGTCTCAACCTCCCGAGTATCTGGGATTACGGGCACCCGCCACCATGCCTGGCTAATTTTTTTTTGTATTTTTAGTAGAGATGGGGTTTCACCATCTTGGCCAGGCTGGTCTTGAACTCCTGACCTCGTGATCCACCCACCTCAGTCTCTCAAAGTGCTGGGATTACAGGCATGAACCACCGCGCCCGGCCTAGAAGTACATTTCTGAGTCAAAAGACATGAATGTTTCAAGGCTCCTGGAATATTGTTCTGAAAAAGTGCCTCTATGTTATCAACCCTCATAAGCCCTGAGGATTATCCTTAGGAAAACTCCTGGTATGTATATAAGTTTTAAAAAACGGACATCCTAAAATTTTAATTTGCACTTTTTGATCTTTAGTAAAGTTTTTCCATATGTTGCTGGAAAGTCTGGATTTCTTTTTGTTTATTTCCTTTTGCCTAACTTGTAGATTGTTGGATGTTTTAATCATTATGAAAGCAGTGTTTAGAAAGATACCATCTGACCTGTGTTTTGGGGGATTAAACTGATTTGCATTTCTGTTTTTCAGGTCTCTTGTTTTTCCAGTTTTCAGCTCTGATGTCAGAAATTTATTCAACTTTGTAAGGAAAATCTAACTCCAGGCCAGGTGCAGTGGCTCACGCCTGTAATCCCAGTACTTTGGGAGGCTGAGGCGGGCAGATCATTTGAGGCCAGGAGTTGGAGACCAGCCTGGTCAACATGGTGAAACCCCATCTCTACTAAAAATACAAAAATTAGGGAGGTGTGGTGGTGCGCACCTGTAATCCCAACTACTCAGGAGGCTGAGGCACGAGAATCACTTGAACCCAGGAGGCGGAGGTTGCAGTGAGCCAAGATTGCACCACTGCACTCCAGCCTGGGCAACAGAGCAAGACACTTTCTCAAAAAAGAAAAAGAAAAGAAAATCTAACTCTGTCCTCAAAAGAAGCATGGAAGGAAAGAAAGCAAAGAAAGACTTGCAAATAGACTTTTCAAACTTCTAGTTAACAACTTCAAAGTCCCACTTTCTGTAGCCAAGTCTGCTAGTATTTTCTGCTTAGTATTATAAATGGATTGTTATTCACTGCTGTGCTCTCCTGGGGATGTAAAATTAGACCTGGAATCCAGTCCCAGCTCTTCCTCCAACTACTTCTCTAATCTCAGGCAATTGCTTCATCTCTCTGAACCTAACTCTCCTCATTTATAAAATAATGTGGTCAGTGAAGATTATCTCTCAAGGCCTTTAGAATTCTAGAAATTTGTGTTCATGTAGTGGGAAGAAAATAACTGGATGGCAACAACCTGGGACCCTGGAGTCTTGTTTTGAGCAGGGGGAAGAAAAGCCATGCAATGTTAAAATACTATAATGAAACAAAATAATGGCAAAATGCAACACTTGTCAATTCTAATCGTTAATGAGCTTTATGTCTCTTACCTTTTACTATTCTGCAGCACTTTTGTCTACTAACAACAGGAATTTTCCTGAAGTGCCAAATATTTACAAAGGCAGTGGTAGAGTGGGGGGGTTTACTTAGGGGTTGCTGTTGAGACAGGAAAAGTTGCAAAATTGGTTTTTGCAGGTGATATAGTCTATCTCATTGTATATATTTGTCTGTTTACTGTCTTCTCCACTGGAATGGAAATTCCATGAGGAAAGAGACTTTTTGTGTATCTTGTCCATCACGGGATCCTCAGTACCTAGACAGTGCCCAGCACATGGTATGTGCTCAGTAAGTACATGAAGAACAAATACATAAATAAATGGATGAACTGGAATGTCTCTGTAGCACATACAAGTATAACTTATGAAAACAACTTACTCAAAGAGTCGCAAGAGCTCTCCGATTTTAATTTTGTGACTATGGAGCTTGAACCCTAATCAAGTTCCTCAAAATGTGCCCTCTGCAAATAAGTCCAGCAAATATAGCTTTTTTTTTTTTTTTTTTTTTTTTTTGTGAGACAGAGTCTCACTCTGTCACTCAGGCTGGGAGTGCAGTGGTGTGATCTTGGCTCACTGCAACCTCTGCCTCCCTCAAGCGATTCTTATGTCTCAGCCTCCCAAGTAGCTGGGATTATAGGCATGTGCCACCATGCCCAGCTAATTTTCGTATGTTTCACCATGTTGGTCAGGCTGGTTTCAACCTCAAATGGTCTACCCGCCTCAGCCTCCCAAAGTGCTGGAATTACAGGCATGAGCCACCACGCTGGCCAAATATAGCTATTTTAAAGTTAACTAAATGGATGAAATTAATTATATTTGAGAACGATTGACTGAACAAATGAATGGAGAAATAAAAAAAAGCAATGAAGGAGCAAGTGGTCTAACAGATAGATTAAAATAAACTTGGCTAAAAATTAATTTTACAGGAGAATTTGGATATGAGTTTCCTTTGCCATCATTTAAAGCTTTTATGAAGATAATTTTGGAAATATGTTCATCAATATTATTATCATTTATTAGAACAGAGATTTATGAAAACAGATGCTGTTAATTTTTTTCTACCACCTAGAAGGCAGATTAATACATGTTCACAAATACAATAACAAGAAGGGTGATGAAACTACAGATATAGGGGAAGGAAGCCACTTCAGGACTGCAAAACAATGAGGACCTTTGAGCTCCATTTGCTGCCTCACCTGTAAAATGAGAATGGAAACTCTGTAAAAATGGTGAGGGAATAGCTATGATTGCTGTTTGCAAGGTATAAATAGATTTTGGGAAATTATCATTGCAGCAGCAAGCAGTTTCAAAATTATGTTAGAGAACTCCATTTTGCTGTGAAGTTGTAGACATGCAATGCCAAAGAACACCAGCTTTTGACTCCATGTGATTTATGTGTAAAATTCACTCTAGAAGTTCAGCAAGGCTGACATGTGGGTCCACAAGTTTGCCAATTGTCTTCAAATGTGCAGTCAAGATGTATGAGCCAGCCAAATAAATCCTCAAAAGTAGTAAGAGAAAAGATAATCTATTTGAATCACACTTTCTTTTCAGAGACAAACTTCTTCAGTCTCTCAACATAATATTAGCAAGCTATGTTACTACTTCTTAAGATGAAATTATTGTTTTCTCTGGTAATTAAGTATTTAATTCCAATGACTACAGTGACTATGTCTGGCTGGTTTGTGGTAGAGACTATTGGGCTGTCAACCATACTTGTTTCCTGGACACACAACTGAACTACATTTCCCAGCCTCCCTTGCAGTTATGTACAGTTAGGTGTGACAGAACACTGGCTAGTAGAATGTGAGTGGAGGTGATGTGGGCCACTTTCAGGCCTGGACCATTACAATTTCCCACACGATACTCTAAGGTGGCAAAGTCTTAGTCAGCCTGGGTCCCTGGGATACTCTGTGGAGCAGAGATGTGACCCACTTCCCAACCCTCAGCTTACTGGACAATATTTTAGAGAGCAATCAACTTTAATTGTTTAAACTGCTCAGATTTCAGGGCAACTAGCATTGCACTAACTCAGGATAGACAATGGGAACACTCTAGAACAGAAGCAACAGAAACACATAAATAAACAATTGTAAAAATAGAAACAGTGAAAGTATGGAGGCATGCCTGGCCTTTCCCATTGCAGTGATCTGGGCCAGTCCATTTACAAAATATTATGCAGCAGCTGCCCACGTGCTGAGAAATAATTGAAGTGGAACCTTAATGGGAACAAACAAATAATAACCAATCTGATTGTAAACAATTTCAGTTCAAAAAACCACTAAGTATTTAAGAACACTTCTCTATTTATAATTCAATGACAAAAAGTTTTTATTGCTTTTTTACTTACTGTGGTATATCATTAAGGGGGTGAAGTCAGGAAGAGGGAAGAGAAGGAAAGAAGGAATGTAAGGGAATAGCTATTGGCTTTCTCTAACTGGCTTTGCTGGTGCGGGGCTTGATTCAAATGATCAAGATGAGTGGGTCATGCCCAGTGCGACCACTTGGGAAAGGAACACTGCAGCTGCAGGGTCTTCAGCCAGCCAAGGGCAAGTCTTCTTAGTAATCATCACAAGAAGAGCCCTCAGGTACTCAGGAGTGAGAAACCCTCCTTGAGCATCGTTAAAATGGAGCACAGTGGGAAGGAATGAGAAATATAATGAACACAGGGACACAGCATCAAAACCCGTTCCCTGAAGTTACCAGGCAAAAAAGAAGAGAGAAAAAAGAAAA
Source organism: Homo sapiens (assembly GCF_000001405.40). Taxonomy (NCBI): domain Eukaryota; kingdom Metazoa; phylum Chordata; class Mammalia; order Primates; family Hominidae; genus Homo; species Homo sapiens. Next base: position 16,415,796 of record NC_000023.11, on the reverse strand, counting down.
GATCTTTTGTGCTGAGTGAAAACTGAACATCTCTTCTGCCTCTCTTAGGAGCTTATGATGTCTTCTCCATCTTATGATGGCATCAAAACTTCTGTTATTTTAATACAATTATATTAGTTCTGCGGGATAAACAATGGCATTATGTAATAATAGTCATATTTGATTATTACTTAATCAAATAGTTTAATGAAATAATAATCATATTTAGGTTATAAATTAGAATTAGGTTATAATTATATCTTCATATGTAAATTATAATTAGATTATCATATCAACCAGACGACTAAATCTACTAAAGAAGTATCTGCATCTACTTCAGAAGTGAGTTGTTATTTTTAAAAGTCCGTAGTTGAAGATAACAATGTAACCCGAACAGCTACCAAAGGTATCAAGACCTAGTACTCAGTGTAGCCAGGCTATTCATTTTGACCAAATAACTACTCTTCATTTGCTCATTTTCAATTCTAAATGTTCTGGCGCACATAACATTGCAGTTAATATGTTAGGTCAATTAGCAGAAGATAATTTCACAGACAGTTAAGTGATGCCAGACCTATATCAAAAGATTTCAGATGTTTCAAATGGAAAAGCAATAAATACAAACCATGATTTTATTTTTCATCCATTTCATGAAATCAAAGCAAAGCTTTGGACATTCATTCTGCTAAAAGTGAAATACCTGACATGAATGCAATTACAAATTTAGTTATAAAGTTCAACACGGAAGATAAAATTATTTGGTTTTATGTGAATGTGTATGTATTTCACACATATTTTACATACGTATTACATATATTTCACGGAGGACAGTGATGTGGTACAAACAATGGCATTATTTCATCAAGAAATGTGTGGAGAAGATATGTTTTTGAAATTGGTTTGCTGCATACGTTATTCATGATTGTTTTCAAACAAGCAGGAATATTTTGTCAATCAAAACAGAAGCTGTAGCTGCCAAATTTCAACATGTTTTTATATATACTCAAAGTAACTAAACTACAATATTTTTTTATGACAAAAACAATGTTGGATGCAAAAAGAATTTGTCAGCATGGCAGTGCATGCATTCTTTCTTTGCTACTCTCATCTATCAGATTGTAGAAATGTTTGACCTTTTGAGCCTTCCAACAGAATAAGATTTTTGTGTGTGTACAAAGAATCATCTAAATTTTGGTTGCGTTTTTTCTCCCCAAATCTATTGAACATCTTTAATCAAGGTATTCAACAAATGGAAAACCAAAATATTTAAGATTTTAATCAAACGTAATAATTAAAATAAGGTCTGCGGATGGAAGTCATTAAAACATGTTGGTACAAGCACAAGAGAAAAGCCAAACAAAATAAATGATAAGAACTTAGATCATATACATGGTTTAATTTGACATTCTATTATTGTGTTATGGGATGTCTTGACTTGTGAGAAGAACCTTGGGATGGCACTCACATTATTAATTGGATAAATTCATATATTTTTCACTAGATGGATTTAAATTGATAAAGCCTACAATTTTGCAACATCTAAATTTGGTGACACATTCAAAAGAATCCTAAAAGAGAGACAATTTTTGGTTGAGTTTTGTCTTATAAAAGTGCTTGTTGAAGAAAGATACCTGGAAACAAAATGACAGTACCTATAAAAATTATTTGGGCTTAAATTCTTATACATTTGAATATCCACAAAAATAGAAATGAGAACATTCCCCATTTAGCAGAATTTACTCAGAATCTATAATGAGAGTAAATTCTCAATTAAAAATATTATGGTCTAGAGATAGCTGTTTGATGTATCAATAGTTTCAAACCAACAACCACAAAAATGCAACTTTAAAGAAAATTGCAACCAATTTTATGAAAAAAATTAAAACGACTGTATTAAAAATACATTCTTCAGGTAAACACTAACGACACAGTTTTAGAGAGTAATACAGTTAAAAACTAATAAAAACATGTAAATACAGTTGACTCTTGGACATCTCAGGGTTCAGGGGTGCTGAACCCCCGAGCTGTCAAAAATTTGCATATAACTTTTGATTCCCCGCAAACATAACTACTAATAGCCTACTGTTGACTGGAAGCCTTACTGATAAACAGTCAGTTAACACATAATTTGTATGTTATGTGTATTATGTACTGTATTATAATAAAGTAAGCTGGATAAAAGAAAATGTCATTAAGAAAATCCTAAGGAAGAGAAAATATACAGCATTTACTATTCATTAAGTGGAAGTGGATCATCATAAAGGTCTTCATCCTTGTCATCTTCATGTTGAGTAGGTTAATGAGGAAGAGGACAAAGAGAGGTTGGTCTTGCTGTCTCCGAAGTGGCAGAGGCGGAAGAGGTGGAGGAGATGGAAGGGGAAGCAGGACAGGCAGGCACACTCAGTGTAACGTTATGGAAATATTGTACACTTATTTCTTTCTCTTTTGCTTTATCATTTCTCTAACAATGTTTCTATACGATGCCAGTCCTTCCACAATTTGCTGTAGTTTCAGTGCCCATATCATAGAAGGGTCTGTGTCATAAAAGAAGTCATAAATACTCTTGAACAATTAGAACCCTTCTGCAGGATTGTCTAATGTCAATTTGTTTTCTGGAATGGCTTCTCCTACATCTTCCTCATTGTCTGGCTACTGGTTCAGAAGCACTCATCTCCATGAAGTTATCTTTTGTTAATTCCTCTGGTGTGGTGTCTATTAGCTCTTGAATTTCTCCAAGTTCTGTATCTTTAAACCCTTCACCCCCACTTTTTTTTTTTTTTTTTTTTTTTTTTTTTTTTTTTGCCATATCCACAATCTCTTTCATGATTTCCTTGACTGGCTCTGTCATAAATTCTGTGAAGTCATGTACAGCATCTGGACACAGTTTTTCCCAGCAGGAATTTATTGTTTCAGGCTTGATGGCTTTCACAGTTTTTTCTATAACAACAATGGTATATTCAATGGTGTAATCCTTCCAGATTTTTATGATGCTTTCTCTATCAGGGTTCTCTTCTATAGCGTTGACAATCTTTTCCATAAAGTACTGTATATAATGTGCCTTAAAGGTCCTTTTGACCCCCGATCTAGAGGCTGAATTAGAGACATTGTATTTGGGGGCAAGTAGATCACTTTGACACCTTTGGTGTTGAACTAATGGGGTTCTGGTGGCCAGGAGCATTGTCCAATATGAAAAGAACTTAAAAAGGCAGTCCCTTACTGGCAAGGTACTTCCTGACTTCAGGGACAAAGCATCAATGGAACTAACTCAGAAAGAGGCTCTTGTTGTCCAGGCCTTCTTGTTGTACAACCAAAAGACTGGCAGCTGATATTTCTTTTCCCTTCAAGGCTCAGGGGTTAAATGAGGGCAGTCCTGATCATAAACCTGACTACATTTGCAGAAAACAGTAGAATTAGCCCATCCCTTCCTGCCTTAAATCCTAGTGCTTGTTTCTCTTCCCTACTAATAAATGTCCTTTGTGGCATTTTTTTTTTTCCAGAATAGGACACTTTTGTCTCCATTAAAAACCTGTCCAGGCAGATATCCTTTTTCCTCAATGATTTTCTCAAAGGTGGCTGAGAACTCATGCACTGCCTCTTGGTCGGCAGAAGCTGCTTCTCTTGTTATCTTGACATTTTTAAAGCCAAATCTCTTTCTAAAACTATCAAACCATTCTTTGCTGGTATTAAATTCTTTGGCTTTAGATCCTTCACCTTCCTTTTGCTTTAAATTGTCATATAATGACTTCACTTTTTCTAGAATCATGTTAGAGTCTATAGGTATACCTTTCTTATCGCAATCCTCCACCCTCATAAAACCTGCATTTTCAATACAAGATAAAAGCATACTTTGCAAAAAGTGCAAGGTTTTCATACCTGCTGGCATAACTGCAGTGATGGCTTCACAAATTTCCTTTTCTGTTTTTACAGTGGTCCTTACGCTGGATTCATTTATCTTGAAATGATGAGCAACAGCAGCTGCAGACCTCATTCTACAGTGCTCAAGCAATTCAGCTTTTTCCTGTCATGTTATGACTCTTCTCTGCTTTTTGGGAGCACTTCCAGCATCACTAGTGGCACGTCATATGGGTCCCATGGTGTTATTCAAGGTTTACAGTATTGCACTAAATACAATGATAAATACTTGAGGACCGCAAGAGATTACTTTTTACTGTGATCTGCAATTTACTGTAGAGACAAACTGTTCACGTAAAGATAGTCAGCCTCACATGGCGGCATTTTAAGCGCATACTTACAACGCTTGAGCTCACCATGATAGCAACAGGAGGTGGCTATGAAATGATTACAGTAGTGCAGTATTACTACAGTAAATTTTATGCAGTCTTGATTTAGAACTGCATCTTTACATTTGTTTACATTTCCCTCGACTGTTTACCATGTATTGTCTGTGTTTGTGTGCATAAGTTTTGATAAATTTTAACTTTTATAGATTTGTGTATATTTTATGGTAGTAAGTGATGAAGTAAACTAGTATCTACGTATATTTTATGCATTCATGACATATCTAACTTTTTCTTAAATGTTTAGATATTTCTAGGCTATCTGGTTTGGGAGTTTTTCAAATTGTCATAAAATCTTTGAAATATTTTCCAATATATTTATTGAAAAATATCTGCATATAAGTGGACCCATACAGTTCAAACCTGTGTTGTTCAAGAGTCAACTGTGTATACAAAAATCATCGTTCTGCTTGTTATTTTATTTTTTTGAGACAGAGTCTCGCTCTGTTGCCCAGGCTGGAGTGCAATGGCACATTCTTGGCTCTGCCTCCTGGGCTCAAGTGATTCCCCTGCCTCAGCTCCCAAGTAGCTGGGATTACAGGCACTTGCCACCATGCCCAGCTAATTTTTTGTATTTTTAGTAGAGACAGGGTTTCACCATGTTGGCCAGGCTGATCTCGAACTCCTGACCTCAGGTGATCCACCCACCTTGGCCTCCCAAAGTGCTGGAATTACAGGTGTGAGCCACCGTGCCCAGCCCTGCTTGTTATTTTTTAATGTCAAGATTATCAACAAAAAAGTTTCAATTTTGTTTTCACGTGCGCATATATATATATATATATATATATAACTTTTATTTTTGAAAGATTTTAAAAATAATTTCAAGTTTTATTTTAGATTCAGGGGATACATGTGCAGGTTTGTTACATGGATATATTGTGTGATACTGAGGTTTGGGGTACAACTGATCTGTCACTCAGGTAGTGAGCATAGCATCCAATAGTTAGTTCTTCAACCCTTACCTCCTCACCCTCCTACCAGTGGTCTCCAGTGTCTATTGTTTCCATCTTTATGTCCATGAGTATGCAATGTTTAGCTCCCATTTATAAGTGAGAATACATGGTATTTGGTTTTCTGTCCCTGCATTAATTCGCTTAGGATAATGGTCTCCAACTGCATCCATGTTGCTGCAAAGGACATGATTTCATCTTTTTTATGACTGCATAGTATTCCATGGTGTATATGTACCACATTTTCTTTATCCAGTCTATCACTGATGGGCATCTAGGTTGATTTCATGTCTTTTTTTGAAATATTTTATTTCAAAATAAGATATTAAATATTTTAAATATTTAAATGTTAAAAAAATTAAATGAAATAAATATTTCATTTATTTTAGACCCTCCCATTTTACTTTGGATGTGTCTTGGTTTGGACTACAAATTACATGGTCAACCTAATTATAATTGTTACCGATAATCATTGTTTTATTTTTTTTTTTTTTTTTTTTTTTTTTTTTTTTTTTTTTTTATTATACTCTAAGTTTTAGGGTACATGTGCACATTGTGCAGGTTAGTTACATATGTATACATGTGCCATGCTGGTGCGCTGCACCCACTAATGTGTCATCTAGCATTAGTATATCTCCCAATGCTATCCCTCCCCCCTCCCCCGACCCCACCACAGTCCCCAGAGTGTGATATTCCCCTTCCTGTGTCCATGTGATCTCATTGTTCAATTCCCACCTATGAGTGAGAATATGCGGTGTTTGGTTTTTTGTTCTTGCGATAGTTTACTGAGAATGATGGTTTCCAATTTCATCCATGTCCCTACAAAGGATATGAACTCATCATTTTTTATGGCTGCATAGTATTCCATGGTGTATATGTGCCACATTTTCTTAATCCAGTCTATCATTGTTGGACATTTGGGTTGGTTCCAAGTCTTTGCTATTGTGAATAGTGCCGCAATAAACATACGTGTGCATGTGTCTTTATAGCAGCATGCGATAATCATTGTTTTAAATTATCCAGCCCTTAAAGTGAGAGCCTGTCTCAAAATAAATAAATAAATAAAAATTGTCTAGAAGCACCAAAAAAAAAAAAATGTATCCAGCCCTGTTTGATCCACCTGATGACTATACTCACATGAGTGACCCAAGCCCAGATCAGCAGAGGAACCACTCAGCTGAGCCTAGCATAAATTGCTGATAGACTGATAAGCAAACAAAATAGCAGTTAAGTCCCTAAGTTTTGGGGTGGTTTGTTAGGTCGTAATGGATACTTGATACATTATCCTTGCCTGCTCTAGTCTGAGAGCACTTCATTTGATCAGCTAGAGCTCTCCATGCTTTCCTTGAAAGAACAGTGTTAATACATCTGTGTGTGGAAAACATCGGAAAAGAAGGAATTGGTTATTAGTAACCAAGTTTAATACTTAATCACTTGTTAAAGGCAGAATTCTATTCGCTGCTTATGGGTTTCCCATGCTACTGCATGAAACCATCACAGAAGTTGTAATTACAAGATGGAAGTCAAGAAAATCTGCTCAGTTTATATAAATACATCTATTCATAGTATTACTTCCTTAAAAATGAAAATCCCAAAACAAATGCTAAACTCAACAGGATGTTAGAACAATAAGTAGAAACTAGATTATCCCAAGCCAAAGAGTATAGTTGGTAGACAGCAGGCTCTAGTGTCAGCTGGCATAGATTTAAATTAGAAGCTGGGATTATGGGCATATCATTTGACTGAAAACAGCAACCATTTTGTTTGCTTATGAGTCTATGTGTCAGCAATTTGGGCTGGGCTCAGCTGAGTGGTTCCTCAGCTGATCTGGGCTTGGGTCACTTGTGTGAATGCAGTTATCAGGTGGTTCAAACAGGGCTGGATAGCTTAAAACAATGGTTATCGAGCAATATGGAGTTAAATAATATGTCCTTTTAGCTCTGACCCATCATCAACTGGAAGCACATCCAGAATGATCCTGTCTGTGGTGATGGTGGTGATGATTTTGAATCATGCCACGAGAGATAGCATTGATTAAATTGTAAGTAGGTTCAAGAAGATATTAAAACATTGACTAGGTTTAAACAAAAAATATTGGGCACTACACATTTAAAGTATCATTGAGGGAAGAATTTAGGGCTCTTTGTGAGCAGGGGGCAATCAAGTATAGCTAGTAGAGAACAGGCTCTAGTGGTAGCTGACATGAATTTGAATTCAGATGAACCTAACACTTAGTAGTTGAGATGCTGGGCACGTCATTTAACTTCATATGCCCTATTTCTGCCTCATCTGTATCATGGAAAAAATAACTACCTATCTTGCAGAGTCCATCTAAGGATTAAATGCATAATATACATAATTCACTTGAAATAGTGCCTGGTCAATAGCAAGTACTCAATACACCATCCTCAGGCTCTTAAGATAAGTGTCAGTGAGTACAGTCAGTGAAAACAAGGGACTAGAAAACCACAGGTCACACCCAGTATAACATTTGTTGTAGTTGAGATGCTTTATTCTTTTTAAGTTTTATGGTCCATTAGACAGCAATGATGGGCACTGACATTGCCATTGTTGGATTGGTAGGTCACCAAAACGTCAACACATTTGGTGAAAATGAACAAGCTGAGATCATCAGTTGGGTACACAAAGCAACCAGCCAACTCAAAATACATCAGTTACAAAAATGTCTAAATTAGTGGATTAAACAAATAGTTATTTCATGTTTTTCCTGTAACAATCCAGTCTAGGGCTAGTGGTTCCATAATAACACTCTTTCCTCAGCTGTCCTCATGTGTGATCCATCTCTTTCCTCAGCTGTCCTCATGTGTGATTGTTGCTCAGGTCACAGTTGGCTGCTTCTCCTTCCTCACTGTGCCCACATTGTGGGCAGGAAGATTGGCAGGGCAGAGGTCACAGGGTGGAGGGTCCCCTATCTGAGTATGCCCTGCTGCCTTCTTTTTTTTAAGACAAGGTCTCACTCTGTTTCCCAGGCTGGAGTGCAGTGATATGATCATAGCTCACTGCAGCTTTGACCTTCTGGACTCAAGAGATCCTCCCACCTCAGCCTCCTGGGTAGCTGAGACTACAGCTGTGGGCCACCCTGATACCCTCTTTAAGGTGAGCTGTGAGCCCGGCCCCCTATGCAACAACTTCCATGTATGTTTTATTGGCCTGAACTGGCTTACGTGGTCATCCCATCTGCAACAGAGGCTGGGGAATATAGTTTTTAGCTGGGCCTGTTGCCTCCTCCAACAAAAACAGAGTTCTGCTAGCAAGGAAAAAAGGGGGACTAGATACTGGATTGTAAAAGATAGAATTCAGTTCACTGCCTTTAGCTCTCACTTGCTATCACACAAGATCATGGTGAAGCTAGAGTTACAAAGTGGATGTCAAGTAAACCCATCTCAGCCGACTCTCACTCATCAAGTTTTTCATTTTCCATTCAGTTGTCATGAAGTTGCACTGATACACTCATTAAGGGACTGGGGGAATTTGTAAGCACCTGGGGGACCTATCTCTCAAAATGTTTATTTGGAAGACCATTTAGCCAATTCAAGAGATTGCACTGTGAACAATAATTTGTCTTTTTAGAGGGATATGGGGAGAGTCAAGCCACAATACTTTATTTTGGGGAATTTATATCATCCTCTCCCTGGATAGATTTGAACACCACAGGCAGGAAATATAAACAAGATTTTCTCTTATTCTCAGAGCATTTCCGGGACAATAATATCTTTGAGACCAGGTTTGGTTTGGTTTTCTCTAGTTTCTCTGTAGCTGTTAGCAAAAGCCTATTGTGATAATGCGTGAATCTCTGTGAGAAAAATGACAAAACACAACAGGGTGTTTTCCTATGTAGGAGCAGGCTCAACGTGGCTCCCCAGCAAATAAAACCCAGTTACAGAATTCCTTTCTCCTCTTAACTCATGTAGTACATTGTCCCTCTATTCTTCTGTTTCACAGTCACGCTGCCTTCCATTAGTTACTTCTGGGTCTATTTCTTCCTCCATGTGTCTCTCCACTATACTAAAACAATTTTTTTAAAGGTCAGAGACTAAGACATGCATCTTTTTTTATCATCAGAAACTGTCCAGTAGAAACAGGATGTGAGTCACTAAATTTTCTTCATACTAATTGCTCTCATAGCCACATTTAAAAAGTAAAAAGAAATAAGTAAAATTAATTTTAGTAATGTATTTCATTTAGCCCAATATATCCAACATGTGAGCACTTTAACATGTAATCCATACAACACAGCTGAGATATTTCACATTTTGTTGGTATTACATTTTTCAGAATTCAGTGTGTCTTTTACACTTACCTCACATCTCATTTGGGACTAGGCACATTTCAAGGGCCTAATAGCCACATGGGACTAGTGTCCACCATAATGGACAACACAGGCATAGACAATGCCTTGGACAATAAGGGTACATCATAGTCACCAGTAGAATTTTACTTAGGCACAAAAAGAAGCTGTTAAGTGCTAGGATTTTAGAAAATACCGTAGTTACAGCTTAGTGTGATCCACAAAGATTTGACTGTCTCCCTTATAGTATGGCCAGCTTTATACTGCATTAACCAGGCTCAAGAGATCAGAGATGGGGGGTACGTGGGGCAGGTTAATGGGTACCAAAAAAAAGTTAGATAAAATGAATAAGACCTACTATTTGGTGGCACAACAGGGTGACTATAGTTAATAATCACTTAATTGTACATTTTAAAATAACTAAAGGAGCATATTGGATTATTTGTAATACAAAGGGCAAATGTTTGAGCGGATGGATACCCCATTCTCCATGACGTGATTATTACACATTGCATGCCTGTATCAAAACATCTCATGTGTCCTATCAATATATACACCTACTATGTACCCACAAAAATAAAAAAAAAGAAATCAGAGAGTGGGGAGAAATTTTACTTATCTAGATTCATATAATAACTTGACCTCAGAGAACACAGAGTCAAGTTATCTCATATTATAAATGGAGGTAACTGAGGCCCAGTTAAGCCTTTAAGTGATTTTTCCAAGGTCACACAGCTAGTCAGTGGCAGAGCCAGTCCTAGGACCCAGTTATTGACCCAACATTTATTTAGCAAGTTATCAAGAGCCTTCTATGTGTAAGATACTGTGCTATATGCTTGGGATATAAAGCCATTAAATTGCAGTTTCTGTATATGAGGTGTTGACAGGTAAGAGGGGGAGACAAAGGATAGGAATCATACTCTAAGACATTCTGGATGTTATACACCATGTATAGTGGAGCCCAAAGGAGGGGAAAGTGGTGAAAGGGGTGAGGTCTGGGAAGACTCATCTGTTGCCCACTTTAGTGCTGCCTGTAAGCTCCAGAATTCAAAACATGGGAGCCACTTGACCCATTAAATAACACATCATTAAACGTGGAATTTCTTTCCTTTTGAATATAGTTAAGGATTTTCCTCTCACATATTTGGGGCATGTCTTAGCTTGTGTTTCCTGAAAAGCAGATCCTGAGACAAAGACTTGGGAGCCAATAATTTAATTGGGAGGTGATCCCAGGATACCCAAGTTAGGGAGTGGGAATTGGGGCAAGGAAGAGAGAAAAGCCAATAAAGGGTGAGTGAATGTGTGGATTACAACTGCAGATGACTGGGGCTCAATCTTATTGGGGATATTGGGAGACAATGTAGAGCACACCTCAAAATTGTCCCAGCCTGTGAAGGTGAACCTGAGGTGTGTATCCACTGAATCTGGCTCCGCCTTGGTTGATTTAATCTGAGGGTGTTAAATCTGAGCTTCTTGGTGCACAAGCTCTCTCGAAGGCAGAGGGATATGGGTGCTTGAAGCAGGGAGCTGTCAGGGAGCCCAGGGAACAGTCCACCGTAGCAGCAGGTGGAGTCTGAAGTGTCAGGAGGGGAAACGAAGCAGGGCACCAACAGCATCTGCCATGGGAAATTACCCTCACTTTTTCAGTGTTAAGTCTGAATATCTTCCGTGCAGGAATGTTTTCCTGTACTGTATCGTCAAGTTTACTGTTTGCCCCAGTTTTCCTGCTTCCCCCTCTACAATGCCTGTTTTTAGAAGCTTGTATCTTTGTTCCTGTTGCTGTAATCTTTTTTTTTTTTTTTTTTTTTTTTTTACCATTTTCATCCTTTTGTTCTTTCCCCTCATTATTTTTGGAGTGCTGTGTAAGTTTGCCTTATACATTTTTTATTTGTTTCCTAATGCAGATTCTGCTCTTTTGTTGGCTCTAGTGGATACTTCTTTCTTTGTAGTTTCCTTGGATTCTTTGCAATTTGTCCCAGCTCTTTCTTCACCCTTCTATTTTCATGCCAGCCTTGCATGCTTTTATTTCTTCTTTCATTGCCTACTTCACAGAGTTCAGATTTTCTTATATATAAGGATGGTGCAAACGTAATTGAGGTTTTTGCCATATTTTTGAGAACCTAACTTCTTCCTGTTTCCCCACAGTTGCATACTTTCTTGATCTTTGCTGCTCAAACTGTGGTCTAAGCACCACCAGCATCAGCATCACCCAGGGGCTTGTTAGAAATGTACATTTTCAGACTCCACCCCAGACTCACTGAATCAGAATCTGCATTTTAACATAACATGCTCCCCTGCCCCCACTGCCACCCTCCCCACTTCAACCAGGGATTTGTATGTGTCCTGAGAGTTGAGAAGCACAGGTCCCTGGTTCCCTGGGAAGGAGCCTGGGGCGTGATTAGGAGCACAGACCTTCAATTTTTATTTGAGTCCCAGCCTTGGCACCAATCAGCCATGTGACTTTGAAGATTTAATTATCCTTCTGGGACTTCAGTGCCTCTCTCATGGGGTGGCTCTGAAAATTAAGGTAGGTAAGTATGTGAAGTGCTAAGCAGAGTACCTGGAACATCAGCATTTGAAAAATAACTGCTATGTGATCAGGTTTTAATGTTGCAAAATATTTTTATTGATCTTTTCATGTTAAATTCTTTTATTCCCCACCTGTGAGTTCATCCTTGCAAGAAAGAGATCTAGCCTGACCTGAGTTTTGCAGAAGATGAGGTAATACTACTCTCTCTCTGGTTATGTTCATGGACCAATTGGGGTTTGTCATAATTTCTGCCTCAGATTGTAACTTGAGGGAGTGAGTTGATGGGTACAGGTCTTAGCCAAATTCTTGGTATCTATAATCCTAAGCGACTCAGAGGGTTGTTTTCCTGCAGAAAAGGTGTGACTCAGACCTATTCTCTCCAAGGTAGGGGTGGATATTGGGGGGTCAGTTACATTCCACTCCTTCCTATTTCCTCTCTGGCTCTGTCCTGTTTCGAAGGACTAGGAAGTGAATACGACAATTTAATGTCAAGCTCATCTCCCCTACGGCCAACAGAATTTCTACTAGTGGGAGGCAAGTCATTGATTGCTTTGCTCAGCTTCCAGGACTTCTGTGAAATAAAATGTCCTGTGCATCCATGGGTGTTCTGCAGTGATAATGGAAACTGAGGAGCACACAGTGCTAGCTAGCTGCCATCACACCTGGAAATTCAGAAGTCTTGCATTTGATCTGTGCTGACCTTTGTAATTTGAGTTTTATGCATCCCACATATTAATACATTATTCATCAGGAAATCCTTAAACTGCCTTTCATTAGCCAAATTGAAATTTAAGTATATCATCTGATGAGTGAGTATTTCAAGCCATCATATATTGGTGCTACCTGTCATTCATCCATCAGGTTTAAAAGCATCTCCATCTTTGCACAGCAGTGCTTGTGCCATTATTTGAATGTTTTATTATATTTTATCTTTATTATTTTGTAAAAATGTCAGTGAGAAAAGCCTAGATCTCAAACTCAATATAGATTCTTAAGCATGGTAAAAGCTGATAATCTTTATTTGGATGCTCATCAGACTTCATAGGTACACTATAATAATTATGATGAACATGAATAAAAATAATGAACATCTCCAAAATTCTGAAAATTGAAGTGTGTCAATATGTTGATGTGTTTTGGATTTTTCTAATTTTAAAATTTTTTGGGAATTGAATCCTCTTATGCTATCGTTTGACTTTGTCACATTGGAATTCACACACATGGATAGAATGACATCTTGATCAAACTACGAGGCTGTTATACTATAGTATTTATGATGCAAACATAGTTATGATTTTTCCTATATTTTTTCTCTAAGTTTAAGAACTGAAAAGATGGAAATTCCTATTAATTGATAAATACTCATGTTCTTTTTTTTCATGAATATGTGAAGTGGTTTAAATAGTTGCTTGTGGGTTTTTCCCCCCTGGGATATTGCCAGCACTAAATAAATGATTGAGGGCTTCGGGTAACTTTCCCTAGTTACTATTAACTTCATAACAATCACAGAATTACCAAACTAGTTTTATGATAATCCAGAGGCTAATACATCATTGACTAGCTTTTACAAATGCCGCGGCTTATTTTTTCCCCCATTCCATTCGGGAAAAGGCATTTTTGGGTCCTCAATTTTTGGTTGGAGAGTGGTTATTTTAGAAACAAAAATGGTGTTATCATTTTATATGGGTTCAGAATCCAAATTCAAGTTTCTCTATGAGCCCACGAAGGTCCCTGGTTTCTAAAAGTATTCTGATATGCCTAAAGGTGATCAGAAAGAGTCCTGTTAATACATGTTGGGACTACATGTGGAGTGAGATAGATGTGTTTTTCGCCATCTACTGTGTAATCTTGGGAAATATACTTATTATATGGGTTTCCTCATCTGTAAAGAGGAACTAATAAGGGTTAATTAGATATTAATCTAATAGGTTGAAGGTTGAACTAAACCAGTTTCACCTGGCCTATGGCACCCTTTTAGCAGCTCTTAATAGTTGTTAATAAAGTATCGATGGATTTAATTTATTCATTCACAAACTTAATCACCAACACCATTAGTAACTTTATTCTTCTCAGAAAACCCACTTGATGAGTTCAATGACTGAATGCTTGAGAGCTCAATGATAGGATGAACTCTCCTATCATTAGGATGTCCATGACTAAATATACACTGCAGTGGGTATAAGTGGGTTCTGTCAAGAGCCTATCTGTGTGTCAGGAAGGGCACTCAATATTTATAAAAACATTTTTTGCACTGTATTATCTTCGAAATAGGTGAATGATTTTTGACAATACAGCCTATAGACATGCTACAATGGCTTTCAAAATAATTAAGTAAGTTGAAGCTTAGAAACATGTACAATCCTAATTTCTGTTCCTACAATTATACTTACCTAGGAGTGCTGGAATAATCCTATAAAACCTTGCTGGACCATTTGTTTGTTGGGAGGCAATTCTCCAACGGTAATTTGCATTTCTGCACATCTGGGCGAATGCATTAACAGATTTGTGTTCCAGACTAACTTTTCAAGGACGTTTGCATAATGAGGAGCCTTAGAAGGTAGAGAGAGTGTCTCCCTCCAGAGCAGAAGGTAGATTTGTTTGCTGTCCAGGATAATGTGTCTCTCCAGGGCAGGTTTACTAGTAGCCCTCTTATCAAAGGTTGGGGTTTCCTAAGCTTGGAACTCCTTTCCTGTAATGCACCTGTAATGTATGTTCAGGCATCGTCTGGCCCTCATTGCATCACCCTGTGGAAACTGGGATTCAGGGAACCAGTGCACGTGATGTTATTTTAGCTGTGGCTATTGCTGTCCTTTGTCTCTGACCAGGAGTCTGGTCATTTTATGTGCACAGAAGATAGAGTATGGGGCTGGGGCTCTGAGAGATTTCATCCAGTTACTCCCAACCTTTGCATCCCTTTCTTAGCCCTCCACACAGAAGGGACCAAAGGCTAATAATCGGACTTCTGAGAGTCTTGTGAAGTTAAAGGAGATAATTCTTGCAGCACGTTAAGTGCAGTGTCTGGCACAGAGTAAATGCTCAATAAATCATAGCTATTTAATTTTTCTTCTATTAAAGGGCTTTGGATACATTTCCCCAAGGTTCATCTGAGTATGATTTTGGTTTTCTCTTAATTGATGGATACTTGTGTCTCTGATGATTGGAGTGGCCATTTGAAAATCAGGTCTAAACGACCTTTCAGGAATCATACCTAAACATTTTATATATAAAGAAGACACAGTAGTTATTAGTATGACTTATTCTATGCACTAGTTATTAGTAGTTTAGTGTGCTGGGTCTGAACAACTAAGACGGCATATCACTCCCAGAAGCTGATTGACAGTAGTTATTAGTATAGTGCATAGAATTAGTATTAATATAGTGCATAGAATAAGACAGATAGTCAGTATTAGATATGATTTTAATGAAGATGGTGGTGGTGATGATGGCTGTTAGTGTTACTTTCTCCTTCATTCAAATCACTTATTTCACCTTTTATTCTATTGTTCATCCCGGTTCTTCTCCACACGCTGGTTATACATACAATTTAAAGTTGCCTAAGCAGAGAAAAGGGAACCCTTATACGTTGTTGGTGGGATTGTAAATTAGTACAACCACTATGGAGAACAGTTTGGAGGTGCCTCAAAAAAGTAAAAATAGAGCTACCGTATGACCCAGCAATCCCACTGCTGAGTATATACCCAAAAGAAAGGATATCAGTATATTGAGGAGATACCTGCACTGCCACGTTTGTTGCAGCACTGTTTACGATAGTCAAGATTTGGAAACAACCTAACTGTCCATCAGCAGATGAATGGATAAAGAAGATGTGGTACATAAACACAATGGAGCACTATTCAACCGTAAAAAGAATGAGATCCTGTCATTTGCAACAAGATGGATGGAACTGGAGGTCATTATATTAAGTGAAATAAGTCAGGCACAGAAAGACAAACATCACATGTTCTCCCTTATTTGTGGGACCTAAAAATCAAAACAATTGAACTCATAGAGAGTAGAAGGATGGTTACCAGAAGCTTGGAAGGGCAGTGAAGGCATAGGGGACTTGTGGGGATGGTTAATGGGTACAAAAAATGGTTAGAAAGAATGAATCAGACCTACTATTTAATAGCACAACAGGTTTACTATAGTCAGTAATAATTGCACCTTTAAAAATAACTAAAAGAGGCCGGGCATGGTGGCTCACGCCTGTAATCCCAGCAATTTGGGAGGCCGAGGTGGGTGGATCACCTGAGGTCAGGAGTTCGAGACAGCCTGACCAATATGGTGAAACCCTGTCTCTACTAAAAATATAAAAACAGCCGGGCGTGGTGGCAGGCGCTTGTAATCCCAGCTCCAGCTACTCGGGAGGCTGAGGCAGGAGAATTGCTTGAACTGGGGAGGTGGAGGTTGCAGTGAGCCAAGATTGTGCCATTGCATTCTAGCCTGGGCAACAAGAGTGAAACTCCATCTCAAAAAATAAATAATAAATAAAAATAACTAAAAGAGTGTAATTGGATTGTTTGTAACTCAAAGGATAAATGCTTGAGGGGATGGATACCCCATTTACCATGATGTGATTATTATGCATTGCATGCCTGTATCAAAACATCTCACATACCCCATAAACATATACACCTACTATGAAACTGGATGCCTTCCTTACACCTTGTATAAAAATTAACTCAAGATGGAATAAAGGATTAAATGTAAAACCTAAAACTATAAAAACCCTAGAAGAAAACCTAGGCAATACCATTCAGGACATAGGCACGGGCAAAGGCTTCATGACTAAAACACCAAAAGCAATGGCAACAGAAGACAAAATTGACAAATGGGATCTAATTAAACTAAAGAGCTTCTGCTTAGCAAAAGAAACTATCTTCAGAGTGAACAGGCAACCTACAGAATGGGAGAAAATTTTTGCAATCTGTCCATCTGACAAAGGTCTAATATCCAGAATCTACAAGGAACTTAAACAAATGTACAAGAAAAAAACAACCCCATCAAAAAGTGGGTGAAGGATATGAACAAACGCTTCTTGAAAGAATACATTTATGTGGCCAACAAACGTACGAAGAAAAGCTCAACATCACTGGTCATTAGAGAAATGCAACTCAAAACCGCAAAGAGATACCATCTCATACCAGTTAGAATGGCAATCATTAAAAAGTCTGGAAACAACAGATGCTGGCGAGGATGTGGAGAAATAGGAATGCTTTTACACTGTTGGTGGGAGTGTAAATTAGTTCAACCATTGTGGAAGAGAGTGTGGTGATTTCTCAAAGATCTAGAACCAGAAATACCATTTCACCCAGCAATCCCATTACTGGGTATATACCCAAAGGATTATAAATCATTCTACTGTAAAGACACATGCACACACATGTTTATTGCAGCACTATTTACAATAGCAAAGACTTGGAACCAACCCAAATGCCCATCAATGATACACTGGATAAAGAAAATGTGGCACATATACACCATGGACTACTATGCAGCCATAAAAAAGAATGAGTTCATGTCCTTTGCAAGGACATGGATGAAGCTGGAAACCATCATCCTCAGCAAACTAACCCAGGAACAGAAAACCAAACTTCACATGTTCTCACTCATAAGTGGGAGATGAACAACGAGAACACATGGACACAGGGAGGGGAACATCACACACCAGGGCCTGTAGGGGGTGTTGGGGGAAAGGGGAAGAAGAGCATTAGGACAAATACCTAATGCATGTGGGGCTGAAAACCTAGATGGCAGGTTGATAGGTGCAGCAAATCACCATGGCACATGTATACCTATGTAACAAACCTGGACGCTCAGTACATGTACCCCAGAACTTAAGATAAATTTTTTTTTAAAAGTTACCTAAGTAGAAAATATTCAAGGAACTTAAAATTTCATAATGTGGAAGATCCTGTGCATTTGAGGAGCGCAAATGGTTGTTTTTTCTTATCTTCATTGCTTCATCTGCTAATGTCAGATAAGGAAGCAAAATGGCAGAGATAGAAATTGAATTGAATGATCTTGGTTTAAGTTCCAGCTCTACCACTTAATTAGTTGTGAAGCCTTGCAAGTTTTTTTTTTTTAATCTCTCTGTGCCTCAGTTTCTTCATCTGCAAAATGGAGAAAATAATAGTATTGACTTTGAGGAATTATTGTAAAGATTAGATGAATTAATACTTGTAAAGCACTTAGAACAGTGCTTGGCACATGGTAGGCATTCGAGAAATGTTGAGTATTATTTTTAATTTTTTTAGAGACAAGTTCTTACTCTGTTGCCCAGGTTGGATTACGGTGGTGTGATGATCACTCACTGCAGCCTCAAACTCCTGGGCTCAAGTGATCCTCCTGCCTCAGCCTCCCAAAGTGCTGGGATTACAGATGTGAGCCACCATGCCCAGCCAGTATTACTAACATGCTATTGCCTATTGTTTAGGAAGGCATGAAGGGGCATTTTTGGCTGATGTTGGTGTTGGTATTAGCAAAAATATGTACCAATAATTCATGGAATTCAGAGATGTATTGGGAGATAAACCCTTCCTTATTATTTTTTTTTTTGAAAGCAAACACTTTCTATGGCATTGTGTCAATTAAGATTGTATTTGGCAACAAGTAATAGAAAATGCAACTTTTATGCCTTGTAGAGTTCTATATCTCTGGAGGCAGGAAGGCCCTGGCATTAATTTTGCAGTTCAACTATATCAAGGCAAGAGTCTCTTAATTCCTGAGGCCTTTCTTCATGGCTAAAAGATGGCAGCTGCAGCTCCAGACACTGGGAAGAAAAAAAGGGGAAAGAGTGGTACAAGCCATATTTGCCTATTTTATTAGGAAAGCAAAATATTTCCTGGAAATCCTTAAAAAAAATGTGTTTCTCTCTCATAGGCCAGAATTAGGTTATATGGCCACCACTGGTGGCAAGAGAGACTGGGAAAGCCAACAAGTTGTGTTTCCAGTGCCTAAGTTTGAAAGCAACAAGGGACAAGGAAATTATTGTTGGGTCAGCCAATCAATGGTATTGGTTTCAGGTAGTATTTGAACTTTTTCTAAAAGTGAACATTTGATCTAGCAAACTGCGGGTTCTATTGTGATTTCTGGCAGGAACATTCACTCTAACACTCACATTCTAATAATGCCTGATGCACTAGGCAGTAAATAGTTGTTGACTCAATAAAAACAACCTGAGAAATGGAAACATAAAGTGGTTTTTTCTACTGGGTTGCTGTATTAGTAATCTATTTCTACCTATAAGTTACTCTACAATTTAGTGGCTTAAAAAATAGATATTTATTATGTTAGAGTTACTGTCAGGAATTTGGGAACTGCTTAGATGGTGGTTCTGGCTCAGAGTTTCCCATGACGCTGTAATCACAATGTCAGTCAAAACTGTGGTCATCAGAAGGCTTGCCTAATTCTGGAAGGTCTCCATCCAAGCTCACTGAAGTGACTGTTGGTCATAAACCTCTGTTCCTCACCAGGTGGGCCTCTCCATATGGCCGCTTGAGTGGTATGATAACTAGCTTCCCTGGGAATGAGTGATTCAAGAGGGAGCAAGAGATAGATGCCACAATGTCCTTTATGGTCTAGCCTCAGAAGTCATGCAGTATCATTTTTTGCCATGTTCTATTGGTCATGCAGGCCTACCCTGATATAATGTGAGGGGGACTACATAAGGGCATGAATGCTGGAAAGAAGAGATCACTGGATGCCATCTTGGAGGCTGGCTACCACAGTCAGACAGCCAGTTGGCAGTGAAACGAGAACTGAAAGTCCAGCTTTTCTGATGATCAACCTGTGACCCATATCACATTCTTATCTTCATTTTTATATTGTTTTTTTTTCTTGCATTGCTATAAAGAAATATTTTTTAAAGTTAGAGCTAATAATTAGTAAAGGGCATTTTTTATTAAAAACAATTATCACTTAAATTAGACTATAGCTTCTTCTGTGCTTTGTACACACACACACATCCCCATTCACAAATACACAAACACACATACACAGATGTTTTGCTATTGCTCAATTTTTGCCAGTATACTTTAGAGAGGACAAAAATTACAGAACTATTGTATCATGTACCTAAACCCCATAACTGAAACTAAAAAAAAAAATGTTTATTTTCAGTTTTTAATTTTTATGTGTACGTAGTAGGTTAGTAGGTATATATATTGAAGGGGTACATGAGATGTTTTGATACAGGCATGCAATTTGAAATAAGCACCTCATGGAGATTGGGGTATCCATCCCCTCAAGCATTTATCCTTTCATTTGCAAACAATACAGTTATACTCTTTAAGGTCCATAACTGAAAAATTAAGATAGCTATGTCATCAACAGGGTATACATCTGACACAAGAATTTTGCGGTTGGTTTTCTCTTTTATCAGTGAAATGGAAAACAATCAAGAAAAGAAAATAAACCATCTGCAAGATAGAAGGGAATGAAATAAAAAGCAATTGAAAGATTTTTAAATGAAAAGAGCAGCTTTTATTTTTTGTTGTGGAAAAAACCAAGTTCCCAAGCTATTCTTTCTTGCCTGTGTTTCTATAACAACACAGATTAGTAGAAAATTACTTGCTCCAGTTGGGTCCTATAGGGAAAGGAGCCCACATTGAATTTCAGTTTATTACAGTGATATTATTTTCCAAGCATATCTTAAAGTGGGTATAAATTTGTTTTCAGAGTGACCAATCCTCAATAATTTGAAGAAATAGGCAGTTTTCTATTTCATCCACTCTAGTTTTAGAGCTAAAATAATAACAGGCATGTGCTTTATTATAAGTGTCCTTTTGTTCCTATTTCTTCAAAGTCCATCAAAATCACTTTCTGAGTGTACATCAATAATTTGACACCTTTTGAAATAATGAAGGGTGAAAAAAGAAATGATTTATATTTTGTCTGGCCTCTTATGGAAATGTGTATTTCAATTATCTTCAATTAAAATTGAAGTGGATTCCTCTGTGGCCCTTATATTTATGTTTTTAAAACAAGTGTTCAAATCTAATTGAATACAACTACTCATTGATTTAATGAGTATATGAAATGGACCGCACTCCAAGGCCATTTTTTTATTCATTGAAAATATCAGTATTTTTTTTTTTTTTTGAGATAGTCTTGCTGCATTGCCTAGGCTGGAGTGCAGTGGCATGATTACAGCTCACCATAACCTTGAATTCCTGGGGTCAAGCGACCCTCCTACCTTGGCCTCCCAAAGTGCTGAGATTACAGGCATGAGCCAGAAATTTCTGGCGCCCAGCCAGAAATACCAGTTTTTTGAGAAAGGAAAGAAACTAACATTAATAGAGCAGCAAATATGCAGTTAAGGACTGTGTCAGGCAATGTTTATATTTTTCCAGTTTGAAATATCTTGATATAGTGAGCCAGTTATTGTCTAATTTATACTTGGAGAACTGAGGCTCAGAAAAGTTCACTTTTTCACTCATTCAATGACTGTTCCTTGAGCTCTTGCTCTAAGTGATATGTACTATACTGGGTGGTGGAAGTATAGTGGTAAACAGAACAAGATCACACAACTAGTAAGTGGAAAAGCTATAAGTAGGACCCAGATGGTTCCAAAGTCTAGTATCCCTTCATTTCAGTGTATTTGTACACAAATAGCCATGACACAAGGAAGAATGTATAACTGATTATAAAGGGGTAAATACTAACATTTTTTGAGTGTCATTTATCAGGCATTATTCAAGATACTTGTCTTTAGTGTATGTAACACTTAAAAACACCCTACAAGTTAAATTCATATTCCATTAACCAATAAACAATTGAGGCATAGAAGGGTTCAGATTGTTGCTTGTGCTTGCTCAGCTATTCAGGGTTGAAAAATTATTTGAGGCAAAGGAAGAGGGTTTATTTGTAGCAAGAGTCATCCAATAAGTTGCCTCATGTTCAAGTCAACCAGAGTTGGTTTCTGTTGCTTACAGCCAGGGAAACCTAAGTGACTGATACACTCTCCTGGCTGATTCATTATCACTGCTGATCCTGGGTAACTCTGTACGCTCATCATCTGAAAGTTAAAAAAAGAGGCACTCTTCTTTTCTAGAAGCAGGCTATTCATGTGAGTCCAATTCATATCGTCAATTTAAATTTTATGCTGTTCAGATAATTACAGAGGCAATCCAGAATTCTTGGTGCCAGAAAATAATGCATCCCTATCTGGATGAACTACTATAGATGGGTTCCCAGAAGAAATCTACAATTGATACACTGGCTTCTCCAGGTCATTTGACTATGAACCAAAGCCCTTCTGAAACATGTTTAAATTCTGATTTCTTAACTCAGAAGGTACACAGGGCTGGTTTTCAACCTTGAGGTCCCAAGTCATTTCCAAGGTCACAGTGGAGTTTAATGGTAGGGAGCAGGACTGGCTTCACGGGTGTGCAGCCTGTGCAGTTGCACAAGGCCCTGTGCTTAGAAAGGGCTCAAGTTGGGTTTAGTGCTCTGTTCTCATTGTCTTAAAATTCTTACTGTTTGAACAAGGGCCCCCACATTTTCATTTGTACTAGGCCCTGCAAATTATGTAGCTGGTCCTGGTGACCAATCAGTGACAAACTTATTCCAACTGGGTTCCAATTTATCTTATGAACTGAGGTTGGAAGAAAATTAATTGGGTAGGAGAATTTAGATTTCTTCTTATGTGGTTCAACATTACTTAGTTATAGTTGGGTTGTAGGAACTCTGACGGATGCTATTCTGAGCCTTTTCTACTATTTCACAATGTTCGAAAAGAGAACTTATTCTAAAACCATAGGCACATCATAAAAAGACATCTGTTCACTAGTAATTTGAGATTCAAGGAAAAATTTTATTCTGATGTTGTTGCTACTGAGGCCAAATACAATTAACATTAAGTATAAAATACGGAAATATGTAAATATAAAATAGAAATATTTGAATATATTAAATAATATCAAATATATAAACAAAATATTTCAGTAGATTAAATATATAAATATTAAAAATAAATATAAAATAATCATAACAGCTCCAAGGACCTGAAGTGAAAGTTTCTCACCAACAACAAAGGAAATGGAAATCTCTGAAGTGCTGATTTTAACACCAAGGAATACTATGCAGCTGGCAAGAGTGGAGCGTGTTACACAGAGTACCTGTGTCATCACAACCAGAGACCATCTTGACACCTGATGGGAGGAGGAAGGCCTCATGCCAGAGGAAACATCCGCAAAGCATAACTTCCCATAGGCATTTGTAGCTCTGCTGACAAATTGATTTTACAATATTTCTGACAGCAGGAGCCACTGGATCTTAATAGGTCAATTTCCAATTTCCATGCCTCTGAAATCCTTCATCTTGCACTAATGACAATTTCTAGATGGATACTCAAGCAATTTTCTGGATTAATCAGGACCCTGGGTCTTGATGGACATATTTATTTACTTACACTAGTAATATAGCCAACAGGATGTTGTCGTGTTTGGTTATCAGCGCCTAGGCAATGCCAGGTTTTGCCAAAGTAACTCCTTCCTCAAAAAGAGAAAAAGAGAATTTGAATTTAAAAGGGGGTTACTCCACAGTGGAGGGTGAGTGGTGGTGGTGGTGGGGAGAAACCAATGGATTCATGGGATTAAAAATAAAATTAGAGTGTTACACGCCTTAATATTTAAAAGGAAGGATAGGATTATTGTCAATTACCTGTGCACCCTTGTTCTGAGCCAGGCTCTGGATGCTGAATAATGGAAGGAAACACATCCCCCAAAAGCCCATTGGGTACCCTGGTTTAGGGCTGCTGAGTAGGAGTGCGAGATGTGTAAAGGAAGTGTGAGTAGAGGATGATTTTATTTGAAGTGCTAAAGTGGATCCCTAAGAAAAGGACAAAGAGATTCCTGCATAAGGGAAAGGCTCTCCAGACTGGCTAGGGAGTTGATGTGTAGGGGGAGAAGGTTATAGGACACAAAATAGGAGCAGTTTTCTCTCCTTACCAGAAAAGGTAAAACAGCGACTGAAGGGGTTGATGGAGAATGCATGGGTTGTGGGAAAGTTCATTGAACTGGGTCAGCAGAGAGGTCTTTGAGGCTGGTGGGCAGACTTGAGGGGATTCCCCTGAGTTGTGTGGCAGGTGGGTTTTCTTGCAATTGTGATCCAAGTAGGAAGAGTAAGGGCTCAGACAGAAAAGGCTTTTGCTCTAGAAACCAAGCAGCAGAGGCCGGGGGAGAGCTGAGCAGAAATCACTTAGCTTTGGATATTCAGGGGAAAGGTAAATCACATGGGGGACCTGTCATCTTGAGTTCTAGGCAACCAGGAACAAATCTCAAAGGTTTAAATCCCTGAGCAAAGGGAGATTGTGGTTGGGACTTACCTGCTTGTGTCTAGGTCGCACCATGAATGGTTTTTAAAAAACAATTTATTTGTATATATGTTTTAACTTTTAAATAGTTTGATTCACAAGAAGTTGCAAAAATAGTACTGAGAGTTCCCATGTGCCGTTCATCCAGTTTTCCCTTGTAACATCTCTTACAAAAAATTCTCCCCATGATAACATCTTACATAACCATAGTGCATTATTTAAACTAAGAAACTAACATTGGTACAACTCTATTAATTCAACTACATACTTTACTTGGTTTCATTAGTTTTTACATTCCCTCTCTCTCTCATATAATTCTATGAATTTCTATAACATTTATAGATACGTGTAACAGAACTGTTCCATCCCAAGAACTCCCTCATGTTACCTCATTATAGTTACACCCTCCCTCAACCGTATGCCCTGTCAATCATTAATCTAGTCTCCATCACTATATATTTTTTTACTTCAAGAATGTTATAGAAATGGAATCACTGGTAAAAGGAATTTGAGGAGATAAACAAATTAAAAAAAAGAAATGGAATAACATAATATACAATCTTAAAATTGAGATACAATCCAAATACCATAAATTATACCTGTTTGGAGTGTACAATGCAGTGTTTTTTAGTGTGTCCACAAAGTTGTGTGATCATCACTACTATCTAATTCCAAAAAATCCTCATCACTCCAAAAATAAACCTTGTACCCCTTAGTGATCACTTCCCATTGCTCCCTTCCCCTAGTCCCTGATAACCATTAATATACTTTCTGTCTCTGTGGATTTGACTATTCTGGAAATTTCATAAATGCATTCAGATGTGGTCTTTTGTGACTGACTTCCTTCACTTAGCATTACTGTTTTTTAACAGTGGTAGGATGAATCAGTACTTCATGCCTTCCTATAGCCAAATAATATTCCACTGTGAGGATGTACCACATTTTGTTTATCCTTCATTGATTGATGGATACTTGGGTTGTTTCCACTTTGTACTGCTATGAAATTTGTGTACACGTTTTTGTGTAGGCATGTTTTCAATTCTCCTGGGCATCTAAAAAGGAGCAGAATTGCTGGGTCATATGGTAACTCTCTATTTAACATGTTGAGAAAGTGCCAGACTGTTTTCCAAAGTGGCTGCACCTTTTTATAATCCTAGCAGCAATATATGAGGGTTCCAATTTCTCTGCATCCTCACAACCCTTGTTATTGTCTTTCTGTTTTATTATAGCCATCCTCATCGATGTAAAGTAATATCTAATTGTGGTTTTGATTTGCATTTTTCTGATGACTAATGATAGTGAACATTTTTTCATGTGCCTATTGGTGATTTATATATCTTCTTTTGAGAAATGTCTGTTCAGATCCTTTGCCCATTTTAAAATTGGGTTATTTGTCTTTTTATTGTTGAGTCACAAGAGTTTTAAGAAATATATTCTGGTTATTAGACCCTTATCGGATATATGATTTGCAAATATTTTCTTCCATTCTGTGGGTTTTAGTTTTCGCTTTCTTGATAGTGTCCTTTGAAGCACAAATGTTTTTATTTTGATGAAGCACAATTTATGTATTATTTTCTTTTGTAGCTTATGCTTTTGGTGTCATATCTCAGAAATGATTGCCCAACCTAAGGTCATAAGGATATACTCCTATATTTTCTTCCAAGTGTTTTATAGTTTTAGCCCTTACATTTATGTCTATGGTCCTTTTGAGTTAATTTTTTGTGTATGGTGTAAAGTAGGGGTCCAATTTCATTCTTTTGCATGTGGATATCCAGTTGCCCTAGCAGCATTTGTAGAAGACTATTCTTTCCCCATTTAATTGTCTTGGCACACTTGTCGAAAATCAATTGATCATAAATATATGAAACGTTTAACTATAGCTTTTCTGCCAAATCCAGCTCACTGTGTTTTTTCCTCCTTTCATTGAGTTCTTTTGCTTTCAGTGGGTTGCAAGATTAATACATTTATTATAATTTCTTGTATCTAATAGTCTGCATTGCTCAATTTACAATAGCATTTGATCGATGTATAATGCTGCCATTTTTTTACTGTTGTGATGCTTGATTATTCTTTCTTACTTTTGATTGTAGACTGAGATTATGACATGTATATATTCTGCAGTAAAAGTATATCAAATGTCTTTAGCTCTTTATAACTTTCAAAACATTTTTATAGACAGCATCTCATTAAATAGTTGGAAAAACTCTGTAAAAGCAGGCAGGGTTGGAATTATTGTTCTCATCTGTCTTGATTAACAGATGTGGAAGCTGAAGCCAAGCGACTTGACCAAGAGTCATTAGCAGAAGCTCAGCTGGAGCTCAGGCCTTGTCTTTTTGTGCTATACTCTGCTGCTTCTCTTTGGATTCAGTAGCAACTGGCAAATAGTCACAGCTTGACAGGAATGATTGAGCTATTTGTTTCTTCACTATCATTCATATTTGCCTTTTACTTTTTATTTCCGAGGCTGCTATCCTAGAACAGACCTTCATTTCCTATCTGAAAATTCCTGCATTAGCAATGACTACTCAGCTTCCCCAGTGTCCTCCTTTTATCATCCATCTATCCGTATACTGCTGCCAGAATAGCTTTCCTAAAACACTGCTTCTGTTATGCTATTCTTTTGCTTAAACAGCCTTAAAAGCCATCTATTATTTCAAGAAATAAGTCAAAACTTCCAATTTTGGGGCAGGTGATCTAGGAAAGTATGCATTTGATCTTAAAGAGCAAGTCAAATCAAGCAATCTCTAAAAAAATACACTCATCTTGACTGATACCCCGTTGAAACTTTGTGCTACATTCAACTCAGTATTTTATTTTCTTAATTTGGGTTCCCTCACAAGGTAACCTGGAGACAAGGATTTGATTGCAAGTAGTTTATGTGGGACATGGTTCTAGGAAACACCAGTAGCAGAGTGGGGAAATTAGATAGAAAAGGAAAGGAAGTCATTGCAGGGTGTGTTTTCAAGACATTGATACTATTAGAGGTCAGGAATGGTAGGTGGGAGGAGGGATAAAGAGAGGTTGATCAATGGGTACAAATATACAGTTTGATAGAAGAAATAAGACCTAGTGTTTAATAGGTCAGTAGGGTGACAATAGTTTACAATAATCTTGTATATTTCAAGATAGCTAGAAGAGAATAATTTAAATGTTTCTAACATAAAGAAAAGTTAAATATTTAAAGTGATGATTATCCCAATTACACGGATTTGATCTTTCCAAATTATATAAATGTATTAAATTATCACATATACTCCCAAATATGTGCATCTGTTATATATCAATAAAAAAGACATAAAAACTAAGGGCAACTCAAGCTTAATCTGACTCTGGGGAATTCTGATTGACAGTGTAGATCATGCAACTCAGAGTCCTCCCTTCTAAGGGGTGAGTGGAATGGAGTCTTTATCCACTAGCTCATGTCAGTCATTGGTTGAAGACTACTCCTGTACCTCTAGCCTGTCCTATGCTTTCAGCTTGGGTGTGGGAAGAGTAGGCTTTAGTAGCCAAAGAAAGCCCCCTGGCAAAACATCACAGGTACTCACAGAACTTGAACTGATGTGCTTTGAAAAAGTAAGAGGCAAGAAGCTACGGGCAGGGAACCAACAGCAGTCATTACACTTAAGTTCCTTTATCCCACATGCATTGGGCAGTAGCTATGGGGAAGACCCTGGGAATTCAAAGATGTTTGAGAGTATGTCTATGTCCTTGGGGAGCTCATGCCCTGGATAGGAGGATTGGCATGTAAGCAGGGGATTGTAGTAGAGTACAGCCATGCCTGAAGTTGGTGTATGGACTGTCGGGGAACAAAGGAAAGGAGAACTAACTTTGCTTGGGGACAGTTTCACAAAGGAAGAGACATGGAAACTGTTTCTTTTTTAAAAAATTTAATTTAGGCAGGGCGCAGTGGCTCACGCCTGCAATCCCAGCACTTTGGGAGGCTGAAGCAGGTGAATCATCTGAGGTCAGGAGTTTGAGACCAGCCTGGCCAGCATGGCAAAACCCCGTCTTTAGTAAAAATACAAAATATATATATATTAGCTGGGCGTGGTGGCAGATGCCTGTGATCCCAGCTACTCAGGAGACTGAGGCAGGAGAATCACTTGAACCCGGGGGGCAGAGGTTGCAGTGAGTCGAGCTTACACCACTTCACTCCAGCCTGGGCAACAGAGCAAAACTCTGTCTTTAAAAAAAAAAATTAATTTAATTTTAAGTTTCAGGATACATTGGGCAGGACGTGCAGGTTTGTTACATAGGTAAATGTGTGCCGTGGTGGTTTGCTGCACCTATCAATCCATCACCTAGGTATTAAGCCCCATATGCAGTAGCTATTGATCCTGAGGCTCTCCTCCTCCCGACCCCCTGACAGGCCCCAGTGTGTGTTGTTCCCCTCCCTGTGTCCATGTGTTCTCATTGTTCAGCTCCCACTTATAAGTGAGAACATGTAGCGTTTGGTTTTCTGTTCCTGTGTTAGTTTGCTGAGGATAATGGCTTCCAGCTCCATCCATGTCCTTGCAAAGGACATGATCTTGGGGAACTGTTTCTTAATGAGATCAGGATAAGTAAGATTTTGCTAGGCTGTTAGGTGGGAGGTGGGGGAGGTAAGGGAAGCAGGAAGAGCATTCTAGATGGAGGGAATAATATATGACAAAGTTAGATGGAGGCAAATGGCCTGTTCTAGAAATAATGGATATTCTTAAATAATTAGAGCTTAAAGAACATGGCAGGAACATGGGTATGAGGGAAATTAATGTTGAGACATATGTTGGAAGCAGGTCATAAAAGCCTTCTTTGCCATGCCTTTGGTATTAAACTATGTGCCTGGGAAGCACACTGTTTTTTGCAAATGGGTTTCCAAGAAAAAAAATTAAGGAATTACAATTTGAGTTAACAGGCAAGAGTGATTTCCCTTTATGTAAAAGCAATGATTAAACATTAAAGTTAACAAGATTTACTTAGATTATATGCTTAGTCTTATATAGGAAACCTACATGTTTTCTGTCAAAGAACTTTATTGTTTAGAAAAGAATTTTATTTGATAGCTTGCCTTGCCTAAGCAAATACCAGGAGTTCTTTTCTGTCTTAGTTACCATGACAATGTGGTATCCCTCTGTTTAAAATAATATACCTCAAACTCCAGCCAGGATAATTTTCATGTATGAATGTTAGCACTGATTTTTAAGTTTCTTTATTTTATTTATTAGTTTACTGTGCCAAGGTTAGCAAATACCTTTCTGAGATCCAGGCAAATTGCCTCAGGTGGCTCTGCCAGCATCTATTATCCTTTTCTCCCAATTCAAAGAGCAATCTGATTTTTTTTTAAATAGATTTATCCATTAGAAGTGTCTGTTGACAGCCACTTCATTTGCTACTCTTCAGCTTGCATTCATCTCATTCTTTAGTAAAAGTAAACAGAAGTGCTCTGTGGTTTATAGAAAAACAGCCACAAAGAAGCCTCTTTATTGGTGAGGTTTTACGCATTTTAAGGTGTTATCCAACACAGATACACAATCAGCAGCTCAGAGCCTTCACTACCTAAGAACTACTTTATTTTTCCAAACACTCACTCATTTTAGAGTTAATTCCGGGTTCCATTTAGACCAATCTTCATATAAAATGCAGTTGTCTGGATTATTCTGATCTATGCCAGTAATGAGATGATTATATTTTTTAGTCAAAAGGTTATGTTTTTGAACAATATCTCCTTTCCTGCAGTTGCAGTACATCTTAGTCAATTGTGCTTATTTTGAGGGATATATTATGGCCTTTGGAAAGGGTGGGCAAAGACTGAGGAGGTAAATTGCATTTCTTGGTTCTGTACTTAAGTAAACCAGCTGCTTTGGTCTCTCCTTTTCCCTTAAGGGTGTCTTAGTTATAAATAAATGTGATTCATTTTCAGTAAAAGAGGGACTGTAAGATGGCCTTGGGTTTACCAATGACAAAGCATGTGATAAACGAAGAACACAAAGCCAGAGAAAAATACATTTAGGAGGCCATTTTGGACTTGATTGGTATAAATTGACAAGCCCTTCCTCTAGAAATTGGTTTTGAAACATCAGTGAAATATGAAAAGCAAGAGGGAAAAAGTTACCTAGCCAAACCCAGAAAGGACTTTGCTAAATTTGAAATGATTACATGTAATCAAATGTTAACTACAATTTCTGAAACATCTTTTTAGGGACAGTTACCCTAAAGGTGTTGGTTTTTAAGACTTGTGTATTAAGATCTTTCTGCAAACGCATGAGGTCTTCTTTAGCACATTCCTCTTTATCTAGTCCAGTCAGCAATGCATTTGGGAAAACATGCCATTATGACAGGTCAACACTATCAAGGGAGAAATGATTTTAAAATGAGGGCACACAGTGTGCAGGTGATGAAGCAGGAACTCCAGGCATTGTTCTCAAATGTTTCAGTCTGTGCCCATTCACTGCTGTACTCCATGTGAAGAACTGTGAAAGGCAACTGGTTGTCCTCTGAATGCATTCTCCCCTTGTCCTAGGGCACTAGAATCTACACTCCCACCTCCCCATTGGGATTAGGTGTGTCTTTGTGACCAAGTTCTCTTCACTGCCATTTGATAATGTGCAGTTTCCAACTCCTTTACTCTTCCCTTTTCCTGCTAGCCAGGATACTTCTCTTTGACCATGGAGATAAGAACTATGCCCTGGACTGGATAAAGAATACTATAAAAGAATGAAATCATGTCCTTTGCAGCAACATGGAATGCAGCTGGAGGGCATGATCCTAAGTGAATTAACATATGAACAGAAAACCAAATACTGCAGGTTCTCATTTATAAGTGGGAGCTAAACAATGGGTACACATGGACACAAAGATGGCAAGCAGTAGATACTGGGGACTCCAAAAAGGAGGAGAGAGGGAGGGGGCAGGGGCTAAAAAAAAGCTACCTATTGGGTACTATGCTCACTACCTGGGTGAGGAGATTAATTGTACCACAAACCTCAGCATCATGTAATATACCCATGTAACAAACCTGCACACTTACCCCCTGAATCTAACATAAAAGTTGAAATTAAAAAAAAAGAACTATGCCCTGGAGGTCTTGGAGCCACAATGGAGGGACATGGGCCCCTTGAATCACCTCTTAAAGTGCCAAATAATTCCCAGGACCAGGAGGTCCTCCTTCCCAGAATTGTGGCCCATTGGTGTCCTGGGATAATTTAAAAAAAGGACAAGGACCAATTATTGACCAATACATGAAAGGGTCAGATCTGGTGGGTTGCATAAGACCCACATAATAATTTAATCTTATCTCCAGTGTGTGAGTCCTTTATAGAGAGTTACAGAGTGCTCAAGAATCTGCCAAAGCAGCCTAGCATTAGCAAACCTCTTCCACAGTGCATAATAGTGGGGCTGGAGGAACACTGTAGGGATATGTGATAATCAGCCTGATGCTGCAAACGACGATTCAACTCATCTCCCATTTTCTCTTTGTGAGTTTTTGACATCTCATGATCTTCAGCATATCAAAAATCTGGACTATTCTAGATAGGTTGGGCCTCGGGGTCATCCACCAAGTCCATAATCAATAGATAAGTAGGCAAATACTCAGATGTACATAAATACTAAATTTCAACTAGTTGAGAAGGGAAAAATGTTGATGGAAGTAATCATTGGGTGACTATTTAATAGAAGAGAAAATATGTGCTTGGGGACACGATGGCATGGCATGAACATGCTTCCTGATTCTGGAACATATGTGTTTTCCAGAAGTCCAGGATACTCCCCTAATCCCATTGACATCATCATAGCCCAAACCTTTAGTGTTTTTCATTTTCTCGAAATTACAAAGATGGGTAGAATGAAAGATGAAATCACAACTCACATTTCTGAGACAAATATTTTTAAATTTTAAAAATGGACTATTTACTGAAATTTAATCTATAAGTCATTTTAGGAATAATTGGCATATTTATAATGTTTTGTCATGACAGCCGGAAATATGGCAGGATTCTATATACATAAGTCTTTCTTTATATGTCTTGGTAAAATATAGTTTTTATCATAGGGGTTCTACATATTTAACAAATGGGTATTTTATGTCTTTGTTGCTCTTGTGAATGTGATCTGTTTTTCAAATATTTATTCTTTTTGGCTACTATTGGGAAGGAAAACTATTAATTTCTGTATATTTACCTTGTGTGCAATCACTTTACTGAACTTCCTTATCACTTTAAATAATTTTTAGGTGGATTTTATTTTGTTTTATATCTGTATAGTATTACCTGCAAATAACAATTTTATGTTTGTTTCTGATTCATATCTTATTGCAAATTGACAGAATGAAAATAATATTAAATATTAATGATTATTGTGAGAATGCTTTTTTATATCTTATTTTAATGGAGTGCTTCTATGGCTCTACTGTTGAATGTATCTTGGCTGTTGCTTGATACAGGAAAATTGTGGTAAAAAAATAACATATATTCACCCTCAACAATTTTTTAGTGTACTGTATAGTATTGCTAACTATATGCATGTTTTTTATACGGCAGATATATAGAACACTTTCATCTTGCATGGCTGAAACTCTATACACAGTGAACAACTTCCCTTTTCCCTTTTCCCCAGCCCCTGGAAACCACTATTCTATTTTCTGTTTCTATGAGTTTGATTACTTTAGTTACTGAATAAGTGAAATCATGCAGTATTTATCATTTTGTGATTGGCTTATTTCACTTAGCATAATATCCTCCAGGTTCATCCATGTAGTAGTATATGACAGGATTTCCTTCTTTTTTTGAGGCTGAATATGTATATATGTATGTATGTATATACCACATTCTCTTTATCCATTCATATAGCAATGGACATTTAGGTTGCTTCCACTTCTTGGCTGTTGTGAATAATGCAGCAATGAACATGGGTGTACAAACAGCTCTTCAAGATCCTGTTTTCAATTCTTTTGGATATATAGTCGGAAGTGGGATTGCTGAATCATATGGTAGTTTCATTTTTAATTTTTGTTTTCCATAGCAGCTGCATCATTTTACAATTTCACCAACAGTACACAAGGGTTCCAATTTCTCCACATCCTTACCAACACTTACTATTTTCTGTTTTTTTTTTGTTTTTGTTTTTGAGATGGAGTCTCGCTCTTGTTGCCCAGGCTGGAGTGCAGTGGCGTGATCTCGGCTCACCACAACCTCCACCTCCCGGGTTCAAGTGATTCTCCTGCCTCGGCCTCCTGAGTAGCTGGGATTACAGGCATGCGCCACCATGCCTGGCTAATTTTGTATTTTTAGTAGAGACAGGGTTTCTCCATGTTGGTCAGGCTGATCTCGAACTCCTGACCTTAGATGATCCACCTGCCTCGGCCTCCCAAAGTGCTGGGATTACAAGCGTGAGCCACTGCACCTGGCCTATTTTCTGTTTTTTTAATGGTGACTATCTTAATGGGTGTGAGGTGATATCTCATTGTGGTTTTGATTTGTATTTTCCTTGATAATTAGTGATGTTGAGCATCTTTTCATATGCTTTTGCCCATTTGTACATCTTCTATAGAGAAATGTCTATTCAAGTTCTTTGCCCACTTTTAAATTGGGTTATTTGTTTTTCTGTTATTGAGTTGTAGAAGTAAGTTATATATTCTGAATATTAACCTGTATCCAATGTATGGTTTGCAAACATTTTCTCCCATTTCATAGGTTCCCTTTTCACTCTATTGATTGTTTCATTTGCTGGACAGAAGTTTTTATGTTTGACATAGACCCATTTGTCTATTTTTGCTTTTGTTGGCTGTGCTTTGGTGTCATATCCAAGAAATCATTACCTATTCCAATATCATGAAGCTTTTCTCCTATATTTTCTTCTAGGAGTTTAATAATATTTCAGGTCTTATGTTTAGTTCTTTAACTTACTTTGAGTTAATTTTTGTATATGGCATAAGATTAAGGATTCAACTTCTTTCTTTTGCATGTTGGATATCCAGTTTTCCCAACACTATTTGTTGAAGAGACTATCCTTTCCCATTGTGTAGTCTTGCCATCCTTGTTGAAAACTATTTGATCATATACATGAAGGTATATTTCTGGGCTCTCTATTCTGTCCCATTGGTCTATTTGTCTGTCTTTATGCCAGTATCATACTGTTTTTGTTTTTGTTATTGTTTTTTAATTTTCTCATTGAAAGTTTACTTGAAAAATATCAGCCACCAGCTGGGTCTACTCTGGACTGACAGGAAGAGAGGCATGTTTGTCCACGGGCAGATGGAAATGTGGGGACAGGAGGCCCTGATAATGGGATGTGGTGATGGTAGCTGGGCTGTTCAGCAGGATTGATGAGCCACAGAATTAGCAGGGCTGTGGCTTCCATGTTGGTCTTTCCTGCTGGCATGGAGCTTCTTCCAGGCTATGGGGTGGACATGATAGGTGGGGCTTCCTTCCTTCCCCAAACTAGCCCAGCAATTCCCCTGGAAGCCAGGCCCCTGCTGCTGCTTGTGTCTGCACTGCACCTCCACAGAGAGGGGCACACAGCCTGCACAAGGGATGGGGATGGCAGAGGAATCCTAAGGGCCAAGTGGGCAGATGAGTTTCCCAGCTTTGGGTTCCAATAGGCATAGTTGGAACAGACACATTGATTACCGTAGCCTTGCAATATATTTTGAAATTAGAAGTTATGAGGTCTCCAATTTTGTTCTTCCTTCTTAAGATTGTTTTAGCTATTAGAGGTTCTTTGAGTTTTCATTTGGATTTTAGCATTTTAAAAATTTCTACAAAAAATGCCATTGGAATTTTGATAGGGATTGTAAGTTGCATTGAGTAGTATGGACATCTTAAATATAGGTGTTCCAATCTATGAACATGGGATATCTTTTCATTTATTTGGGTCTTCTTTAATTTCTTTCAGCAATGTTTTATAGTTTTCAGTGTACAAGTCTTTTTCCTCCTTGGTTAAGTTTATTCTTAAGTGTCTTATTCTTTTTGATGCTATTATAAATGGGACTGTTTTCCTAATTTCCTTTTAAAATTGTTATTAGTGTATAGAAACACAACCGATTTTTCAGTGTTCCTTTTGTATCCTACAGTTTTGCTGAATTTGTCTAATTCTAACAGTTTTTTTTTTTCTGGAATCTTTAGGGTTTTCTACATGCAAAATCATGGCATCTGCAAACAGAGATACTTTTGCCTCCTCATTTTCCATTTGAATTCCTTGTATTTCTTTTTCTTGTCTAATTTCTCTGGCTAGGATTTTCAATATTACATTGAATCAAAGTGGCAAGACTGGGCATCCTTGCCTTGTTTTTGATCTTAGAGGTTGATACAGACTTTAAAAAATCCTACAAGTTTATGCTTTTCTAATTTTAGTTTTATAATAGTTAAAGAATGGGGAATTTGTTTTATAAAATGCCTTTTCAATAACTTTGAGAATATCATACACTTTTTTTTTTTGAGAAGGAGTCTTGCTCTGTTGCCCAGCTGGAGTGCAGTGGCAGGATCTCAGCTTACTGCAGCCTCTGCCTCCCGGGTTCAAGTGATCCTT